>NC_000014.9:69308682-69611713 GCF_000001405.40 Homo sapiens | reverse complement strand
CGCTCTGGCCGGCGCTGTGGGCAGAGGAAGCGGGCGGGAGGGAGGGAGGAGGTGGGGCGGTCGCCGGCTTCGGAGAATAGAACGCGGCGGTAGCGACGGCTGCAGCGCCCGCGTCACTGACCCAGCTGTACCGCGCGGGCGGGGGAGGCCCCGCGGAGGGGAGGGGGCGGGGAAGGGGCGGGAAAGGGGCAGGGCCAGGCGCGCACGCAACGGCGCCGGCGTCGCGCCGCCGCGACCGCCCCGCCGGGAGGCCCTGCACGCACGCGCCGCCGGCCGGGCCAGGTACCCAAGGGAGAAGCGACGCGGTTGGGGAGGTGGGGGGTCCTTAAAGAGACAGTCCCTCTGCGCTGGAGTGGATGGGGCGGTGGCACCGACTCAGCTGGACTATGCGGCGTTTCCAGTGCGCTCTCCAGTTCGTTTACTATTATTATTATTTGCATGATTGAATTACTATTATTTGCAAAGAATTGTACTGCCCTGAGGTTTACAAGGCTTTTGGCGCATGTTGCCTTGTTAGCTCTTGAATTGCTCGTCTGACCTAGCTCGTCTGAAGCAGGTTATTATCTCCCTGTTAAGCAGTAATCCGAACTGTGGTTCCTAGCCTGCCAACATTAAAGCTGCCCGGGGGGTGGGTGGGGGTGAAAATGCAGATTCGGGGCCCCGAATGACCTCCAGCCATTGTGATTCAGTGGGGTCGGACTTGGGAATCTGTATTTTCACTAGCATTCTGAAGTGAGTGATCCTTCAGCATACTAAAAGCACACAAGGGATCTCAAGGTTGAGAAAACCGCAGTTCAGAGCCAGGACTGGCAGAGCCCGGGCTAGAAGCCTGCCACATTCCTAACTGTATTTCCCCTCTTGAGCCTTGCCTTCTGGGGCTATTTTCTAGCACATACTGAGTGAGCAGTTTGTGCACTGTATGGCTACATCGTTTATTGGTGATCTCTCATGCAGTGTGTCCTCGGTTTATGTGTTTACAGGGCCCGTGGCGCCTTGATGGGGAGGACTCTGGCTTTTTATCTTTGTACCCCAGGGCCTTGCACCGTGTCGGTCTCAGAGGTCCTCCATAAGTGTTAAGGAACTCCTACTTGTAAATCAGTGGTAGAGTCCACATCTGGACCTACAGACTTGTGTCTTTGCTGCAGCTTGGGTCAGGCAGGCCTCTTCTCCCAGATGCTCTTGGACAAAAGGATACACCTTCTCAGGGCCTCTCACCAGGCCTAGTTCTAGTAGGCTTTCGGGAAAAGCACTGTGAATTAACAGGGCATGTCCTTGTGAAGTAGCTTGAACCAAATAAACAGGATGCTCCTCCCCATGCACACAGACCCATCCCCAAAAGAACCCTTCCCTTCTGGGCCCCACAGCAACCTGTGGCTCGTTGCTATAATGCCTTTTTCATAAGTCTATCCTTGTTCTGCCTTCTTTCTTCCTTGCCTTCTTGGGTCCAGACTCATTAGAGAAGATGGGCACCCCTCCCTTCCTGCTCATTTGGGGCCACACTGCCCAGACCACTAGAAGATTGAAAAGCACAATTCAGAACTACCTGGGTCTGCCTCAGAGCACAACCAAATCAGTGTGGGCAGCAGGAACATGCCAGGCAGACCCAAGGCTCAGGGAGGGGACAAGGGGGAAGGAAGCAAGGGAAAGGGATGGAGGAAGAATTGGAGAAGATGAATGGAGGAAGGAGAAAAAGAAAGAAAGGAAAGGGAAGAAAGCAGGCATGGATGGTTCAGGTCAGATCAACTGCCAAAGTAACTGAGCCCCTGGCTGTGCACTGAAGTCAGTTTGGCCATTAAGAGGCTCAGTAACTTCATACAAGAACTGCCACCTTATAAAATCCCTTGTGAGACCCTATGCAGATCTGTCCATCACTACCCAAAAATCCTCAGTCGGGCGCGGTAGCTCACGCCTGTAATCCCAGCACTTTGGGAGGCTAAGGCAGGCAGATCACGAAGTCAGGAGTTTGAGACCAGCCTGGACAACATGGCGAAACCCCTTCTCTACTAAAAATACAAAAATTAGCCAGGCGTGGTGGCACATGCCTGTAATCCTAGCTATTCAGGAGCCTGAGGCAGGAGAATTGCTTGAACTCAGGAAGCAGAGGTTGCAGTGAGCCGAGATCGTGCCATTGCATTCCAGCCTGGGTGACAGAGTGAGACTGTCTCAAAAAAAAAAAATCCTCTCCCAGACCTTCAGGGTCCACAGAATGAACTCAAAGTCATCAGCAAGGACTGTAGTATCCTGTGCTGTCCACAGTCCGGCCCAAATGCTCTCCATCCCTCCACACACCCCACTCCAGCCTCCCCATACCACCTGCTGGTCTCTAACAAGCCATTCCTGTCACAAACCAGGTGCCCATGCTGTTTCCTCAATCTTGAAGGCCTTCTCTACTTACCCTTCAGAATCTTCCCAAGGCTGCTGCTTCTACTTTTCTGTGGCACTTTGGTTGAGCCCCAAAGTGCCACAGAAAAGTATTAAATTAAAATTTTTAAACATTTTAAATATTTAATTATTTATTTATTTATTTTGACGGAGTCTTGCTCTGTCGCCCAGGCTGGAGTGCAGTGGCATGATCTGAGCTCACTGCAACCTCCGCCTCCCGGGTTCAGGGGATTCTCCTGCCTCAGTCTCCCGAGTAGCTGGGTTACAGCTGGGATTAGCTTCCATTTCCTTCTGCTTTGAATTGCCAGAATCAGGGTCAAGTCTCCTCCCTTTATAAATGTCAGCTCACCAGCCTTTCCTGTCTTCTCATCCCCTCCTATCTGAAGTTCCACTGGCCTCTTCAGTACAGCTGACGAAAAGCCCCTGTTACATTCTACGTATAGGCCTTGCTCTTCTCACCCGCAAAATGGAATGGTACTTCCTGGCCTGGGGTGAATATTATCTTTCTGCCATTGAAAAGATCTCACAAGATGAAGGTTAAGAATAATTTAGACTTAGACATTCTCAAGTGGGAGGGATCATAGATTTTTTTAAATAAAATTCTTTAAAATTTTTAAGATTTTTTTTTAATTTAACAGCTTTCTCACACCTGTAACCCCAGCATTTTGGGAAGCTGAGGCAGGCTGATCATTTGAGGCCAGAAGTTCAAGACCAGCCTGGCCAACATGGCAAAACCTCGTCTCTACTAAAAATATAAAAATTAGCCTGGCGTGGTGGTGCACGCCTGTAATCCCAGCTATGTGGGAGGCTAGTCACAAGAATTGCTTGAACCTGGGAGGCAGAGGCTGCAATGAGCTGAGATTGCGCCACTGCACTCCAGCCTGGGCGACAGAGTGAGACTGTGTCTTAAATAAATTAATTAATTAATTAACAGCTTTATTGAGATATTCACATACCAGCAATTCACAGTTTAAATTTGTATTTATTTTGTATAACTTTACAAATTGTACAAATTTGCACATGTACAATTGTACATTTAGAGTGAACAATTCAATGGTTTTTAGTATATTTACAGAGTCGTACAATATTTTAGAACATTTTCATGACCCTAAAAAAAACTCCCATACCCATCAGCAGTCACTACCATTTCCTCCCTCCCTACCACCTTCCCTGCCTCCCTCCCTAGGCAACCAACAATCTACTTTCTGTCTCTATAGATTTGCCTATTCTGAGCACTCTCTATAAATAGAATCATACAAATATGTGGCCTTTATAATTGATTTTTTGTTTCTTCCACCTAACAATCAATTTTAAACCAGAGCTAATTTTTTATTTTCACTTTTCAATTCAGACCCTGCCTTATTCTAAAAGGACTTAAGATGGCTCTTTGAGCTAATATTCCTGGGTCCTTCCAGATTTCCAGCATAAATCTTTTTTTTTTTTTTTTTTTTGACGGAGTCTTGCTCTGTCGCCCAGGCTGGAGTGCAGTGGCATGATCTGAGCTCACTGCAACCTCCGCCTCCCAGGTTCAGGGGATTCTCCTGTCTCAGTCTCCCGAGTAGCTGGGACTATAGGTGCGTACCCCCACACCCAGCTAATTTTTGTATTTTTAGTAGAGACAGGGTTTCACCACGTTAGCCAGGCTGGTCTCAAACTCCTGACCTCAGTGATCAGCCTGCTTCTGCCTCCCAAAGTGCTAGGATTACAGGCGTGAGTCACCACACCTGGCCAATTTCCAGCACAAATCTTAATATTCTGCTCTAAATCTAGGTGCTGGAATATGGCATGGGGGTTAGATTAGTCCCAGTTGGTGGTGAGTAGAATAGCCAGCCATCCCAGTTTGCCTGGGACTAAGGGGATTCCTGGCACATGGGACTTCCAGTGCCAAAATTAGGACAGTCCTGGGCCAATCAGGATGAGGTAGTCACTCCTATGATAAGAGTCAGGAGGCACAGTATTCCTTTCATCTCCCAGGAATATAACAAGGAGTGTGTGCCTTTACTGCTTGCAGGGCAGGACAGAGGAGTTTGGCTCTCTGAAAGTGAGAGAAAAGGTTCAGAATAAGTACATGGAATCTCAGTTGCTATGGTTATTACATACAATAGTAGTAATGACAGCTACTATTTACAAAGCACCTACTGTATGTCAGGTGCTTGGTAGGGACTTGATACGTGTAACCTCTAATTTTGGCAACAGTCCTCCAAGTTAATTATCATTAACACCATTTTACAAGCAAGGCTTAGAGAGATTTTTTTTTTTGACATATCAAAACCACATAAGTATGTATGTTGCAAAAGCAGAATTCATTCTTGTTTGTCTGTTCCAAAGGTCACACTTTCCCAAATAAACCATGTGCTTCCTCCCACCCCTAATAAAAATAGCAAATAAAGATTGAAATTGTCCTCATATATCTCTTGCTTTTTAAAAAAGTGCTTTTTTGCATACCAGCTAGTTTTTTACAACATCCCCATAAAACGAAGAGACATTATTGTCCCCAATTTTACCTATAAGGAAGTTGAGGCACTGAAAGGTTGCTAGCTTGTCTGATCTCATATAGAAATTAGCATGAGTTTCATGTTTTGATTCAAGATTCCTTGGGCAGCTTTCAAAGCCCTGTGAAGGTAAACCCATTTGACCCCAGAGGAGGTGGAAGGTGAGGCCACCCTCACCGCAGAATGTCAGAGTCCAAAATGGGTGGGCTGTACAGGGCTAGGCCAACAGGAGCTGAGAAGCAACTCCCACTCCAGAGGAGGAAGATCTAGGCTCAGGAGGTTATCTGAATTTGTGAGCCTGCACCATCACCAGGGGCAACCCTTCTTGCAGCTTGTCAGGAGCCTGTGAGAGCCAGGCTTGGTGACGCAATCCCTGCAGGCCACTGGTCGGAGGGAGCTTTGTAGAGGTCAGAGTTCAGGGCTTAGATCTGGGCTATTCACAGCAGCAGCTATGATTCCCTATCCACCCCAACTCTGACCCTAGCCTTAGAAAATGTGCACTTGAGGCTGCCCAATTAGCAGATACATATAAGAGGGCAACCCAGCCCCACCTGCTTTTCTGAAGCATGTCTTTGACAACATTCTTTCCCTAATACAGGTCAGGTTAACTGGTAAAAGTGTTGGCCCCATTTTTCACACAAGGAAAAGCCAAGGTAGAAAGGGAGCATCCACCTGCTATGTCTCCAGATGGTATCCCAGTGGAAGATGAATGAATATCAGATCCCCCCCACCCCTGGTGCCAACCAGCCTGATGACCTGCTGCTTGCCCTTTGCCCAAGGGCTGGGCAGTGACTCTAGGAGACAATCTGCAGGGAGGAAGGAAGGGACTGGGGATAGCCTAGGGCCTGAGGCCTTTCTAGACAGAGCCAGCCCACAAACCCCTCCCACATACACACACACACACACACACACACACATATACACACACACACACCTACACACACACACAGCTCCTGGTCATTGGACACTGTATTCCCTCCCTGATGGTTCATTTTCATGTGATTTAATGGTGAGAAGACAGAGCTATATGATTGGCCTTGCTAGCTCTGAGCTGCCAGTGCATAGAGGAATGGAGTTGCTCCCTCCTTCAGACTGTCTGGGGAGGCAGGGATAGGGCTGTGAAGCTCTGGCAGACACAACACCTCAGAAGGTTCTTGGCTCCAGGACTTGTTGGCTGGATCAGTAGGGTCAGTCCCTCTTTTGGCTGGCCAGGGACCTTCAAAATCAGGGTATTTTGATACCTCCAAAATCAGGGTATTTTGAAGGTGCTGATGATGGACCCCAAGGTGCAGCTTTGCCCCCAGGCATGTCAATGAATCCCCTGAAAAAAGCTCCAATACATTAAATATGTACTGTCTGCCAGATACTTTGCTAGTGGCTCCACATACATGATTTTATTTAATCCTTGCAATAGCCTCTGAAATAGGTATTAATACTATTATCTTCATTTTGCATATGAGGAAACTGAGGTACATAAAGTTTAAAGATGAGGCCAAGGCCACAGTTACTAGTAGCATGTCCTGCTTCTTAGGGAATACAGCTGTAATTTGCACTGTAAAAACCAAATGTGATTTTTAAAGGGGGACCAGAGCAGGTTACCTGCAGTGGTGTGCTGAAGAGTGCTCAAACTGTCAAGAATCAATTCTAAAATGTTCAAGATTTTTGTAAGCTAGTTGTTAAACACAGCCTTTGTTAAAAATTAAATTATGGCCAGTAGCAGTGGCTCACGCCTGTAATCCCAGCACTTTGGGAGGCCAAAGCAGGAGGATCACTTGAGCTCAGAAGTTTGAGACCAGCCTGGGCAACAGAGTGAGACCTCTTTACAAAAAATACAAAAATTAGCCAGGCATGGTGGCACACGCCTGTGGTCCCAGCTACTCAGGAGGCTGAGGTGGGAGGATTATTTGAGCTCGGGAGGTCAGGACTAAAGTAAGCTGTGATTGTGCCACTACACTCCAGCTTAGGTGACAGAGCAAGACTCTGTCTCAAAAAAAACCAAAAAAATTAAAAATTAAAAAAATTAAATTATATATATGTAAAATTAAATTATAGTTGTTAAAGTAATAAATACTCAAGTTACCACTTCCTAATTATTAATTATTTTACTACATTGTATTTTTTTACTTTTTCTGCCTCCCTTCTCTTACATTATACTCTTATCTATGCTTTCAAGTTTATTTACATCTCTTATGAAGTACTACATCATATTATGCCACTTCTCATCTCTTCTCAACTCCACATTCAGTGACATCACATTGATAGTTTGAAATCAGATACAGTGGAAGTATTTACACCACAGAAATTACTAAATATAAATCAGCTCCCACCTATAGAACAAGTTGCTAAACATTTACAATTGAAATGTGAAACATTTACATCTGGAAAACTGAAAGCTTCCAGCACCAGGGTCTGTAGCAGTAGTGGAGGAGGTGAACCCAGGGCTAGCTGAGCTCACCAGCAGAGCCAGCAGGGTTAGTGGGTGCAGGGCACATGTGGAGTATCTCTAGGAGGCAGCCAGACCCCATAGTCTCCATTTTACAGGGAAGGTGAGTTCTGAGGCCAGGTGAGAAATGTTTGATGCCTCAAAAGTGTGTCGGTTCCAGCTGGGTGCAGTGGCTCATGCCTGTAATCCCAGCACTTTGGGAGGCCAAGGCGGGCGGATCACCTGAGGTCGGGAGTTCAAGACCAGCCTGACCAATATGGAGAAACCCCATCTCTGCTAAAAATACAAAATTGGCCGGGCATGGTAGCACATGCCTGTAATTCCAGCTACTTGGGAGGCTGAGGCAGGAGAATGGGTTGAACCTGGGAGGCGGAGTTTGCAGTGAGCCGAGATCATGCCATTGCACTCCAGCCTGGGCGAAGAGCGAAACTCTGTCTGAAAAAAAAAAAAAGTGTGTCGGTTCTATTTGAGATGCACTCCACCTAGATGCACCATAAAGATTTCTTACTTTCCATATCCCCCAATAGAGTATGTTCTCCAGTTACCAAGGGAGATGGAGGGACAGGAACCTGAGAGGAAGCCTGCCTGGAAGAAGGGGGCTGCTGGTCCTCAGTCCCTTGTGAATGCCCAGCCTCTAGTGGTGGGATTAAGAATGCAGCCTCTGCCCTCCAACCTTAGGTCAAGACGCTCAACCAGAGTCTCCCTCCACAGAGTACCATCATGGCATTTCCCAGCACAGAGCACAGGACAGCTGGGACAATCCTTGTGGGACAAATGGACGATGGACAGAAGCATCTGCTTCCAACAGGAGGGTCTCAACCATCCCCTTAGAACCTATGCCCCCTTTGGATAGTATTTTATGACATCCCCCATTCCACTACCATGAAATGAAAATCATAGCATAATCTGCCTACACACATAATTGCAAAAAATAAATGCATGCATAGGTTCACCAAAAGACACGTACAAGAATGTTCACAGCATCATTATTCATAATGGCCAGACACTAGAAACAACACAAATGGATATGGTATGTCCACATGATGAAAACGAACAAACTTCTGCCAGGCACGGTGGGCACAGTGGCTCATGCCTGTAATCCCAGCATTCTGAGAGGCCAAGGCGGGCAGATCACTTGAGGTTAGGAGTTTGAGACCAGCCTGGTCAACATAGTGAGACCCCGTCTCTACTAAAAATTCAAAAATTAGCGGGGCATGGTGGCGGATGCCTGTAGTCCCAGCTACTCGGGAGGCTGTGGCAGGAGAATCGCTTGAACCTGGGAGGCGGAGGTGGCAGGGAGACGAGATCGCGCCACTGCACTCCAGCCTGGGAGACAGTGAGACTCTGTCTCAAAAAAAAAAAGAAAATGAACAAACTTCCAATTCACACAACAACATGGATGAATCTCACAAATACGATTTTGGCTGAAAGAAGTCAGACATGAAAAAAGCATGCATGTATGTTTCCATTATATCAAGTTCAAAGGTAGGCAAAATTAATTTAAGGTGTTAGAAGTAAGGAGAGTAGTTACCTAGAGGAGTTGTGACTGGGTGGCACCATGAGTTGGACTTCCAGGGTATTGAGAGTGTTCTGGTTATGAAGGTGTGTTCATTTTGCAAAAATTCATAGAGGTGTACTCATAAGATTTGTCCACTTTTTTGAAGTATGTAGTTATTCAATAAAAAGTTTACTTAAAAAAAAACAATCAATCAATACAATGCCCTAACTGTAATATAAAAAAGAAAAGGCCGCTTGCACCTAGAGTCAATTCATAGCAATTACAAATGCAGACAGATGTAGGTGTGTGATTTTAGTGATGCAAATGCCTTCAACAATGTCGCTATTATGTTCTGATATGTTCAGCTCTTGGTAAAATGCTGAAAAATAAAGCACATTTTTCCTGTAGTTGTATTCTTTTTCTTTCTTTTTTTTTTTTTTTTTCTGAGACGGAGCCTCACTCTGTTGCCCAGGCTGGAGTGCAGTGGTGCCATCTCGGCTCACTGCAACCCCTGCCTCCTAAGTTCAAGCAATTCTCCTGCCTCAGCTTCCCAAGTAGCTGGGATTACAGGTACCTGCCACCACAACCGGCTAATTTTTGTATTTTTAGTAGAGACAGGGTTTTGCCATGTTAGCCAGGCTGGTCTCAAACTCCTGACCTCAAGTGATCTGCTCGCCTCAGCCTCCCAAAGTGCTGGGATTACAGGTGTGAGCCACCACGCCCAGCCCCTGTAGTTGTATTCTGATCATTATAACAGGGTTTTTTGTTTGTTTATTTATTTGTTTTCCCTATAGAAACATCTAGTGGAAGGCATACAAGAGTCTATGACTTTGTATAGGCACACAGGATGGTTCTATGCTGTGTAGGGCTATCTATTGCAGACTGACTATGCCCCCTTGTCTGTGAAATGGGAGTGACAGCAGTACCTGCTTCATAAGGCTGTTGTGAAAATGAAATGAATTCACTTCAATGAAGTGCTCAAAACAGCAGTTGGCACACACGAGCACAAAATAAGTGCTTGATATTATTTGTATCATCCTGGGCCCTACCCACTAAATGCCAATGGTGCCTTCATCGTCATAACAACCAAAAACACTCCCACAGATGTCCAAACAGCCTCTAGGGTTGACACTGCCCATAAAGAACCATGGCTTTAAACCTACTGGATGAACAGTACTTACACCAAGTAGCAGTGCTATTCATTGATTCATTCATTCATTCGCTCACAAAGCAGTCTGTGCTGAGGATTGCTTTGTCCAGCTCCTGCCCTCAAGTTTCTGAGTAGGGAGATAAACGTGTCCACAAGTAATAACACAGTGTGATAGTGTTTACATAGCCCAGAGGTAGCAAAGTGTCTCTCAGGCTCCAGCCCCCGGCAGAGGGGTTTGATCTACTTTGTGGTTTGCTTTCATTTATTATTATTATTATATTATTATTATTATTATTATTATTATTATTAGAGATGGAGTCTTGCTCTTTCGCCCAGGCTGGAGTGCAGTGGCACGATCGCGGCTCACTGCAACCTCTGCCTCCCGGGTTCAAGCGATTCTTCTGCCTCAGCCTCCCAAGTAGCTGTGATTACAGGCGCTCGCCACAACACCCAGCTAATTTTTGTATTTTTAGTAGAGACAGGGTTTCGCCATGTTGGCCAGACTGGTCTTGAACTCCTGATCTCAGGTGATCCACCTGCCTTGGCCTCCCAAAATGCTGGGATTACAGGCGTGAGCCACCGTGCCTAGCCATTGCTTTCATTTTTTATTTAGTTGCCAGTATTTGAAGATGAGAAGATTTCATGCATTAAAAAGTCCAAATTTCCTGCTTCTCTTGAAAAATCCATCGCTTTGTAAACATCAGTCCTGCATGTGTATGGTCAGGAGACCTGTGTTTGCCACAGCCCCCACCTGACCTTCATTTAGTTTTCCTACCAGGTCTCTGCAGACCCTGGGGCTTCAGGCCATCTCACAGGTCTGTCTCCTGATAGCTACGGGAACTCAGGACAACTAAAAGCTTCCAGAAGGGGCAGAAGAGTTCCAAAGACTCAGTGCAAGGCAGATAAAGTGGGAAAGGGCTTTCTGGGTGGAAGGAGTAGCATATTCAAAGGTCTATGCTACAAGAGCAGTGGCATGCCCAAGGGCCATTCCCTCATTCATGGAGACACTTGGCAGAGTCCTTAGGCCCACTGCAGCAGGAGGCCAGGGGTAAGCTAAGAGACAGGCCCGAGCTTTAAAGTTCCCAGGTCTAACACCAGCCTGCTCTCCTGCTCTGCACACTGCTTGGCAGAGGTACAAATTCAAAATAAAAGTGAGTTCCAGGGCTGAGGTGCTGTGGGACAATACTCACAGTCTCCTTGCACCTGGGACAGCCCTAAGAGATGAGCCAGAGAGTGAGGGAAGTAGCAGGAACAGCCTGGTCCTTAGGTCTCTGCAGGGCTGACTTAACGTGGTAAGAGTGAAGGGGCAGGAAAGGGCTCCCCTCACTTCTGAAACATATCATTAGGGATGTGCATCCCCTAGCTCAGTGCTTCTCAAACTTTTATGTGCACATGAATCACCCAGGGACCTTGTTAAAACACGGTAGCTCTGAAGTGGAGCCTGAAAGTCTTCATTTCAAACAACCTACCAGGGATGCTGTGCTGTTTGTCCAAAGACCACACTTACACAGTCGCTGGAGCAGGGTTTCTCAACTGCAGCAGTATTGTGTGGGATAAGCATTTGTATGGGCTGTCTTGTACCTTGTAGGATGTTTAACAGCACCCTTGGCCTCTACCCATGTGATGTCGGCAGCAGCCCCCAGTAGTAACAAGAAAAAATGACTTTGGGCCGGGCGCAGTGGCTCACGCCTATAATCCCAGCACTTTGGAAGGCTGAGGTGGGTGGATCACTTGAGGCCAGGAGTTCAAGACCAGCCTGACCAACATGGTGAAACCCCATATCTACTAAAAAATATATGAAATTATCCAGGCATGGTGGCACACGCCTGTAATCCCAGCTACTTGGGAGGCTGAGGCAGGAGAATCGCTTGAACCCAGAAGATGAAGGTTGCAGTGAGCCAAGATCACTCCATTGCACTCCAGCCTGGGCAACAAGAGCGAAACTCCATCTCAAAAAAAAAAAAAAAGAAAGAAAGAAAGAAAAGAAAAGAAAAAATGACTTCAGACATTGCCCCGTCTCCCCTACCAGAGAAGCAAAACCCTCTGTTAAAATTTTAGAGGAACTTTTTTTTTAACATATATATAAGTTCCCCTTCTGTCATGCAGTGGTGCGATCACAGCTCACTGTAATCTTGACCTTCTGGGCTCAAGCAATCCTCCCACCTCAGCCTCCCAAGAAGCTGGGACTACAGGCACACGCCATCAAGCACATCTAATTTTTAAATTTTTTGTAGAGATGAGGTCTTCCTATTTTGCCCAGTCTGGTCTTGAACTCCTGGGCTCAAGCGATCCTCCTGCCTCAACCTCCTAAAGTGCTGGGATTACAGGCGTGAGCTACTAAGCCCAGCCTGGAACTCTTTTTAAAAAAAAATGCCTATGGGCTTTTCTGCAATCTAGAGAGACTCCAAGACACTGGGACAGGGCTGACCATATAATTTGTAAAGCACAGTACAAAATAAAGATGCAGTGACCTTATTCAAAGAGCAGGAAAAAAGTGTTGCTAAAGGTACTAGAATATATAAAGCTTTTGCCTTTAAAAATATTTTATTACGGCCGGGTGCGGTGGCTCACGCCTGCAATCCCAGCACTTTGGGAGGCCAAGGCGGGCGGATCACAAGATCAGGAGATCGAGACCATCCTGGCTAACATGGTGAAACCCCGTCTCTACTAAAAAAAATACAAAAAATTAGCCGGGCATGGTGGCAGGCACCGGTAGTCCCAGCTACTTGGGAGGCTGAGGCAGGAGAATGGCGTGAACCAAGGAGGCAGAGGTTGCAGTGAGCCAAGGTCGCGCCACTGCACTCTAGCCTGGGTGACAAAGCGAGACTCCATCTCAAAAAAAAAAAATTTATTACTTATAAAACATAATGAGGTAATAGCGATACATGAGTAACAACATAAACTCACAAATGACAAAAAAGTACTTTGGTGTCATATGTCATGTAATGCAATAAATCATAATACTTTATTAATATTATAGTATCTTGACCAGATTTTCCGGGCTAACTTTTCTGCAAGTTTATTTATCAGGTTATCAAAATTTACAATTTTAGCAACTTTATTTTCAATCAGTATAACTAACATTGAAAGCAATGTTAGTTGCCATTGGCAAATCCAAGATCACAAATAATTTCTGATTGTTGTGAACAAATGTACTGTACAAAAATTAGCTGGGCATTGGCCGGGCGCGGTGGTTCACGCCTGTAATCCCAGCACTTTGGCGAGGTCAGGAGTTCGACGCCAGCCTGACTGACATAGTGAAACCCCGTCTCTACTAAAAATACAAAAATTAGCCAGGGATCGTGGAGGGTGCCTGCAGTCCCAGGTACTCGGGAGGCTGAGGCAGAAGAATCGCTTGAACCTGGGAGGCAGAGGTTGTGGTGAGCTGAGATCTCTCCACTGCACTCCAGCCTGGGCAACAGAGCAAGACTCTGTCTCAAAAAAAAAAAAAAAAAAAAACTAGCTGGGCGTTGTGGCAGGCACCTGTAATCTCAGCTACCCAGAAGGCTGAGGCAGGAGAATCGCTTGAGCCTAGGAGGCAGAGGTTGCAGTGAGCGTGAGATCACGCCACTGCACTCCATCCTGGGTGACAGAGAGAGACTCTGTCTTAAAAAACTAAAAAAGCAAAAAACAAACAAAAAACCCCCAAAACAAATAATTTCTGATTATTTAATTTTTTATTTAATTTTTTTTTTAGCCCAGCTAATTTTTGTATTTTTGGTAGAGACAGGGTTTTACTATGTTGGCTAGGCTGGTCTTAAACACCTGACCTCAGGTGATTCACCGGCCTCGGCCTCCCAAAGTGCTGGGATTACAGGCATGAGCCACCACGCCCCGCCAAATTTTATTACATCTAGAGATGATGATTCTCATGGAACAATTTTTCCAAACAAATTTAATTCATACAAATCAGCTTCATGCAGGTCTGAATTAATTTACTTTAATTACTATTTTTTATTTTAAAAATTAAAATTATTTTGAGCTCATCTGTGGAAGTGGCATAAATTTAGTTTTAAATGTAAGTTTACACGGCCGGGCACAGTGACTCACGCCTGTAATCCCAGCACTTTGGGAGGCCAAGGCAGGCAGAACACCTGAGGTCAGGAGTTCGAGACCAGCCTGGCCAACATGGTGAAACTCCGTCTCTACTAAAAATATAAAAAATATTAGCCAGGTGTGGTGGTGGGCACCTGTAATTCCAGATATTTGAGAGGCTGAGGCAGGAGAATCACTTGAACCCGAGAGGGAGATGTCACAGTGAGCCAAGATTGTGCCATTGCATTCCAGCCTAGGCGACAGAGTGAGATTCTGTCTCAAAAAATAATAATAAATAAATAAATAAAAATAAATGAAAGTTTATACAATGGCTTTTTTTTTTTTTTTGAGACGGAATCTCGTGCTGTCACCCAGGCTGGAGTGCAGTGGCGTGATCTTGGCTCACTGTGACCTCTGCCTCCCTGCTTCAAGTGATTCTTTTGCCTCTGCTCCCCGAGTAGCTGGGATTACAGGTGCCTGCCATCATGCCCAGCTAATTTTTGTATTTTGCGAAGAGACGGGGGTTTCGCCATCTTGGCCAGGCTGGTCTCTGAAACTCCTGACCTCGGGTGATCTGCCCACCTCAGCCTCCCAAAGGGCTGGGACTACAGGCGAGAGCCACTACGCCCAGCCCCTCAATGGCCTTTTCATATCTCCTCTGACATACCCCATAATTTGTGAAGGTCACATAGCAAAAGTGACTTCATCTTTTGTGTATAATTTAAAACACCTACTATGCATTCTTTCATTGTATCTTCTATTACAAGAAAAATTAATTTTGAAATTGTTTTGCTTGTTAATAATTGGTTTCTCCAAAGCTTCATATCAAAGTATTCTTTTCCATTGAGTACAATGACCTTTAATTTCTCTCTGTAAGTCTATGAATATTTGCTTGCAATTTTGCAGCACTTTTCAAAACTGAAAATTCAAAAATTTTAAACGAATTCTAATAATTCCCTGATATGCTTTATTACGACGTCCATATATATGCTTTTATTTTCTAATCATTTACAGACAAAGTTTACTGCCTGAGATCCAACAATTCCTGTCCTGGAGCTTAGACCCAAGAGTTATTTATCATTATTATTTTTTATTTTTATTTTTTGAGACAGAATTTCACTCTTGTTGCCCAGGCTGGAGTGCAATGGCAAGATCTCATCTCACTGCAACCTTCGCCTCCTGGGTTCAAGTAATTCTCCTGCCTTAGCCTCCCAAGTAGCTGGGACTACAGGGGTGCGCCACCACGCCCAGCTAATTTTGTGTTTTTGGTAGAGACAGGATGTCACCATGTTGGTCAGGCTGGTCTCGAACTCCTGACCTCAAGTGATACACCCGCCTTGGCCTCCCAAAGTGCTGGGATTACAAGTGTGAGCCACCGCGCCCAGCCCTATGAGTTATTTTTTATACAGCCAGGGACAGACAAGCAGGCTTCCCAAGCAGGGTTCCAGCACTGATATCTCATGTAGCCCCTTCTCTTTCCTGTGGTTGCTGATGCTGTCACTGTTGCTGCCACCAGTCTGGGCTCAGGTTCTGGCCACCTTGGGGCCCAGAGGTGCTCCAGACTGTTTCAGGCATGCATGTGCTTGCCGGGCCATCAGGCTCTTTGTTCCATGTTTCTGGTGCTTGCCCTGCCCTGTGTGTGCTGTCACCAGGTGTCTAATCTCCACTGCTCACATCCAGCCTGCATAGACCCACTGGATTTCACTTATAAAACCCAAATTCAGAGATAAAATTATTAAGAATTTCAAGATAGAGACAGCAGAGGATTAAACCAAGACAGAGTCCTTCTGGTACAACTGCACAGGTCGCATGCCCAAGCTGGCTCTGCACTTCGTAGTGATGGGCAATGCATGAGACTGCTGATGCATCTCAATGCAGAATGCATGTGGCAATGCTGATTTGTATGAAGAATTAAATTTCTTTGGAAAAATTGTTCCATGAGAATCATCCCCTCTAAATGCATTGAAATTTATATTTTGAAATAATTTATCAGAATTTCGGGGGTAATTTATCAGTATTCCAATGTTGTCACATCCATAAAATACTTAGTGAGAGCAGTGCTTAGTGAGAAGCTTTATGAGACCAGTTACCATGCGAATGCATTGGCCTCCCAGAGGCAGCGGGAGGGCAGATAGAAAGGGGAGCCAGAAGACTCAGGACAATTTTAGAATCTACACAGAGGCACCTTCTGCACAACTCCATGGGGGAGCTGGCTGCTTGGCATCCCAGAGGGCACAGGAGTCCTCGGTTGTGGCCAAAAGCCTGTTCATAAGGACTGCTGCTTCTCACAGTAATTCAGGGAGCAACCCACCAGCTACAAGGCCTTCTACCTATCACCTCTAACTCCCTGCATTTTCTCTCTGTGCCGCTATCACATCTATTCCTTTTCCTGACTTCCCTTCAACTTCAACTTTTTCCTTCTTCGTGCTTCTCTTCCAACCCTTCTAGAGTGCCTGCCCTACTCACCTTTGCAGAATGTCATGCCTGGGGGCAGGCTCAGATCTTCTTTGGTGGTAAGAAATACTTTCAGAGAAAAGTTAATTTCAGAGGAACTAGAGAGATGAAAACCCTTCTCTCATCAGCCAAGAATAAATGAGAAAAACATGACAAAGGGGAACGGGCCTCAAAATGCAAGTATCTTTTAAGGCTTCAGTGAAATCCAAGCCTCCAGCCTCTCAACAGCTTTCAGGGAATGTCGTCTCAGCTTCTGAAGTCACCGCCCAAGAACAAGCCCAGGTCTTGAGCTGAGATGAACAATGACAGCAAAGAGAATTTGCTCAGCTAATGGAACATCCCAGCCCAAGACACGCATTGTCAGTGATGACTCTTGGGCCGCTTCTAATAAATTACATGTGTGCTCGAGGTCTCAGTTAAAAGAGCATTTCACATTCATACCTACCCAATAAGGCAGGGATTATCAGCCTTACTTTAGCAATAGGAAATGAGGGCTCAGAAAAGTCAACTAACTAGTTCAAAGTCACCAGCTAGTAAGTGTCAGAGCCAGGATTCAAACCCAAATCCAATGCTCTTTTTTTTTTTTTTTTTTTTTGAGACACAGTCTTGCTGTGCCACCCAGGCTGGAGTGCAGTGGCGCAATCTCGGCTCACTACAACCTCTGCCTCCTGGGTTCAAGCGATTCTCCAGCCTCGGCCTCCCAAGTAGCTGGGACTACAGGCGCGCACCACTGCGTCCAGCTAATTTTTGTATATTTAATAGAGACTGGGTTTCACCATGTTGGCCAAGCTGGTCTCGAACTCCTGACCTCAGGTGATCTGCCCACCTTGGCCTCCCAAAGTGCTGGGATTACAGGCCCAGTGCTCTTTTCTTTTCTTTTTCTTTTTTCTTTTTTTTTTCTTTTTTGAGACAGAGTCTCACTCTGTTGTTGCCCAGGCTGGACTGCAGTGATATGATCTCGGCTCACCACAACCTCCGCCTCCCAGGTTCAAGCGATTCTCCTGCCTCAGCCTCCTGAGTAACTGAGATTACAGGCACACGCCACCATGCCCAGCTAA
This sequence comes from Homo sapiens, assembly GCF_000001405.40. Taxonomy (NCBI): domain Eukaryota; kingdom Metazoa; phylum Chordata; class Mammalia; order Primates; family Hominidae; genus Homo; species Homo sapiens. The sequence continues at coordinate 69,594,201 of NC_000014.9, read as the reverse complement.
TTTTTGTATTTTTAGTAGACATGGGGTTTCACTATGTTGGCCAGGCTGGTCTCAAACTCCTGACCTCATGCTCCGCCTGCCTTGGCCTCCCAAAGTGCTGGGATTACAGGCATGAGCCACCACCCCTGGCCTCCAGTGCTCTTTTCTCTGTACTGTGTGATAACGTGTCTTTTCCCTAAAGCTACTCTTAAGCAGATCGCTGTAGTCAGCCAAGTGTATCTTTCATCATGTTTGTTAAGGTCCCCTGGCTTCTCCTTTTTGCCCCCTTTGCCCAGACTCAACTGCCCAGTGCTTCAAACTGAAATGGCAGAATTTCAGGCAGGCCCAGGGAAAGTGGCTTCTAATTGGCATACCTCTCTCGTCCCTCAAATCACCTATTCCAAAAGGCAGTAAGATCAGCTCTGTCTGAGTGGCTGGGCTTTGTGTGCAAAAACGTGGTTAATGGATACAGTGCCTACATTATTTCTACCATTTCTCAAATCCTGACTCCTTTGCAAACTACAGACATGAAGTTGTTCCCATTTTTAAAACAGGGAGGCTGAGTGTGAAGCTGGAAGAGGCAGGAATATCCGCTAAGTCCTCCGTGGGTGAGGTGTCAGGGAGGTGTTCACATTAAAACTTCTTCTGTGCCTTTCTTTCACTTTGGAAATGACTCACTGTGATTCTAGTCTCTTGGGGGGGCTGACGGGGGCTCCCCAGGGACCCCTGATGACAGCTGACCCTTCCTAGGTCTCTCCATTGGTGCAGTGTCTGTGGGTCTTTGTTCAATGGTTTTTTTTGAGCTATCCAAATCCCAGTCCTTGCCTGCTGCCTGCCTAGCTCTCTGAATGCTCTCGATCCACAGGCAACATCTGCTCCAGAGGCTTAATCCCCCATTTGGAAGGTTTCCCTTCTAAAATCTCTGGCCTGGCACCACTCCCAGCCCTAGTCAGCAAAGAGCTGCAGCGTTTATGTGGCTTTTCCAGCAATAGCTTTGTATGGTGTAGGGGGCAGCTTTGATCTCTGTGTTGCTGGGAAGGGTTGAGAATGGAGGAGGTACAAAGAAGAGAAGAAAGGAGGGCCTGCACACACTTGTTCAGGCTCAAGACCTTGCGCCCAGCACCTGAAGGCTCTGTACAGCCCTGAGGAGTCAACAGGTGTGATTTACACATTTAAAATGCAACTTTGATACTAACCCTCAGGCAGAAATATTTGTCAGTTTTAGGAGTATATTGTGGAATTTGGAGTTAAGGGGGGTGTCTATCAACGCATCTTGTTATCTTTTGGAGTTAGGGAGTGTCTATGAATGTACGTAGTTTTCTTCTAGTTATGAGACATTTAAATATTTTGTGATCGTATTAACAAAGACACTATGTCTACAGTCCTACTCTCTGGATGCCTCAGCTTCGTAGATTATTCTAAAGTCTTGCTGTATAATATGCCTCAGAAGAGGACACGGCTTTTGTGACAAGTGATGACACAGATGCTCAAAAACAAGAAGTAATTTGACAAGGTTACAGAAATTTTGCAGAGAAAACCACATAATTAACAATCCAGGCTGGGCGCAGTGGCTCCCGCTTGTAACCCCAGCTATTTGGGAGGCCAGGGTGGGTGGATCACCTGAGGTCAGGAATTCAAGACCAGCCTGGCCAACATGGTGAAACCCCATCTCTACTAAAAATACAAAATTAGCCAGGTGCGGTGGTGTGTGCCTGTAATCCCAGCTACTTGGGAGGCTGAGGCAGGAGAATGGCCTGAACCCGGAGGCAGAGGTTGCAGTGAGCCGAGATCGTGCCATTGCCCTACAGCCTGGGCAACAAGAATGACACTCTGTCTCAGAAGAACAATAAAAAATAAACAACAACAACAAAAAAAAATCCAATGACTCCCAGACCCCCCAAATTTAACAAACTCAAGGACCCAAGTTCCCCATGGGTCACCCTGGCCTCAGAACCCTGCAGCAAATCCTCCAGACCCTTCTATCTTGTCCCAGACCCCAAGAGCCCTCACTCCCTCTTCCAGCAGGCCCATCTGTAGCCTTTCTAGAGGCACCGAATGTTCAGTTTGGGAATCCATCCTGGGATCTCTCAGACTTCCCCACCAAGACACACACTCTGACTCTAGCCTTCCTAATGTCCAGTTCTCCCTAGAGCCCCTTGGAGCCACAAGTCTCAGCAACACCCACCCCCAGCCCACCCCAACCTGTACAGGACTGGCTCTTTCACTGGGTCCAGGAATAGGATTCAGTGAAAACCCATTGCCTCTGACTGGTTGCCTTCTGCAGCTTCCCTAGGGGACAAGAACACCTCCCGGGCTCTTGCACCTGCACTCTAGAGGCCTCATTTTTCTCTCCCTGAAACTGGCATTGTTGGATGGAAAAATGGTCTCACACTCCTGATGCCAGCCCTGGATAGAATCCTCTGTCCCCATAAGGCCCTCAGTGCCAGTGAGTGGTCCTCCCCTCCCATTGTCAGTTTGGTAAGGCACTGCTTCCTCTCCATTCCACATGAGATGATTTGCAAGAATCAGAGCTTGGAAAAGATATCTGGGGTTCAGTGGGGGCCATGCCCATCCACCCAGAAAGACAGCCACTTGCATGTAAAGTGTGTGTTCTTTAGATTATCTCTTTGCAATCTTGGGGTCTTAACTGGCTGTTGGCCCAGCACCATCTGTAACTGTGTTTGAGTCTGAGTGTCTAGGAAAACCATGCTTGTTTGCAGTCTGCCATGGTTCCCTCCACTCGGCACTGCCGTATACCTCACATGTTTACAAGAAGCTGCTGTAGAGGATACAGTTATCTGGCTGACATCTGAACATTTTTAAAACAGAGGGCTTTATGGTGAGTGAGGCAGCTCATTTTCAGTCAGATCTTCTCTGGGAGGTATGAGGAAGGTATTCTCCAGCAATTGGTCCCCTCCCCAGGGACAACCATTGTTAACTAGTCTTTGTACCTCTATGAGCTGATCTGGATTTCAATCTTGATTCCACTAATTATCTAGGGCTAAAAGAGGGTAGGTGTAAACCAGTGCTCACCTCTGCTAAATGAATTCTTGATAGGCATCAAACATCTTTAAAATCTCCAGTTAAATTATTGTCTGTTCTTAACAAGGCAAAGCAGCTAATTTTTTTTTTTTTTTTTTTTTTTTTTTTTTTTTTTTTTTTTTTTTAGACGGAGTCTCGATCTGTCACCCAGGCTGGAGTGCAGTGGTGCGATCTTGGCTCACTGCAACCTCCACCTCCCGGGTTCAAGCAGTTCTGCTGCCTCAGCCTGTCGAGTATCTGGGATCAGAGGCATGTGCCATCACACCCGGCTAATTTTTGTATTTTTAGTAGAGATGGGGTTTCACCATGTTGGCCAGGCTGGTCTTGAACTCCTGACCTCAGGTGATCCACCTGCCTTAGCCTCCCAAGGTGCTAGGATTACAGGTGTGAGCCACCATGCCCAGCCGGATATCATTTTTTTTTAAATGGGGGTTATACATACATATATCTGCTGTTTGTACTAATTATCGTTTGAAGCATAAACAAGAACCTGATTTTGGTGCCACTAAGTCGGGAAACTGGGAGACAGGAGTCACTGGAAGACTTCCTTCTTACTGTATATCCTTTTGTATTGTGTGAATGTTTTACATTTGTATGGTTTCTCTTATCCAAAAATAAACTTTTTAAATGTAAAAAAAAAAAGTGGGGGGCGGGGGGCGGGTGCAGTGGCTCATGCCTGTAATCCCAGCATTTTGGGAGGCCAAGGCAGGTGGATCACGAGGTCAAGAGATAGAGACTCTCCTGGCCAACATGGTGAAACCCCATTGCCTCTGACTGGTCGTCTCTACTAAAAAACCCACAAAATTTAGCTGGGCATGGTGGCGGGCACCTGTAGTCCCAGCTACTTGGGAGGCTGAGGCAGGAGAATTACTTGAACCCGGGAGGCGGAGGTTGCAGTGAGCTGAGACCGTGCCATTGCACTCCAGCCTGGGCAACAAGAGTGAAACCCCGTCTCAAAAAAAAAAAAAAAAAGAAAAGAAAAGAAAAAAGAAAAAGAAAAAAATACAGAACAAAGTCCACATCCTTTAACCCAGTAATTTTACTTCTGTGACTCTATCCAAATGAACCAATCAAAAATGTGCCACTTGTAAGTAGTGCAACATGAGAAATACACAATATCTCACATTGGGGGATGTCTCAATAAGCTATGGGAAAATATATGAAGGGATTTTATTCAGACAATGGAAAGATGTTTACATACAGTTCTCGACATCACTATAAAATGCTTATTGTGTTAAAAGAAGGATGGTATTTACTTATGTATTAAATATGTAACTTAGGTTTGTGCAAGCACTGTTTTTAGTGTTTATAACTACTATTGGCTCATTTACTCCTCAAATAACTCTCTGTGGTAGACACTAATATTACCCTCATTTTTTGGATGAGACTGAGGGATGGGAGGTGGAATCCCTTGCTCAGAGTCACACAGGTAATAAAAGGCAGATCTGGGATCCAAGCCCAGGCCAAGCACCCAGAGTCTGCCTCTAGCCCCTCTCCTCCACTGCCTCCCTAAACATCTAGACAAGCATAGACACATCAATAAAATCATGCATATGCACAGTATGATTTCAGTATGTTTTCTTTCTTTTTCTTTTTTTTTTTCTTGACAGAGTCTCAGTATGATTTCAGTATGTTTTCTTTCTTTTTCTTTTTTCTTTTTTTTTTTTTTTGACAGAGTCTCAGCCTCCCAAAGTGCTGGGATTACAGGCGTGAGCCACCACACCCGGTCCCAGTATGTTTTCTTAAGCCTAGAAAAGAAATTATGCCAAATGTCATCAGTGATTGCCTATAGTAGATAAGGGATTTAAATGATTCATTTTCCTTTTTCTAATGCTTTTTTTCTACTTTAGATATTGCACATATCTCTTTTATCAATGAAAAAAAAGAAGAAAGAAGTAAAAGAAATCTAATTCCTTGTAACTCCTTCCCACTGACCCTAGATTTTTCTGGAGGCAGTGCTTGTGCCTCCCCATATCTCCTCTGCCAGGAGTAAGTGGTTTTTCCGCCCCATCCTGCTCACTGTCCTGGTGGCAGTTCTCCAGGCGAGACAGTCTAATTTGTCCATGTGCAGCCCGGGAGCATGCAGATCTCCTGGTGGGTCTGACCAGCACACAGGGGAAAGAGTCCATCCCCTTCTCCACCCCAGACACTACTTTATCAGCGCAGCACAACAAGATCGTGTTAACTTTACCAGACCAACTGAGACTCCAGCCTCTCTCACTCAGCCCAGTCCAGGCAAGTCCACAGTACCCTGGGCCCAAGCACAAGACCTGACATTTATCCTAAACAATTTCTTGAAACTCAGTCTAGAAGCACAGCTCACTTAATCCATTCAAGTTGATGCTGTTTCTCAAAGATGCCAAACCTACCCCTGCCTACAGGCCTTCCCCAGACACTCCCCACCTGGCTCCCTTTTGCCACAGATGTCAATTCCTAAGAGACACCTTCCCTGGCCATTCAGTGTAAAATGGACTTATCCTATTGCCTCACTTTATTTTTATTTATATTTATTTATTTATTTATTTATCAACTTCTTGGGCTTAAGCGATCCTCTCATCTCAGCCTCCCAACTAGCTGGTACTACAGGCGCACGCCACCATGCCCAGCTAATTTTTTTTTTTTTTTTATAATCAGGGTCTCACTACATTGTCCAGGCTGGTCTTGAACTCCTGGGCTCAAGGAATCCTCTCACCTCAGCCTCCCAGCGTGCTGGGATTACAGGTGTGAGCCACTGCACCTGGCCATGACTTTATTTTTCATAGCACTTCTGTGAAATGTTTTAAAATTGGTTTACTTCTTTATTTTCGGTCTCCTTCCTAGGATGTAAGCTCCATGAGAGCAGGACTTTGTCTGCCTTACCTCACATGTCGCCCAACACTTGGAAGGAGTTCACTAAATCTTTGTTGGATGGATGGATGGATGATGGATAGCGGAGTGGAGTTTGTCAGTGCTGGTGAGACCCTCAGACGGTTTTCCAAGCCCAACTCACCGCATATTAGCTATGTGACCTTGGGCATGTAGCTTACCCCTGCCAAGTCTCTGTTTCCTCATCTGTCACCTAGGGACATCATTCCTACTTCTTAGAGTCATCATGAGAATTAAATACAATGCAAAAGTGTGTGGCAAAGTGAAACAGGCCAGGCATCTAAATGCTAACTATGATGATTTTCATTATCTCTCTGCCCAGATTAGTGTCATCTTTGATCACTCTATCTACATCCAAGTTATCAATATCCCTTCAATGGCACAGCACTCAGGACAGCACTGCCACTAAAGATGCCACCATCTGGCTATGCTCTAATCGGGCATATGTGTCCTCATCCCATCTGCAGAGGGTCTACAGGGGCTTGCCTCTTGTTGCCAGCACTGCCTGGCTCTGCAGCCTACTCAAGAAAAGAAAATGAAAGCAGCCTGACTCCATTCGTCATGATTCCTTCTTTTCCTTTTGAGGCTCACAGACAGACCGTTGGCCAGCCTCGCCCAGGACTGACGTCAAGTTCATCTTTTGCCCTTGTTTGGGCTGGGTCCTCTGGCCCAGCGATGGAACACTTGTGTACCTTCACCTGGTGCCCTGGGCTGCTCCAGACCCTGGCCTCTGGCTGTGCCAAAGCAGGAAGGACAGACTCAGGGTGTTGCCTGTTTGCTCTGGTGGGGAGAGGCTAAGAATCGCAGTGACGTAGGGAGAGAAGAAAGATGGACCCATGTGGCAGGAGATTGTGCTCAGGGTAGAGTCAGCAAAACACTGACAAGATTCCCCAAAACTCTGGCCAGAAAGTGCCTGAGATCTCCGTTTTTAGATTCTGTTCTTTAAAGATACTTCATCTGTATGTGTCCTTGAGTAGAAGGCAAGTTCTCCTTGAAGGGGACACGTTTCTCTGCTGTCATCTTAGGACAACTTCTTTGAGAAGGAGACTCTAGTTCCTGCAGCCATTTGAGAAGGGGGCTGGAGGGGCTGAGCCAGGAGGTTTTGGGGGTGAGGCCCAGGTAGAACTTTGTGGCAGGGAGTGCTGGGGTGTGCACCCACATGGGCCACCCCACAAGTTGATGGGGAAAGGGGGCAAGTAGGGAGTACAAGGATGGAAGGGGTTCTCTTCTCCCCACCCACTTTGCCTGGCTGACTCCCATTTGTCCTTCATATCTCAGTTTCAGCACCAATTCCTCAGGGAAGCCCTGCAGGCCTCAGAACAAGTGAGATCCCCCTGTCATTCCCTCCCAGAGCCCACACTTTTTATCCATAGCTCTTACCACAGTTACAGTTAAGGCTGTCGCAAGGTGTGCGGGTATCTCGCCTCCATCCACGAACTCTCTGTGATGGCAGTGGCCAAGTCTATCTGTTCACCACTGAGTCCGAGCACCCAGCCCTGGGCCTGCACACAGTAGGCACTCAGCCATATGGAGTGTTGTATGAATGAATACATGAATGGAAGAATGGACAAATATAACTGGGAGGACACAGTGCAGAGGCACTGCAGCCCCTTCTCATTTTTCGCTGGCCTAGTTGGACACAGAGGACTTGGGTAAGCGGGGGGAGGCTGACATTCCATTTCCTATGCTGGGGCAGGGGAAGCTGGTGTTTCCCAAAGATCCATATTGTCATTGTTCCAGCTGCATAATGAATAACAGCCGTTCCTCCCCAAGGAGGAAGTCATTTTCCGAGAATCAACATAAAACCCACAGGAAAGGAAATAAACATTTAATGCTCACCTACTATGCCAAGCAGTTGGGTATCTTATTTGACTCCCACAACCATTCTGCAAATCAATTATAATTCTTATTTTTACAGATAATGCAACTGAGGCTCAGAGACAATAAACAACTTGTCATGTTCATTTTTTAAAAAAAGAAAGGCCAGGCACGGTGGCTCATGCCTGTCATCCCAGCACTTTAGGAGGCTGAGGCAGGGTAATCGCTTGAGATCAGGAGTTCGAGACCAGCCTGACCAACACGGTGAAACCCAGTCTCTACTAAAAATACAAAACTTAGCCTGTCATGGTGGTGCACACCTATAGTCCTAGCTACTCTGGAGGCTGAAGCAGAAGAATTGCTTGAACCTAGGAGGCAGAGGTTGCAGTGAGCCGAGATGGCACCACTGCACTCCAGCCTGGGCAACAGAGTGAGTGAGACTCTGTCTCAAATAAATAAATAAGAATAAAAAAGAAAGAGCTGAAATTTGGATACATGTATGTGGTTCCAAGCCCATGCTGTTTCTAGTGTACCAAGCTTTGGTGGCAGAGGGTGTCATGGTAAGACATCCCTAGTTCTCAGTGTCGGGGGAGTGCCCACGGCTGACTCCTTGCTTGCCTCTCAAAAACTGAAGGCATAGATGGGGAGAATCTCCCAAAAAAGGAGGAAAGCAGAAGAGTATGAACAGAGAAGTGGGACCGAGTGTACTTCCATTTATTCCTCAAACTCTCACTGAATATCTATGTCAGACACAGGGGCTGGGGAGGAAATGTCATAAAATACAGGTCCTCTCCTCACAGAAGTCACTGTCTAGTAGGTGAACTGGATAAGAAAATAAAACATTACAATTCAGTAAGTTTGCGGTTATAGGGGGTTATTATTTATTCCTTTTTTATGTTTGAAGTTATTTTTTATCGATGTTTTTTGTTTTGTTTTGTTTTTTTGAGACAGAGTCTTGCTCTGTCACCCAGGCTGCAGTGCAGTGGTGCAATCTCGGCTCACTGCAACTTCCGCCTCCCAGGTTCAAGCAATTCTCCTGCCTCAGCCTCCCTAATAGCTGGGATTACAGACGCACACCACCACGTTTGGCTAATTTTTTGTATCGTTAGTAGAGACGGGGTTTCGCCATGTTGGCCAGGCTGGTCTCGAACTCCTGACCTCAGGTGATCTGCTCACCTTGGCCTCCCAAAGTGCTGGGATTACAAGCATGAGCCACCACGCCCGTCTCACCCAGGAGTTTTGATACCACACCTAATCACACACCAATTTTGTTGATTCTCTCATACCTTGTCTCTACATGCAGATGACCAGAGGAGGGACGCCACCTGGTGGTAAGAGTGTGGAGTGAGCATTGAGTTCCCTTCTCAAAATTTGCCTCCAGTAAACAAAATAATCCTGCCTTCTAGTCAACCCTATCAAAGAGCTGAGCATCAGGGAAAAACTCCGATCTCCAGGAACAAATGACAAAAAAAAAAAAAAGTAGAAGGCACTGTTTCCAAATGGAGCAGAGGAACTGAAATCCAAGTTAGAGACATGATCTATAAACACACAGGAAAGCAACCAAAAGAAAGCTTGGATTTGCTCATCATTTCATCTAAATGTAGTGATAATAATAATGACTTTCCACTTACTGCGTAATACTACGTTCCAGATGCATGGGTACACTGTGCTGTGTGCTGAACATATTTAATCTCCTTTAATTCTCAGCAACAACCTTATAAGGGAGATATTACTATACCCATTTTATGGGGAACAAATGTCAGTTCAGAAAGTTTGAGTAACTCCCAGGATCACACAGCCAGGACCTGACAAGCTGGGATTTGACTTCAGGTCTGTGGACTCTGAAACTCATGATATTAACCATTAGGTTAGACACCTGATAGATATGGCCATTCAACAGGTTGAAAGTGGATCTCATCATCTTTGCTTCTCTTCCTCCTCCACTTCACACCTCAGCGAACAGCACAACCTGTCCTCCCCACACCTATCCAGTTGACCAAGCCAGACATCCAGGCAGGTTTGTTTTTGTTTTTGTCTTTGTCTTATGTTTGAGACAGAGTCTCACTCTGTCATCTAGGCTGGAGTGCAGTGGCACCATCTTGGCTCACTACAACCTCCACCTCCAGGGTTCAAGCAATTCTCCTGCCTCAGCCTCCCAAGTAGGTGGGGTTACAGGCACCCGCCACCACACCCGGCTAATTTTTTATATTTTTAGTAGAGAGGGTTTCACCATGTTGGCCAGGCTGCTCTCAAACTCCTGACCTCAAGTGATCCGCCCACCTCAGCCTCCCAAAGTGCTGGGATTACAGGCATGAGCCACTGTGCCTGTCTCACCCAGGAGTTTTGATACCACACCTAATCACTCACCAATTTTGTTGATTCTCTCTCATAAATTCACATTTTTTTCCTATGCTCTCTATCCTCACTGCTGCTGCCTTAGTTCAGGCCATGCCCATCTCTTGCCTGATTAGAGGGTCTCCCAGCAGTCCCTCTGCTTCCCAGCACATGTGTGATTATTTATTTATTTTTATTTATTTATTTATTTTTTGAGACGAAGTCTCACTCTGTCACTCGGGCTGGAGTACAGTGGCACGATCTTGGCTCACCGCAACCTCCGCCTCCCGGGTTCAAGCAATTTTCCTGCCTCAGCCTCCTGAGTAGCTGGGATTACAGGCACCTGCCACTATGCCCAGCTAATTTTTTGTATTTATGGTTCCACAGGCTGTACAGGAAGCATGATGCTGGCATCTCCTTGGCTTCTGGGGAGGCCTCAGGAAACTTACAATCATGGTGGAAGGCAAAGGGGAAGTAGGCACGTCTTACATGGCTGGAGCAGGCAGAAGAGAGGGAGCAGGGAGGTACTACACACTTTTAAACAACCAGCTCTCATGATCACTCATTTACTCACTATCACGAGAAACAGCACCAAGAGGATGATGCTAAACATTCATGAAAGACCATCCCCATGATCCAATCACCTCCCACTAGGCCTCACCTCCAACACTGGGGATTACAATTGACATGATATTTGGGCAGGGACACAGATCCAAACCATGTCATCCCTTTAAAGAAGTAATTAAGGCTGGATGTGGTGGCTTATGCCTCTAATCCCAGCACTTTGGGAGGCCAAGGGAGGATGGCTTGCAGCTAGGAGTTGGAGACCAGCCTGATCAACATAGCAATACCATCTCTAAAAAATAAAAAGTAACTAAGTTAAAGTACAGTCATCAGGGTGGGCCCTAATCCAATGTGACTACTATCCTTATAAGAAGAAATTAGGACACAGGAAACAGAGGGACAAATGTGAAGACATAGTGAGAAGGTGGCCATCTGCAAGCCACGGAGAGAGGCCCCAGAAGAAACCAAGCTGCTGACATCATCATCTTGGACTTCTCGCCTCCAGAACTGTGAGAAAATACATTTTCGTTGCTTCAGTCACCTAGTCTGGGGCATTTTGTTACAGCAGCCCTAGCAAACTAATACAATCAAGAAAGGAAATCAGACTCAGCAAGGCTGAGGGACCCACCTAGCGCTGTCTAGCTCCTTAGTAATGCATTCATCACATTCTGCCTGTGACCACTCTCTTATGTTGATTATCAGATAAAATAATGGATTTAACTCTTATTATTTAACTTCTTGAGTGTTTGGGTCTTATTGCTCCAACTGGCACTCAGGGTAAGGGGCCTTGTCTTCCCCTTCTCAGTATTTGCAGATATCCTAGCTGAGCTTGGTGCATCTTAACAATAACTTTTTGATGCATTTCTTGTTGTTGTTGTGTGGTTGATTGACACATTTGGATGGGTAAAAAGGAGCCTGATGGCTGGGCATGGTGGTTCATTCCTGTTATCCCAGCTGCTTGGGAGGCTAAGGTGGGAGGATTGCTTGATTCCAGGAGTTTGAGGCCAGCCTGGGCAACATAGCAAGAACTCATCTCAAAATAAAAGTAAAAATTAAATTTAAAAGGAGCCTGATGGTAAATTCCTGATCCCCAAGAGACACATACAAAGGTAAATTCCTGATCCCCAAGAGACACATATTCTGCCAGTGATCACACATATTCCCAGAAGTAGAATATGACTCATCTCTGAATGTCTAAATATATATATTGGGATGACTGGTCTGAGGCATCATGGAAGGCAATGGTGCATAATGTTCTAAATTAGAATTGTCCATTAAGAAGAAAAAGGAGGGGGGGCTAGGCACAATGCTCATGCCTATAATCCCAACACTTTGGGAGGCCAAGAGGGGAGGATTGCTTGAGCCCGAGAGTTTGAGACCAGCCTGGACAACATAGTGAGACCTCATCTCTACAAAAAATTAAAAAATTGGTGGGCATGGTGGTGCATGCCTTTAGTCCCAGCTATTGGGAGACTGAGGTGGGAGGATCACTTGAGCCGTGGGGGTTAAGGACATAGTGAGCCATGATCGTGCCACTGCACTCCAGCCTGGGCAATAGAGCAAGACTCTGTCTCAAAAAATAAAATTAAATTAAAATTAAGTTAAAATGTAAAAAGAAAGAAATACATCAGTGCGTGTGTGTGCGTGTGTGTGTGTGTGTGTGTGTGTGTGTGTGTGTGTGTGCGTGCATGTTGGCAGGCAGAGGCACGGGGGAGAGGCCAGTGGGAACAGTGGCTGTGATGCCAGTGTAGCCTCTCTGAAATGGAAGGGGCCTAAAGGGACTGAGCAGAGAAGTGGCTTATGCCAGAGGCAGATGGCCCAGCAGGAGAGGCAGAGACTGGAAACAAGCCTGGCTCCTGAGCACCAGCCTGTTCTTTCAAGCACAAGCATTTCACAGAGGAGATGCCCATGGGGCAGCACCCCTGGTTCCTGGTCATACTCAGGAAGGAGGACGCTTCTGCAATATCATACAAAAGGCTGGTGGATGGAATGAGGTGCAGCCCTTCACAGAGTGAGAGAAAAGCCCATTGGATTAATCATAAGGCTCCCTCTACATCTCCGCAGTGACGCAGCTTCACAGTTAAGGGCAGGCTGGGCCTCTCCTGTCCCACGAGACAGTTCTTAAACATGAGCATCACCTGCTTAAGAAGCCTAACTCTGAAGATTCACCAAAGCAGCTTAATGGCTCAGGGTACTTTAGGTAGTTTTATGGTACACAGAGTGGGCAAAGTAGCACTACTTAGATCTCATTTCCTCTCGATGCATCCAGCAGGAGGGCTACCACTTACTGGACCCTAAGCAATTGAGAGCAGAAACAGACAAGAACCTGTCCTGCAGCTTGCAAGTCCCTGCCACCTACACACCAAAATGTAACAGTGGTGGTCTTTCAGCAATGATTTTTCTACACGTGATTTTTTTTCCTTCCTTTTCCTGTACTTTTTCATTTCCTCTTTTGATGAACATATATTACTTCATTAAAGTATGAAATAAAACACTTTACTTTTAACAACTATTACCTTTTACCTGCTGGTTTGTGTCCTAAATTTCTTCTTAAGGCTTTAGTCTCAGAAATTGGGAATGGTTACACATTAAGCTGTATATAGTTCTGGGTCCAATCAAGATACAGAAACCACATAGCAATTTAAACAGAGAAGCCTAACACAAAGAGGTATGAAGCTAACGGTTCCCCAAGGCTGAAGGAGAGTATTCAAGGAAGGACAACTTGGAAGGAGAGTTCCCTCCTCAAGACTGGGGAGCTGGGTGCAGTGGCTCATGCCAGTTATCCCAGCATTTTGGGAGGCTGAGGCAGGAGGATCACCAGAGGCCAGGAGTTCAAGACCTTGTCTCTACAAAAAAAAAAAAAAAAGATTGGAGTTCAGACCTCCTTAGAGGAGGTATTGTTACAGCCCATTGGGTGACACAGAAGTCTGCCCAGGGCAGAGCCACTCCACAGCTGTTGAGCAAGCAGGAAATTATAGGTAAGCTGAGGCTGGTGGGAGGGAGCCAGAGTGCCACTACGGGTATGAGGCCTGGAACACCTGGTGTCCACCTCAGGAAGGCACTGGAAGGTGGTCACCAGGCCTGGGCCGGGGCTACAAGGTCACCAAGGGGCTGTTATGGAGATGCAACTGGAGCAGAGTACCACAGACGTTCCCACACAGCTGTACCACCACTAACCACACAGCAGGGGCAAGAAAAAGCAAATAGCACCGCACACAGGATTGGGAAGAGTAACCCCCTTCCTCCTGCAACATTGCCCTGGTTCCCCCTACTGGCAAGCCTTCATATTGGGCTCACTGTCAGGCAGAAAACGCTTACAGCAAACGCTTACAGCACATCACCCCAGAGAAGGTACTGTAGGGTGAACTTGGAGCTATGAGGCAATACATTGATGACTGGCCCAAGCTGTTATCAGTCATTAGGACAGGGGTTGGCAAAGTGTTTCTGCACAGAGCCCGATAGTAAATACGTCAAGCTTTGTTGAGTCAGACAGTGTCTGTCCAAACTACTCAAGTCAGCCATTGTGGTGCAAAAGCAGTACAGATACTATACAAACAAATAAGCATGACTGTGTTCCAGTAAAACTTGATTTACAAAAACCAAGCAGTGGATCTGGCCCACAGATCATAGTTTATCAACTCCTGATGTAGAACTTTAGAGTGAAAAAACCTCTGTTCTGCAAATTCGACTCTACTGAGAGGAAGGAGAATGGATGAGCGTGAGTACACTGAGCTGAAGTGGGTGGTGGGGGCTGTGCAAAAGGAATTTAAATGGAGATGATAATGTCTACACTGTATTTGTCTAGATTAGTGAGCTAGTAATATTAAAGGACCTAATGGTGTACCTAATTGTTATTATCTGTAAGGGTCTGTGTAAGGCAAAATAACAGTCCATATTGTGCCTTCCTTTTTGAAAGACGAAGTTGAGGCTCAGAGAGGTTAAGAAACTTGCCTAAAATCACACAGCCTGGAGGAGCTGAAATTAGAACTACCCATCTGCCTTTTTTTTTTTCTTTTAATGAGACAGGATCTCACTCTGTCGCCCAGGCTAGAGTGCAGTGGTTGCAATCCTAGCTCACCACAATCTCAAACTTCTGGGCTCAAGTGATCCTCTCACCTCAGACTCCCACAGTGTTGGGATTACAGGTGCCAGTGACTGCACCCAGCCCCATCTTTTTGCCTCCCAAGCCCACATTTTTTACCATCATATCCACTATCCCCACTCATAAGAAGCAGGTGAGTGTTCCCAAATTGGGCTGCTGTCTTTACTGGGTACTATAATAAAATTGGATTTAACACTCTTAAATTACAGCAGTCTAGAGCTCCCAACCTGAAGTGAAATCCATCTCCTGAAATGTCCAAGGCACTTAAAGATGAGAAGTGGGAGATACCTGACAATTCGATGGCACCGCATTGACTACCAAGTCAGTTCCAGCAAAGTGGCTGGATATGTTGGTGTCCTATTTCAAGGCCCCCTTCTCCTGCCCTCTCCTTGCATGACCTTCCCAGATGCAGAATCATTCTTTAATCAAAGGTAGAACATTTGTCGGGCTTCCCCTTAAGAACTTGCAAATACTGCAGATGTTGATTCTCACCATGTCTGTAAGATAAGGTTTATCAAAATAAATGGTAACCAGCCGGGCGCAGTGGCTCACTCCTGCAATCCCAGCACTTTGGGAGGCTGAGGCGTGTGGATCACGAGGTCAGGAGATCGAGACCATCCTGGCCAACATGGTGAAACCCCATCTCTACCAAACATACAAAACTTAGCCAGGCGTGGTGGTGTGCGCTTCTAGTCCCAGCTACTCAGGATGCTGAGGCAGAAGAATTGCTTGAACCCGGGAGGTGGAGGTTGCAGTGAGCCAAGATCGCACCACTGTACTCCAGCCTGGGTGACAGAGTGTGAGACTCCATCTCAAAAAAAAAAAAGAAAGAAAGAAATGGTAACCATTGTATCACTGCTTACTGACAATGTGCTGGTCTAGGTACTTTGCATATAGCTGTTCCAGTTCTGCTAACACTCTTGGAAGGTAGGCATTATTGTCCCTATTTAACAAATGTGAAAACTGAAGGATAAAGTTAACATCTACATAGTTTTTCCACAGCCATGATTAGCCATTGAGGGAGGCAATTTAATAAGATTCTATGCAAGGGGGGAAAATGAGGTTTGGAGAGGCCAACTTGCCCACCCTACTCATCTCCATCTGAATCTACATGTCTACAGACACTCAGTTTGGTGTGGAAATATTAATACAATGCATGTGATCCACTTCAGAATCAGACAGAGCCAGGTCCAAATCCCAGCCCCACCTGTACTAGCTTTGTGACCAACTGCTTTTCTCTATTCAGAGCAATTTTTAATGTCATTTCTACATGTCTTTTTTTTTTCCCCCCGAAACGGAGTCTCACTCTGTCATCCAGGCTGTAGTGCAGTGGCGCCATCTCAGCTCACTGCAACCTCCGCCTCCCAGGTTCAAGCAATTCTCCTGCCTCAGCCTCCCAAGTAGCTGGGATTACAGGTGCCTGCCACCATACCCGGCTAATTTTTGTATTTTTAGTAGAGATGGGGTTTCACTATGTTGGCCAGGCTGGTCTCCAACTCCTGACTTCAAATGATCCACCCACCTCGGCCTCCCAAAATGCTGGGATTACAGGTGTGAGCCACCGTGCCCAGCCAATTTCTACATATCTTGTAAAGAGGATTATTCCTTCCTTCCTTTTTTTTTTTTTTTTTTTTTTTTTTTGATGGAGTCTTACTCTGTCACTCAGGCTGGAGTTCAGCGGCGTGATCTCGGTTCACTGCAACTTCCACCTCCCAGGTTGAAGCAACTTTCCTGCCTCAGCCTCCCGAGTAGCTGGGATTACAGGTGTCTGCCACAATGCCCAGCAAATTTTTGTATTTTAAATAGAGACGGGATTTCACCATGTTGGCCAGGCTGGTCTCGAACTCCAGGGCTCAAGTAATCCATCCAACTCGGCCTCCCAAAGTGCTGAGATTACAGACGTGAGCCACTGCACCCAGCCATCCTTCCTTTCTTGACAGAGTCTCACTTTGTTCCCTAGAGTGAGAGGCTGGAGTGCAGTGGCACAATCACAGTTTACTGCAGTGTCCAACACCCAGGCTCAAGCAATCCTCCTACCTCAGCCTCCAGAGTATCTGGGACTACAGGTGTGCACCACCACGCCTGGCTAATTTTATTAATTTTTGTAAAGACAAGGTCTCACTATGTTGCCCAGGCTGGTCTCAAACTCTTGGGCTCAGCCAATCCTCCCGCCTTGGCCTCCCAAAGTGCCAGATTGCAGGTAGGAGCCACCATGCCCAGCTGGACTGTTTTTCAAGGATGATAGAGATAGAATCTCCCTCCAGGGAAGCAGGGAGATTTGTTTGCAGTCCAGGATAATAAAGATAATGCTGTCACTGGGGCAATGGTTGAGCAGGTTTGCTAGTAGCCCTGTTGAGAAGTTTAGGGTTTACTAATCTCTACCTAATTCACTACCTGTCTATGACCCATGGGACACATGGAGCAAGGGGAGCCAACAAAAGCATGATCTCATGCTGCCTGCTGTGCCATGAGTAACAAAGTCAGTGGTTTCTGACCCTGGAGTCTCCTGTCTTCTGCCAGCATATACAGAACAGTGGCAGGCTCACCTGTTAGTATGTAAGTAGGGTAAAATTCCAAAGGCTTCGTGTTCTTAAAACTACTACCTGAATGTCAAAAGCATCAGTAATTCTCACCTCCCATTGCACCTCAGCTTCCTGCACTTGGCATCTGCCCTAGTGCAATACTAAGCTGTTTTTGCCAATGTCACCCAAGACTCATAACTGCCAGTTTCAGTGGGTATTTGACTCCAGGTGAAACCTCCTGGACCTCTGCAGCCCTTAACACAAGGGGCACACTCTCCTTCTGCAGTGCCCCACTGGTAGCTCACACAAGACCACACTTTGCTGTCTGTCCTTGTTGCACTCCTTGTTGGTCCCCTTCGTGCACTCCTTTTCCCTTAGCAGCCCTATCCATGCCCTGCCAGCCTCTCTCATTGCTCCACCTGCCCTCCCTGAGTGATCTCACTCACACTGTTGGTTTTAGGAACCAGGTATAGGGTCACGATGTCCTAATTCTAGCTCCAGTCCAGATCTCTGACACAACTTATCAGCCACCTGCTGAGCAGCTCCACCTCAATCAAGAGGTCCGAAAAGGAAACCATCCTTCCCTGGCCCTCCCCATCACTATGTGCTGTATTCCTCCTGCCACTGTTCCTCTCTGGCCCCAATCCTTCCTGCCTGGGGTGACCACAGTGTCCAGCTAACTGGGCTTCCTGCCTCCTCTTGGCCCTGGCCTTTGTAAAGCCTCCACTTCACTGTTGCCAGAGTTATGTTCCTAAAATAAAAACCAAATCATGTCATTTCCCCACTTAAAACCCTTCACTTTCTCCTCACAGTCTACCTGACAATGTCAAGGTTATTTTTTAAAATTTAATTTTTTTTTCTTGAGATGGAGTCTCGCTCTGTCATCAGGCTGGGGTGCAGTGGTGAGATCTCGGCTCACTGCAACCTCTGCCTCCCAGGTTCAAGCGATTCTCCTGCCTCAGCCTCCTGAGTAGCTGGGATTACAGCTGCATGCCACCACACCCGGCTAATTTTTGTATTTTCAGTAGAGACGGAGTTTCACCATGTTGGCCAGGCTGGTCTCGAATTCCTGATCTCAAGTGATCCATCCGCCTCGCCCTCCCAAAGTGCTCGGATTACAGGTGTGTGCCACCACACCCAGCCAAGGTTATTTAATGCATAGTTCAATATTCCCTCTAATGTTATGTCCCATCCTCTCCTCGACTTCCCTCCATCAAGCACTCCTCCGGTCTGTCTCCTACGGCCACTATCACTCAAAATGGAAAAGAGGTGGGCAGGAGATGTCTCAAAATAACACTCATTGTATGGCACTAACTGGTTATAATTGTTATTATCTATAACCAGGAAGTCATAAAATGTTGCATTAAACACCAGTTACATATGTTCCACCTGCGTCAAACCCATAAGTGTTCTTAGTTTTTGTTTGTTTTTATTTTGTTTTATTTTGTTTGAGACAGGGTCTCACTCTGTCACCCAGGCTGCAGTGCGGTGGTGCAGTCATGGTTCACCGCAGCCTCAACCTCCTGGGCTCAGGTGATCCTCCCACTTCA
Source organism: Homo sapiens (assembly GCF_000001405.40). Classification (NCBI taxonomy): domain Eukaryota; kingdom Metazoa; phylum Chordata; class Mammalia; order Primates; family Hominidae; genus Homo; species Homo sapiens. Next base: position 69,575,425 of record NC_000014.9, on the reverse strand, counting down.
GCCTCTGGAGTAGCTGGGACTACAGGCACAGGACACCACCCCAGCTAATTCTTGAAAATTTTTTTAGAGATGGGGACTCGCTATGTTGTCCAGGCTGGTCTCAAATTCCTGGACTCAAGTAATCCACTGGCCTCGACCTCCCGAAGTGCTGGGATTACAGGTGTAAGCCACCTTGCCCAGCCTGTTTTTAGTTTTTCATTGAAAAAAAAAAAATCACAATTTGCATCAGGCGCCATATTTCCACCCAATTATTCGCTATCAAGTTTGTTTGCTCCTCAGGGTTTCCTTTAGAAACAAGCTGAGCAATTCCTTCATTCTACCCAGTTAGGCTGCTGAAAGACTAGGGTTTCTTGGTGATTTATATATCGATATCTATCCATATCTATACCTACATCTACCTGTATGTGTGTAGTGTATATATATACATATTATATGTGTGTATATATGTACATATATACATTTAAACAAAAATTTCTCCTTCGTCCTCGAAGCAAACAAACCAGCACCCTCGAGTGTCCGCCAGGAGGCGCAGGGGGCAGCGTGGGACCTGCGGTACCTCCACGGTTGTAGAGGTGTAGAGGGATGCCGCAGCGACGGAACCGGGCTTCTTTTTTAAAGAATCAATGTGAGGGAAGGGTGCAGAGCCGCGTTATTTTAGGGAGACATTGTCGCACTCCCCCTCCCACGTGTAGGTAGCATCTGGGGTGCGTGCGCCCTGTTCGCAGACCCCATGGAGAGACGCTGGCGGCGGCAGATGGGGCTCCTTTCACGGTTGCAGCCGGCAGTAACCCGACCCCGCCGGCGCAGAGACTGAAGAAGCGCAGGGGACAGCGGCGAGCTGCGAACAAAAGCCCTTGGCGCGGGGCCGAAGCCCAGGACGCGGGGTGAGTAAACCGGCTCGGGTACCGGGAGCTGCGGGAACCTGGGCGGCCAGGTTCTTTGCACTCCAGGAGCCCACCCACTGGGATGCTGTGGGGGAACTCGGAGGGCACCCGAGGGCGGGTATCTGAACCCCGACTGGGGTGGATGGTATCTTTAGCACATTCAGACTTGGAGGAGATCCGGTGCGTCTGAGAGTATCCAGGCACCTTCTCCATCCCCAGCAAACACCCGGTGGGGGTGGAGGTGGGGGCGGAGGCGGCGTGCAGAGCCCTCAGTAAGCCCTGCCAGAGCTGCTGGAGCAAGAATCCATCACCCCTCCCGGAGAGGCCTTTGGGGACTTCTCCCAGCCCTTTAATCACCCGGGGGCCTTGCGACCGAGTCTCCTTTGGCAGGGGAAATCAACCATAAACTTCTTCCCTTAGGCAAATGGGGTCCCTTGGGATGAACAGGCCTCTTGCTTTTTTGTTCCTGCAAAGCTGCATCCCCAGTAGCCCGCCTAAGCTACAAACAAATACGCTAATCCTCCCGGGAATCCTCCAGCGCCTCCCTCTCTAGCTCCTGCCTGCACCTGGATCTTTTCATCTTAACTTGCAGCAGAAAGGGGATGCATCTAGCGGGCTAGGCGCCCAGAGGAGCCTCGCCACAGGCCTCCACCCCGCATTCCGGGGCTGAGGGAGACCCAGGCTGCTCTCTGAACACGAGTGTCCGCCCCACCCCCATCCCCGTTCTGGCGCTCAGCCTGGGCTTTCCGACATCGGTTTTATGATTTACGTTCCACCAAAGCCTCTGAGCCTAATCCGAAAGCGGATTAAGTTGGGATGGGGTGACTATGGATGAGGAGGGGGGAAGAGCTCTCAGACGTATTCCTCGATGTCCCTCCTTGTGATCTGCAGAGATTCCAACAAAGGACGGGGCTCAGCCATGGTGGACCCAGTGCCTGAAGAAGAGAAGGCAGGAGCGGAACCCGGCGACTCTGGAGGGGACGAGGCCGTGGCGTCCGTGCCCCCTGATTCCCAGGGCGCACAGGAGCCCGCAGCTTCCTCGGCCTCGGCCTCGGCCTCCGCGGCGGTGCCCCGCAAGGCAGAAGTCCCATGTGCAGCCGCAGAAGGCGGGCGGCGGGAGCAGTCCCCGCTGCTGCACCTCGACCTCTTCAACTTCGACTGCCCAGAGGCGGAGGGCAGCCGCTACGTGCTGACCAGCCCCCGCTCGCTAGAGGCCTGCGCCCGCTGTGCGGTCAAGCCGGTGGAGCTGCTGCCACGGGCCCTGGCCGACCTGGTGCGAGAGGCTCCGGGCCGCTCCATGCGGGTGGCCACCGGCCTGTATGAGGCCTACGAGGCGGAGCGGCGCGCCAAGCTGCAGCAATGCCGGGCCGAGCGCGAGCGCATCATGCGCGAGGAGAAGCGGCGTCTTTTCACGCCTTTGAGCCCCGCGGCCGCCGCCGCCGCCGCCGCCGCCGCGGCCTCGGCCCCGAGCGCGGGCAGCAGCAGCAGCTGCAGCAGCGCCAGCCTCCCGGCCTCGCCCGCGCCGCGTGCGGCCCGCAAGGCTTCCCCTAGTCCCTCCTCCGCCCGGACCCAACCTCCGCCAGCGGGTTCTCGAACAGGCAGGAAGAGCCATTCGCTGGACTCACTGTCCCGCCGGCGTGAGGGCGCCCTCAGCTCCGAGTCGGGCGCATCGTCGTCATCCTACAGTGGGGAAAGCTTGAGGGAGCTGCGCTGGCCGCCTCGGGCCTCGGCCAGGAACAGCTGCCCAGCGGGGTCGGCGTCCTCCACCACCAACGCTCCGGGCCGCCCGTCTGCCCTGACCCTGGTTCCGATCACCGGCCGCAGCTTCAGCCTCGGCGACCTGAGCCATTCGCCGCAGACCGCTCAGCACGTGGAGCGCATCGTGCGTCAAGTGCGTGCAGAGCGCGGCCTGCGCGGGGTGCCGGAGCGTGACCGGAAGATCGCGGCGCTCATGCTGGCGCGGCACCAGGAGGAGCTCCTGCTGCTGGAGCAACGCGCGGCTGCCCACGGCCAGTGGGAGCTGCAGCGCGTGCACGCCAAGCAGCGGCGGGAGCGCGAGGAGCGGGAGAAGCAGCGCGCCCTAGAGCAGGGCCGCCGAGCCTGGGCCGCGCAGGTGGAGGAGCGGCGAGGCCGCCGTGGCCGCGAAGAGCGCGAGGCGGCGCGGCGGCGGCAGCGGCAGTACGAGCGCAGCGAGGAGCGGCGGCGGGAGCTGGCCGAACGCCAGGGCCTCCTGCGGCGGGAGCGGGCGGAGCGCGCGGCCCGGGAGGATCGGCTGCGCAAGCTTCAGCAGGAGCAGAACCTGAAGCAACGTGAGGAAGGTCTACAGGAAGGGCGGGAGCGGGCTGAGCAGATCCGCAGGGAGCGCGCCCAGCGCGCGGCCCGCGCCAAGCAGCGGCAGGAGGGCCAGCTGCAGCGGGAGAAGCGGGAGCTGAGCCGGGCCGAGCGGGCGCGCCACGAGGCGCTGCTACAGGGTCGGACCCGGCAGCAGCGCCAGGAGCGAGAGGGCCTGCGGAGCTCGCTGGAAGCCAGTTTGGGCCGTGCGCAGGAGAACTACGAGCATTTGGTGGAGCAGCGCACCCGGGAGCTGCGGGAGCGGGCCCGGCGAGAGGAGCTGCAGGGTCGGCGGGCCAAGGAGGCGGCAGAGCGCAAAGAGCGGGAACATCAGGCGCACCTGGAGGCGCTGGCCCGGGCGGGGGAGCGACGGCTGCAGCACGCGACGCAGGTGGCCGAGGAAGCAGTGCAGCAGAAGGCGCGGCGCGTGGGCCAGAGCCGGCTGGAGAAGGAACGAGCCCAGCGCGCCAACAAGGAGAAGGTGGAGAGGGACGAAGACTGCCGCCGGCGAGAGCTACTCCAGGCCATCGGGCGCAAGCTGGAGCGCAGCGAGCAGCTGACGCGGGAACGGCGCAGTGCGCTGGAGAGCGCCCGCTCCACAGCCCGGGCTTCCTTCCACGTGCGTGAGAAGGTGCGCGAGGAGACCAACACGCGATCCTTCGACCGCATGGTGCGGGAGGCCCAGCTACACGCCAGCCTGGACCGCAAATAACTGCGGCTCTTTGCCAGCCAGATTGGCACGCACAGCCCCCTGGGGCCTCCCTCAACCACTGACCATCGTGGGAGTCCCCGCTCGGTGCGCAGCGCGGTGGCCTCTCGAGGCTTCTGACCAATGAGGCAACAACAGTACAGACGTTTGGGACCTGTCAGCTGGCCCCCTTTGTTTTTAAAACTTACTTCATTTGGAGATGACAGCACAATCTGCCCACATCCACCCTTGATGGCTCCCGCACCGACCCTTGCCAAACTTCCCTATGTGTCTCTTGGGCTGGAATAGAGAAGCTTGGGGGAAAGGGGCTGATCAGGACTGGTGAGAGGGCCCCCCAGGAGAGGGCAGAGGTGGTTGTCCCCACCCCTTCTGCAGCAGTTGCCCCAGGCACCTGTTCGACATTGGTGTCTGAGACAGTGTTGCTACTGCTGAGGGAACATCACCCTGGCTCACCTCCATCTTTCAAAATATGGCAAGCTGCACAAATCGCGGAGGCCTCCCAGAGAAACACAGCTCCTCCAAGGTGTCAAGCCACGCCCAAATGATCCAAAAAGCAGTTGATTTTTTAGACCTTTTAATCGGCCACCTGAGCAAATTCTCACCAGTTTTGATAGTTTTCCAGTTTAGTCCCTTGGGTTTTCTAGTTAGACAGTCATCTGCAGATAATGTTCAATTTTTGTCCTTTGCCCCCTCCCTCATTCTACCAAGTGGCACAGGAAATTGGTTGGTTTGGTGATGCTGTTTAGCTTTAATAGAAACCCCCAGCCCCTGGAGGGGCTGGATTCCTTTGGGAGCAGTGTTCCATTCCATTAAGCTTCCTTGCAGGGTGGGGCCCACTCCATGAAGACAGCAGTCATGCCTTAAGAAGCAGAGCTACCTTACGTGCCTGCCCAGGCTGTTCCTGCCTAAATCTCCAGCCCTGCATGCCGTCTCAAGGGTGGGCCCCAGAGAGTTTGGAGTGTAGGATTCCCTCTGTGAAGGAATCATCTCTACTTCTCTGAGGACAATTAGGGTATCCTTGGCTGCTTTACTGTGGTGGCCGAAGAGCTGGAATTGCCTTTGTTGAGAGTTGTGTTCACTATCAGTGGTCGTGTACCTTCTCCACCTGCCCCCAGGAAAAAGAGTCTCCCCCTTAAATTTCCTGGTACCCCCTCACCTATGCCTGAAAGCATTTCACCCTCTCAATGCCTCACCTTTCCCATTCGCCAGATGGAACCATCAGTATTCCTCTCCTGGTACCGCAAGGCCTCCTGGATCCAAAGCACCATGTCAGTATTATTTGTTGGTCCTTTTTGTGCCTTTCTTGACCTGGAGGGGGAGGCAGGAGGATTGCTGTCAGCCTAGTTTCTTTCTGGGAATATGGCTCCCTAGTGTTGGAAAGGGCAGTGCCTCGTGGACAGATGGTCATTTAGCCTCTGGGGTGAAATACTTGCAATACCAGGTCACTCTGTGGTCCAAAAGGTCACATTCAGTTGTCATCAGGCAACTTTAACCCTTAGAGTGCTTCCCTTCCATTAAGCTGAAATTGCCCCACGGCCATATCCACCCATTGACTCTGCCTTCATCAAGGAAGGTGGGAAGTAAAACATCACTTTTTACATTAAACCAGGATCAGGAATAAAATGTTACCAAAAAAAAAAAATGGAAACAGGGTAGAGAACTGCTACATTAAACATATTTCATATATATTCTGCTGGGTAAAATTGTCCCTGAAATGGCTGATTATTACACACACATCCATACACACACACTTTGTCAACCCTTCACCCCCACTCCATCACATGCCAACAAATATAAAAGGTGTATTCTGTAGAAGGAAGCAGTGCTTGGGTGTTAGGCTCAAGATATCATGAAACAAGGAAAGGAGCTGTTTACCGAGGTTTTTTTATTGAATGGGTGAATTTTTTCCTTAAATTTTCTTCTTGTTGATAACCAGGTTGTCAGTGAGTTGAAATAATTGGTATTATCCATGAGTCAGAAGCATTTAACTAAAAGGTTAATGTGATTCTGGTTCTTACCTTGTGGTTCTTGAGTTGGTAAAGGGCTTTTGAAACCATAGAAAATTCCGCTTTAAAACTACTTACTTCCAAAGTATGTGCATTCATTGGAGGAGACAATCTGATTTTTCAGATAAGGCACTGAAAGGAACATAGGTGGTCTTGCCTGGACCTTTACCTAGTTTGTTTTCTGGCTTACTGAGTGACTTTGGGTTGATTGCTTCTCTGTGCCTTGGTTTCCCCAACCTGTAGAATGGGGGATCATGATTTCTGCCCTGTCTGTCACACAAGCACTGTGAGAATGAATCAGAATCCAGATGGGTTCCCCACTTCTACAACTCTGGAACCAAAGGTGCAATTGCTATAAACAGGTAGGGTCAGGTAACTGTACCGTGGTTACAGAGTGTGATGTACTGTCATGACCTGGTGCAGAAAGGAGTAGTCTTGAAAAGCACAAATTATGGTATCATGTGTTGCAAAGGCCCAGGCCTGAATCTCACCAAATTAGAAGTTTGCACTTAGAGAGATGCACTGTGTAAACGCAGAAACTTTTAGATTCTTCAAAAAACAAAAATCCACATAGCCAAGTAGAATTAAGGCAAAAACAGGGCTGGGTATGGTGGTACATGTCTGTAATCCCAACACTTTGGGAGCCCAAGGTAGGAGGATCACTTGCATCCAGGAGATCAAGACCAGCCCGGGCAACATAGTGAAACCCTGAAAAAAAAAAAAAGCAAAAACAGAAGCCAAACCTAGTGACAATAAAGAATGTTGCAGACCATCTGCTAGAGTATAGGCCGACCTCCATATTCTAGGATAAATATCCATATTGCTTTCTGAGGAGAAGCAATTTCCAGAATCGTTGTCGGGCCCCTTGTTTATATCCTTTTCTTGAAGCAATGCCAGAGAGAAGAGGTTGTTTCCTATTCTGAAATGCAGCAAGAGAATGTTGGAGGTGGAACAAGGATAGTGGGTGGAAAAATGGCTCCTGATGTATATTCTTTTGGGTGGAATTGTCCCTAAATGATATTCTAACAAGTGCCCAGAATTTTCTTTAGAGCACCATGGTGGATGTGTTCTTACCACCCAGGGGATTGCAGCCTTGAAGTGACCACAGACCTTCACATTTGTCCTCTTGGAGCATCCCCTTGTTCTACAAAACAGAGACTGTGAAATGAAGTGAGGAGGTATGGGAGGCATTGGAAGAAGCTTAGGTTTAGTTCATTACCATGGAAGCAAGAAGGACAAAACGATTTCAGATTAAATCATCAGTGAAGCTTAGTTTAGTGTCCTGCTCAGGCAGTGACCCAATGCCTACAACCCTATCTAGACAGGATGGTGGAAGATTCTTTTTGGAAGCATGCAGACTGTGACTCTCCAATGAGGGTAGTAACCGGGATTTGCTAAAGGCAAAGACCCTGTAGGATAGTGAAGATATATGAGAATGCAGTCTGTGTTCAGACTATTCTGTAAAATCCATCACTTATCATTTCTTCACCTTTACAAAGTCCATTGAAATAGAGGTGACTCTAAATAAAGGGCTGTATCTTGTTTAGCATAGAATCCCCTACAGCCAATGGTTTTACATCTCACATATGGTAAGCACGTAGATACTGGATGGCGAGAAGGACAGAGGGATGGATGGACAAATGAATGGTGACCAGAGGAAATGTGTATAGACCAGCTAGGCAGGACTCCATTCATTCAACACATTTTCAGTGAGCCGCTGCTATGTGTCAGGCACTGCCCTTGGTGCTGGAGAAACAGCCTCTCCAATCATTGACCCTGGAGATCACGTATGTACAATGTCATGAGCAGACGACATCTTTGTTTCCATGTTGGGGGCTTAACAACCTTCTCACCTGAGTATCCATCTGCAGGCAGACCTGATGGTCCCTCAAGGCACTAACTTCAAACACTGTCAGCCTCCTAAGGACAAGTCATCCACCATTCAATCATCATTTAGTCACTGTTGCTCTCTTTCTTGGAGAAGCCTTGATTAATCAGGTCAAATTCATGCTATGCCCTTAATCAGCTTTAAATTTCAGTAAACAAAGAGATAAACTGAGAGAGAGAGATGAATCACCTTCAAGGGCATTACCTGTCATGCCTTTAAGAGAGGCAGCATAAATAATGATCTTCGACCTAGAGAACCGACCCTCAGGCTGTGCAGAGTCCTAATTCACCAAACGTCATTTGGTGCCAGCTCCTCATCTGACTGTTCTTACTGAGACAAGAAAGTCAAAATTGCAGGACCATTTCCAGTTTAAAAGTCTCAACAAAAAGAAATTTCTGGTTAATACTGAATCCATAAAGAGATTTAGTAAACCAGAATATCTCACTTCTTAAGCCTTCCAGGTAATTGAGCCCAAAGATTGCTATGTAGGCTTGCCTTTTCTCTGCTGTATGACCACATCTTCATCCAGTGAAACATTTGGCAGAGGAACATGAGGAAACTTGGTATTTCTTCACACAGCCTGCAAAGGGGCTTTCAGGGACCCAGAAGCAGAAAACTCTCAGTTCTGGAAATGTTGCTGAGGCCTCAGGTGTCTGGCATAGCACCTGAATATTACACCTCATCATATGCTTTGGTTATGTGTGTCTTTAGACAAGAGCAGTTCATCAGTTCATATGTGCTCTGTTACACAGAGCTCCCTGGCATCTCTCTCTACATGCATCTCCTCCCAACCCCATGGATCTTCCCAACAAGCCCCCAGCCCTTCACTACTATCCCTGGTGCTGCTTTGGTTTCCAATAGGTCAGGGCTGGGACAGAGGGTAGAGTTCTTGCCGTTTTCAATGCTGCCTCTCTTAAAGTCATGACAGGCAATACCCTTGAAGGTGATTCATCTCTCTCGCTCTGTCTCCCTCTGTCTCTGTCTCTCTTCCTCTATCTGTCTATCTTTTTACTGTAGCAGATGTTAGGATATGGAATGTGGGATGGTTTCTTTCAGAGAAACGCTGATAATGTGATCATTTGCAGTGTTATTACTTCCCAATTCATCAAATACAGTCATGTCTCAAATGAGCATAAAAACCTAGTCCAAAGTGATTTTTAAATTAGCTGTCATTTTGAAGTGTTCTTGCCTTTCTTCCTCTCCACTAGTACAATTTTTTGTTTGTTTGTTTTGGTTTGGTTTTGAGACAGTCTTGCTCTGTCGCCCAGGCTGAAGTGCAGCGGCACCATCTCGGCTCATTGCAACTTCCGCCTCCTGGATTCAAGCAATTCTCATGCCTCAGCCTCTCAAGTAGCTGGGATTACAGGTGCATGCCACCACACCTGGCTAAATTTGTATTTTTAGTAGAGATGGGGTTTCACCATGTTGGCCAGGCTGGGCTCAAACTCCTGGCCTCAAGTTATCCACCCACCACAGCCTCCCATAGTGCTGGGACTATGAGCCATGGCACCCAGCCCTCCATTAGTACAGTACTGATAGCATATTTTTGTGTCAGACACTTACACAGTTCACAGGACTTTCTTGTGAATGATCCATATCTTCTGTGTTTGAGCACACATGTGCAAGCGTGCATGCACATACACATGCGCACGCCCACCCTTACTGCTTCCAGCATCAGTGTTCTTGCAAAGGGAGGAACTATAGCCATCTTATTCTTCCAAGGAGAGCTAAGTTCTGGGAAGGCTGAGCTGCCCCTTGTAAGGTTCCATTGCTCCCACCTGCCTCCAGCCCCAAGGCTGCTTTAGGCTGTGGCTTGTGAGCATGGTGTCTGCATCTCCCAAATCCATCATCGAGCCTCATGTTGACGAAGGGTTTTCATGCTGCCACTACACTTCTCCTTCCCAGTGCATTCTCTCACTGGGTGTCAGAGATTTACTGGGAGATAGAATTTAGATACCAAAATGCCAGCATTCGGGAACATAGTATAACAAAATGACTGACGTCCATCAAATTCTGAAAATCTATTCCCTGTGGTTATCACAACTTAAGGCAAAGAGTTTGGCAAAGGAGCAAGTGTCTTGACTTATTCAAGCTATTCTCAACTTGTTCCTCTTGTCTTCTGTGAAATGGAGACAATAGATCCTATCTGGTAGGGAGCTGTTAAATCATTTAGTTCTTGGAAAGCAGTAGCACTTAATTTGTGGATACTGTTATCCTAAATTAGAGAAGATGGTAAAGGAAGGAATGGGGTAGATCGAGCTTAAGCCAGGTGGTCCTGGTGGACACCAGACTTGAATGGTAGCCCTTTTGGGGGTAGTCCTTGTTGCGTGGCAATCTTCCAACCATTCCAAATGAGGGGCTCTGGAAAAATGGTTCCCCTGGTAATAAGCAGTAGTCCTGGGGTTGTGGGGGCTGGGGGAGGTAGGGATTTACTTGTTTACCCATTTACCTTGTTTGGCAATAAAATTGACATCTGATAATAATTTTGGAAATTTTATTTTAAGACTTCTTAAATGATGGGTAAAATGACAGAATGCTTTAAAATTTGTGTATCTTTCTAGGGCAAAAGAGGGTGTGCTTCTGTCCTGGTGATGCCCAAATTCTATGATAGCATCTTCAGCAGGACCAAGTAGGAGAGGTTGTGGGAGAACCACTGTTCAGGGGGACTCTGGTACTACAGGGTGTGGTGGTACTTGGCAGGAATTCTGGACTATACAGCCATCTTCTGCTATGGCCACACAGGAATAAGGAAGAGGGTCTGGGACAAGCCTAACCTGGGAGAGTGCTGATGGGCTCACTGTAGGGGTAGTGTTGGAGCAGGAAGGATAGAGGTGGATATGCCTTAGCATCACTTCATCCTCAACTAATGACTTTCCTTGAGAAGCCTCACCAAATGTCCCCACTCTCCCTTCCTGGTCCTCTGGCCCTGTTGACAACTGCATGGAGCCTAGCTTCAGGCCTGGGTTTGTAAATGTCTGTTCTCCTCTTTGGACATACATCAATACACAGAGGTGCTAAACAGGTAGGCTGGCCCATCCTGGCTCTCACTGTGCATGGGGAAGTGAGGATGAAGAGTATGGCAAGCTTCTAGGCACTCTCCTACCTCATCAGCTTTCTTCCATCCTTGGATAACCTAGAGGGATGCCCTAGTGGACCTCAGAGTACTCCTGAATCCTCAGCAAAATTGTACAGTAGGCAGAGTGTGCTTCCTAGGAACATCTGCTTATTTCCAGAGAACCTGCAGGGTGAGCAAATGCATAGCAGAAAGGAACAATTTGCTAATGCTGGGATTGCAGGGGTAATGATAGCCAGTGTGTACTAAGCACTTACACTGTGCAGGCTACTATTTTAAGCACTTGATTCTCACAAGATTCTCTGTGCGGTAGGTACTGTTATTGTTTCCATTTTACAGATGATAAAATTGAGGCATAAACTTTAAGCAATTATATGCCCATAGTCACACAGCCAGTGTTGAGCAAAGTCAGCTTGGATTCCCTTAGTCTGGCTGTACAGCACATGCTTTTAACCAGTATGTTCTGTTGCTTCTTGGTAATCGGAATGATATTTTATAACCAAGGGGACCTCCTGGAGCATCCCAATGGCAGCCATTTGAATCACTGCCAGCAATATCTATGTGTAAGGCCTGCAGGGAGAAAGCTTAGATTTCACTGGAGCTTAGTGCCACCAGGTGGGTCCTGCTGGCACTAAGGATGGACTGAGGCTCACTGCCCAGAGACAAGACGAGGGACTCTTGTGCTGACCCTGAAGCTTACCACATCAGGGATGATGCATATTCTAGAGCAGAGGTATTCAAAGGGTGGTCTTTGGGCCAGCAGGATCAGCATCAGATATTCTGGGGGTGGGAACCTCAATCTGTGTTTTCACAAGCTCTCCAGGTGATTCTGATGTAAACTTAAGGTTGAGAACCACTGCTCTAGAGCTATGCTTTCCAATTCAATAGCCTCTAGTCACATATGCCTATTTGAATTTAAATTAGTTAAATTTTGTGATAGCAACAGAAAATGAAAAAAAAGTAAGTTAATTAAATTTAAGTAAAACTAAAAATTTAGCTCCTCAGTCACACTAGCCACATGGCAAGCACTCAGCAGCCACATATGGCTGGTGGCTAGCACAGATATCAATGTTTCCATCATCACAGAAATTTCTGTTGGGTAGCCCTGCTCGAGAACCTTGCTAATCCAGAGTGTGGCCCACAGACCAGCAGCACTGGTCTTAAATTTATTAGAAATGAAAAGCTCAGGCTGGGCTCGGTGGCTCATGCCTCTAATCCCAGCACTTTGGGAGATCAAGACAGGCGGATCACCTGAGGTCAGGAGTTCAAGACCAGCCTGGCCAACATGGCAAAACCCCCATCTCTACTAAAAATACAAAAATTAGTCAGGCATGGTGGTGGGTGCCTGTAATCCCAGCTACTTGGGAGGCTGAGGCATGAGAATTTCTTGAACCCAGGAGGTGGAGGTTGCAGTGAACTGTGATGGCACCACTGCACTCCAGACTGGGTGACAGTGAGACTCCATAAAAAAGAAGGAAAGAAAGAAAGAAAAAGAAAGGAAGAAAGACAGAAAGAAAGAGGGAGGGAGAGAGGGAGGGAGAGAGGGAGGGAGAGAGGGAGGGAGGGAGGAAGGGAAATGAAGAGCTCAGACTCCACCCCAGACCTTTTGAATCCAAGTCTGCTTTTTCTTTTCTTTCTCTCTTTTTTTCCCTTTGGCAAGGTCCCCAGGTGATTCGTGTTGCACATTAAAGTTTGACAAGCACTGCTCTAGAAGGCAAGTCCAACTCAAGGGCAGTTTGTATGTGTGATTGATTAACTCCCACTGGTAGATTCTCCCTCCTCTACCTCCTTGTTCATTGGTAATTATTTACTTTATGGCAAATTTGTATCATTTGTGGCTAGGCTTCAACTTCCCAGGCCACCAGATTACAATATTGTGGAGCTTGAAGGGAAGTTAGATGCCATCCATCTGTCTATTTGAATAATAGGAATAAGGCCCCTCTCCTGGACAGAAATTGTGCTCCAGACCCTCCACGCGTTCTGATCTTATTGCGGGTGGTTGCAAGTGTCCAGGACTTGGCTTCCAATTATCACTAGGTATGTAGTTTTCCAGAAGACTTCATTCGCTAAAGGCAGACAATTTTTTTTAAATCAATTTTAGAGCATTTAATAAAAATCTCCCCTTTGCTCTCTCCATCTTCAGGCTGCCAGCTGCCTGTTTTTATTTTCTGGGCATTGTGTATACTCAGTATTCCCACTTATAACTGGCTATTTCTTCACATATAGGTGCCTGTTTTCATTATCACATGAAGCCAGGGGATTGTGTTGGAAAGTCTGGCAGTTCACCTGCTTCCTTCCTGGGAAGGGAAATCCAGTGGGCTTAATCTCACCTGATCCACAGGTGGCATTTACCAGACAAGCCCATCTTGCCTCCTGCTTGCAATTCACAACAAAAGGATATGAGGATTGAAGCAGTCTCATTGTTTGATGTGGATTCAGCCAAAAGCTGTGGGCCTGGGTTTCACAGTCTGCCTCTGCTGCCCTAGGTGGGTCTAGAGTTCTGCCTGGAATCCCACTTCTTACAGCCACTAGAAGAAGTGGAAACAAAGAAAGCAGGGAGGGAAGTGTGCAAAAACCTCTGGGAAGGGAAAGGGCTGGTTTACAAGAGGTCATTAAAATAAGTGAAAGCATCTTTATGTTCAAAAAAGGAGAGAATGCAGTGAGAGCATCGAAGTAAGGAAATAAAAAGGGAGAGGCTGGGAAATACTAGTCTGATGCCACAGACAGAAAAATTCAGGCGGGATATATATCTCAAGGGGCTGAGGATAGCTAAATAAGCCCATGCCTCAACAGAAAAATAAGAGGCCCGTCACTAGAGCCATCTTAAAGCAGCTGAATCAAGATCCAGGGAGGAGGAAGGAGAGGGCAGATGCCTCAGAACCTGATAGTTGCTATTTAGGTCCTGATGCAAAATGCGTTCATAGTCTGTAGATGTCATATGTACATAGATAAGGGTAAGCACAGACTTTTCAAAAGTTGCCAAAACTTCTCATAAGAAGAATGGCTCTTCCCATGATCCTCTCCTTCCCTTTGCCATCTTTTCTTTTCCCCTGGAGCTGCCACCATGAAGGTCAAGTTGTACAGTTTAAGCGGGTACAAGGTCTACCCTAGACATGGAAGGCGCTACACCAGGACGGACAGGGAGGTTTTCCAGTTTCTTAACGTAAAGTACACGTCAGCTTTCCTTTCCAAGAGGGACCGTTAGTAGATAAACCGGATTGTCCTCTACAGAAGAAAGCACAAAAAGGGACATTTGGAAGAAATTCAGAAGAAAAGAAACTGCCAAGCAGTCAGATTCCAGGGGGCCATTAGTGATGCATCTCTTGCTGATCTAATGGCCAAGAGGAATCAGAAATTTGAAGTTAAAGAGGCTCAACGAGAACAAGCTCGCAGGGCTGCTAAGGAAGCAAAATAGGCTAAGCAAGCATCGAAAAAGATCCACAAGGGCGTCCCCTAAGCAAAAGATTGTGAAGCCTGGGAAAGTTTCAGCTCCCCGAGTTGGTGGAAAAATGCTAAGTTGGCAGATCAGATTTTTTGTTTTGTTTTGTTTTTTTGAGACAGGGTCTCACACTCTGTTGCCCAGGCTGGAGTCCAGTGGCGTGATCTTGGCTCACTGCAGCCTAAACTTCTCCGGGCTCAGGTGATCCTCCCACATCAGCCTCCCAAGTAGCTGGGACTATAGGCTCATGCTACTACACCTGGCTAATTTTTAAATTTTTTGTAAAGGTGGAGTTTTGCCACATTGCCTAGGCTGATCTCTAATTCCTAGGCTCAGGTGATCTGCCCACCTCAGCCTTCAAAGTGCTGGGATGAAAAGCATGAGCCACCATGCCTGGCCCAGCTCAGATTTTAAATAAACATTGTACTATATTAAAAAAGAATGTACAAGTAATACAAATATATAGTTTCTTGTGCTTGTGATCAAACCAATTAACACATCTTTGGAGTCCATTAGAAGATACCTTTTCTCTATATGGGCATGGGAATGGATCTAGCCTCTACCTCAAGGAGTAGAAAGAGTATACAAACCTTCTCAAGGAAAAGGCGTATGCTCTGTAGCTTTCAGGGCATAATTAGTAGCATATACATCATTTGGAAGATGAAGACGACGTGGACACAGAGTACCAGGATTTAGAATAATTTAGAAGGGAAAAGATTGTATCAGGCAAGAGAAAATCTATTAATGATTTTCTTTAATGATCTTATCTAAGCCTGATGAAAGTGTCAAGTCACCCCAAAGCTTTCAATTAGGTTGAACAATATGAAATTGTCAATATTCAACTGTTTTTGACCTACAAAGCTGCAGACAGTGGTGTGGCAGGTGCCCTAAATTGGCTGTCTGAAGTCCTTGCAGGAACTAGGTGTGGGAGGGTAGAGGGGGTGTCCAGGTGGCTAGGACATCTAGGCCCCATGAGGAGCTGGCACAGATGGGTCAAGGGCAGCCTGATGGCATACATAAGCAGAGGGCAGCTTTTCTGTCTGCATGAAGCATAAATTTACATCAGAGCATCTAAATGGTTGAGAGCCCACTTGGTCTCCTCCCACAGATTGGGCTGCACGGCAGTTCATTTCCCTAGAATCTGTAAACTTCGGCAGAGGCTATGGCCTTCCGTCTGCCACAAGCTCCCAGGAGTCCTGCAGGAACCAAGGCAACCAGCAAGCTGCTGCCTGCACAGAATACCAAACAGCAAACAGCAGTGCAGGCTCCCATCCCTCTGCCGCGGCTGGCTTCCCTGGCACTAGCTCTGTCCTCCAAGAGCCCTTTCTTTTCCTCCATTGTGGCTTTTCTACAAACCCACTTGTTACCAGGTGGCAGAAATACACCCACAGTTCAACAATATGTTTCTAAAACCTTCTCCATGACAACGCAGAGCAATGAGCAGGCTGCCAGATCAGAGCCAGCCAGAGAGGGGCCCTGGGGGCAGACAGTATAGAAACAGCACAGAGCAGCCAGGGATGCCAGAATTCTGCTTTGGCAGTAAGGCAGCCTGGGGGCTAACACCCCAAATTCTGGGACAGCGGTCAGGAGACCAAGTAGACCAAGGAAGCAGTGAATATATGTCTATGGATGCCCAACAATGATGATTTATAAACCTTTATTACAACACAGAAGCCAAATGGTTCAGAGCAGCTTGGACTTTCTTTCTCCTTGAAAGATCTTTTGGCCAGGTGCGGTGGCCCATGCCTGTAATCCCAGCACTTTGGGAGGCCGAGGTGTGCGGATCACTTGAGGCCAGGAGTTTGAGACCAGCATGGCCAACGTGGCAAATACAACTAAATCTAAATACTACTAAAAATACAAAAATTAGCCAAGCATGGTGGCACACATCTGTAATCCCAGCTACTCAGGAGGCTGAGGTGGGAGAATTGCTTCAACCCGGGAAGTGAAGGTTGCAGTAAGCCAAGATCGCACCACTGCACTCCAGCCTGAGTGACAGAGTAAGACTCCATCTCAAAAGAAAGAAAGGAAGGAAAGAAGGCAAGGCAAGGAAAGGAAGAGAAAGAGAGAGAGAAAGAAAGACAGAAGAAAAGAGAGAAGGAAGGAAGGAAAGAAAGAAAGAAAGAAGGAAAAGAAAGAAAGAAAGAAAAGAAATAAATAAATTAGAGAAAGGAAGGAAGGAAGGAATAAAGAAAGAAAAAGAAAGAAAGGAAGGAATAAAGAAAGAAAAAGGAAGGAAGGAAGGAATAAAGAAAGAAAAAGCAAGGAAGGAAGGGAGGGAGGGAGGAGAAGGAAGGGAAGGAAAGAAAGGGCCGGGCGTGGTGTCTCATGCCTGTAGTCTCAGCACTTTGGGAGGCTGAGGCGGGGGGATCACAAGGTCAGGAGTTCCAGACCATCCTGGCTAACATGGTGAAACCCCATCTCTGCTAAAAATACAAAAAACTAGCCGGGCATGGTGGCACATGCCTGTAATCCCAGCTACTTGGGAGGCTGAGGCAGGAGAATCACTTTAACCCAGGAGGCGGAGGTTGCAGTGAGCCAAGATTGCACCATTGCACTCCAGCCTGGCGACGGAGCAAGACGCCGTTTCAAAAAAAAAAAGAAGGAAGGAAGGAAAGAGGAGAGAGGAGAGAGAAAGTATAAGAAACCACCAACAAAGAAAGACATGGGTTTTTCAATGGGCTGCCATTGTCTTGTGATGGGACAAACTATTTATAAATCAAAATGTTGCCAGGCAGCTGGGTGTGGTGGCTCACGCCTGTAATCCCAGCACTTTGGGAGGCCAAGGCAGGGAGATCACCTGAGATCAGGAGTTCGAGACCAGCCTGGACAACATGGTGAAACCCCGTCCCTACTAAAAATAAAAATTAGCTGGGTGTGGTGGCTCACGCCTGTAATCCCAGCTACTCGGGAGGCCGAGGCAGGAGAATTGCTTGAACCTGGGAGACGGAGGTTGCAGCGAGCTAAGATCGCGCCATTGCACTCCAGCCTGGGTGACAGAGTGAGACTCCACCTCAAAAAAAAAAACAAAAAAATGTTGCCAGGCATGATGGCTCACTCTTGTAATCCCTACACTTTGGAAGGTCAAGGCAGGAGGATCACATGAGGCCTGCAGTTCAAGATCGGCCCAGGCAAAGTAGTGAGACCTCATCTCTATCAAAAATAAAAAATTAGCTGGGCATGGTGAGATGCACCTCTAGTCCTAGCTACTCGGAAGGCTGAAGCAGGAAGATTGCTTCAGCCCAGGAGTTTGAGGGTACAGTGAGCCGTGATTATGCCACTCCACTCCAGCCTGGGCAACAGAGCAAGATCCTGTCTCAAAAACAAAACTAAACGAAATGGGGTACTGAAGGCTCTGAGCTCCCGCCTGGGATCAGAAGGATATATTAATGTCAGATGCATTGAAATTAGACCCTCTGCCACCAGTCAGGGCATCAAGCAAATCCAAACTCAGGGAATCTTGAGCCACCTGTCCTTGTTCTCCTGGGATTTTCAAATAGGCCTAGGGCTCCCACCATCTCTATTCCGCTGGACTCTTCTGATGGGTTCATTGCCGAGCTCCTGCTCTGATGTCAATACCAGTTCTCACTGCAGGGCAAGTGAATAGACAACCTCCTTGTGTGGTCACTTACTCTCCACACAAACAGAATACACAAGGGAAGGACCCCAGGCACCCCAGCTTTGGTTCTGGAGTAGCTCATGGCTGCAGCTATTCTAGGTTACATCGCATTATTTTTAGTTTCCTAAATTGCAGGATCAGCTACAGAACTTGCAGTGCCCAGGGCAAAATGAAAATGCATGGTCTCTCATTTAAAAATTATTAAGAATTTCAAATGGACAGCAGAACATTAAAGCAAGGGTGGGCCCTTCTAAACTCAGGGCCCTGCGTGACTACACAGGTGACAGCCTTCGGGAAGCCAGCCTACCAAATCATTGTACCTGGTAGAAGAGGCTGTAGACAAGTCACCAGGAGATAACATTTCTGGAGTTTTTAACTTTGAGATTGATTAGGATTTTTCAGTTGCAAAACCAGACTTGCATTGGACAAAAGGAAAAAATTCAGACACTCCCTTTTGTTATGTCTTTCTTTATCTAATTCCTGTTCTGATCCTTCTCTACACATGAGAACAAGGGTTAGTGAGTGTTTCTTTAGGACCATCTGACATGGATGGCAGGACACAACCTTTCCCAAAGTGGGAGAAGCTGGTTTCTCCCCATTCACTAAGAATCAGCCCTCTCGCAAAATTGTATCAAATCCAGAAAACCCTGGCCTTTTGGTCAACTTGGGCAAATCACATAATTTCTCTGAGCCTCATTTTCCTCATCTGTAAAGTGGGGACCATAATGATACCTACCAGGCTGGGTGTGGTGGCTCACTCCTGTAATCTCAGCACTTTGAGAGGCCAAGGCAAGGAGGGTGGCTTGAGGCCAGGAGTTCAAGACCAGCCTGGGCAACATAGCAAGACCCAGTCTCTACCCCTAAAAAATTTTTAACAACAAAAAACGGTATCTACTGCACAGGTTGTCATGAGGACTAAGTGAGAAAAAGCATGCAGAGAAAATAGCACAGTGCCTGGCACATACTATGTGCTCAATAAATAGCTTTTTTTTTGAGACAGAGTCTCGTTCTTGTCACCCAGGCTGGAGGGCAGTGGTGTGATCTTGGCTCACTGCAACCTCCGCCTTTCAGATTCAAGTGACTCTCCTGCCTCAATCTCCAGAGTAGCTGGGATTACAGCATGCGCCACCTCACCCAGCTAATTTTTGTATTTTTAGTAGAGACAGTTTCACCACGTTGGCCAGGCTGGTCTCAAACTCCTGATCTCAGGTGATCCGCCCACCATCTAAACCCAAAGCACTGGGATTAGATGTGTGAGCCACCATGCCCTGCAACAAATAACTTTTATTATTAATTTCATCATTACTTTTAAGTAGGTGATTCTAAAAGTTGAGCTATGTTGAAATAAAGGTAACCACAAGCTAAACTATTACTTCTAGTTTCACCCTCAGAAAGAATGTTCTGGAAGGGATGCAGAGAGGCTGACTGGGGGTGTCCATGTTCAACCCAGATCACAAAGCCTAACAGTCCACTAGGGTGGGATCAGTGACATTTAATTAAGCTCCCGAGTTGTCCCTCCTTCCCAAAGCTGAATAAAGGCATGTTCCTTTTCAATTCACAGACAAAATTAAGTCAAAGCATAAAGCTGTCTTACTTTTAGATTTTCCCCTATGGTATTTTTTTCTCAAGAACTTTAAAGTCTAAGACCACATAAATTCAAGACTTCAAGGGCTTTGTTACCTGAACAGGTTTAAGTAAGATGAACACGAACTTTGAAGGTAACCTTGCATCAACATTGGCTAATGTAAGCAGAGGGTATTAGTGGCCCCCAAGATTCCCCTGTTTGATGGGACTCTTTGAAGGTGACCTCCCCTCCTGCCCCATCTCACCCTGTGCTCTACTGGGGAGGAAATATGAGATGACCCATCAAAGACAGGACTGCGGAGAACAGCACCACTATCAAAGGTCTCCGCAAATGTGAGAGCTTCTGGTTCTACCATCAAGGACAGTTAAACCACCATAATTACCTGGTTGCAGTAGAGGGCATGCCTGAGTCAAATAGGAGGTCTGAAGCTTCTCCCCCTGAGTTGGCACTTTGCTTTTTCTCAAAAGCACCAGTCTTACTCTTCTTAGGCAACAGGACAGAGAGCTCCTGCTCTGGGGCAAACTTCACCCACAAAAATCTGCTTACACGGCCGGGCACGGTGGCTCACGCCTGTAATCCCAGCACTTTGGGAGGCCGAGGCGGGCAGATCACTTGAGGTCAGAAGTTCCTAACTAGCCTGGCTAACATGGTGAAACCACATCTCTACTAAAAATACAATAAAATTAGCTGGGCATGGGATTAGGCAGGCACCTATAATCCCAGCTACTTGGGAGGCTGAGGCAGGAGAATTGCTTGAACTCGGGAGGCAGAGGTTGCAGTGAGCTGAGATCACACCACTACACTCCACCCTGGGCAACAGAGTGAGACTCCTTCTCAATTAAAAAAAAAATCTGCTTACACCTCCAGCTGAGGGTGGCTGGCCCCACTGAGCCCTCAGGAGAGCTGCCATGGTTTCCAGCCCTCCTGAGCAGTGAGATCACAACTGTGTGTATTTGGAGGTCAGTTTAGGAGTGTGGATGACGTTGTGCATTCAGTCCCCAAAGCAGAGGCTGATGGGTGGTGAGGCCAGCCCACTGTCCTCTTCTAAACCCTCAGGTTAAAACGAAAGCCACTGTCTGCAGAAAGAACCCCAAAAGAGGGCCTGGAAAAACAGAAGGAAGCACTAATAAAAAGCAGCAGCATCTAACTGCTGCCAAGGGCAATGCGCTCAAGAAATGTCTTCAAGGAAAGGCTGGCTGGGAGCCAGAGCCCTGGCTTTCAGAGTTGGCTGCAAGACCTTGGTCCTTGTAGGCTGCATAGCGCCTTCTACACAATGACCAGAGAAGTCCACCAGGACTGCTCCATCCCAGATTCGTTTGTTTGTTTGTTTGTTTGTTTGTTTGTTTGTTTGTTTTGAGACAGGGTCTCACTCTGTCACCCAGGCTGGAGTGCAGTGGTGCAACTATGGTTCACTGCAGCCTCAACTTTCTGGGCTCAAGCGATCCTCCCACCTCAGCCACCCAAAGTGCTGGGATTACAGGCATGAGCCATTAAGCCCAACCCCATCCCAGATCTGTAAATAGACCTCTGTAGCTGTGTATAAATTGAAAAAGTTTGCATGCCTTTTCCAATTACATTTGATCTGTGAATCCTCTCCCCACCCCACCCCTGTTTTTTTTTTAACCAAAGCCTCTGTTTTTGCCTAGGTTTTCCAGGCAAAAATAGTCTAGTGGGGACAACTGCTACTACACTTCATGGACCTGGTCACATACTACCAGGTCTCACACTGGGGTGGGATTCTGCTAATAACTATGGACTTACAGAAATATACTCACATAGACTGGTGTCCAGCACTGGGCCAGGCCTTGGCCATAGTCAACAAGGCCCCTTGGGGAAGGCTTCTTTCCAGGGTCTGCTCTGGCCAACTGGTCATGGAAGAAAGCCCTGGGCGTGTTTGGAGGAAGGGAGAAAAAAAAAATGGGAATTGTTCTTTTGTTTTTGCTGGAGATTAAGCAGGTGGACGTGCTTACGATCCCTTTAGGCAAGAACTAAGGCAGTTTGTAAGCGTGTGGCACTATCATCGATTTATTCAACATTTACTAAGTGCCTACTGTATTCCTGTTCCTGAGAAAACCTGCGCAGATGAGACCATGGTCCCTTCCTCATGGTGCTCCTAGTCTTGTGGGGCTTGCAGACATGAGGGCATGAGTGAAGGCTCATAGGAAGCGCTGGTCTTGGAGGGTCAGAGATGGTGAAGTGACATCTAAGTCAAGGTGGGAGAATGAGCAGAGGCTGAGAAGAGGCTTTTCTCTTGCATACTAATCTATAGGTAGGTGAATGGTCCAGGCTGGGAAGATAGTCCCATGTCAAGAGGTTGTCTGGGGCCCATTGCCATTTTCTAGGGTGTTTTCCTCATTTGCATGATCAAAGCTAACAGACCAGCACCACTCCCACATTCCAGGAAGAAAGATGGAAATTATGGAAGGCAAACAATTTCTTCTTGAAGAAGCTGCACACGTCACTTTTGCTTGCATCATTCCTCTGGCCAGAGCTTAGTCATGTGGCAACTCCTGGCTGAAAGGGAGGCTGGAATCTATAGTGTCTAACTAAGTAGCCATGTATCTAACTAAAACTAAGAGGGAAGAAGGGGAGATGGGCACTAGTGGGCAATTAGAAATCTCTGTCCCAGGAGGGGAATAATGGTCTATGGAATTGCATGGTCAAGGGCAAGAGACACAAGAGAACAATGAAGCTGGGGAGGGATGTGCTAAGCATTATATCAAGTGCCTTCTTTTCTTTCTTTCTTTCTTTTCTTTTCTTTTCTTTTCTTTCTTTTTTTTTTTTTTTTTTTGACAGAATCTTGCTCTGTTGCCCAGGCTGGAGTGCAGTGGTGCGATCTTGACTCACTACAACCTCCGCCTCCTGGGTTCAAGCAATTCTTCTCTCTCAGCCTCCCAAGTAGCTGGGATTACAGGCACGCATCACCATGCCCAGCTAAGTTTTGTATTTTTCGTAGAGATGCAGTTTTGCCATGTTGGCCAGGCTGGTCTTGAACTCCTGACCTCAGGTGATCCGCCCGCCTCTGCCTCCCAAAGTGCTGGGATTACAGGCATGAGCCACCACGCCTGGCCAAGTGCCTTATTTCCATTATTTCACATAAGCCTCACAATCCTATAAAAAATGGTTGTTACTATTTTCATTTTGTGGAACAGGACAGTGAAGGTCAGAGAGGTTTGTTGATTTGGCCAAAGTCACCCAGCCATAATGGTGAAATCAAGATATTAATCTAAGTAAGTCCTCCTGCTCCAGAGTTGCTGGTTTCTCCATGAGGCTACACTTCCTCTCCGTAAAGCTACCTACGATGCCATGGGAGATCCAGGCGTCACTGGCAGAATGGTGTCATCAGTGGGGCACTGCAGGGGATGAATGAAGACTATGAGGTAGGGAGGGGATTGGCAACAGTCAGGAGGCAAATCCAAGAAGCAACACCTGACAAAGCCAAACAGTTGTGAGTCTAAGGGAATCCAAGTTCAGATTCCAGTTTTGAGTCTAAGGGAATCCATGTTCAGATTCTACTTTGAGACCATTATTCCTAGTAGTTGAATCTTAGATTTGTGAGGAACCTTTCAAGATACTCAGATGTGAGGATGATCTTGACCCTCAAATTGATTAACAAGATGGCTTTGATCATCCACAGACATCCAGTCCCATCTCCACCCAGAGCAGGAGCCCCTCCCACAGCATGCCTGATGGTTACTCATCATTTCCAACCCAAACCATTTCAGTATTGGGGACCTCACCGCTTCTCCAGCCAGTATGTCTGTCAGACAGCTCCAGTTACCCACGTGCCCTTCTAAATGGTCCAGAACAAGAGGAAATGGATTCCATACAGGTGTAGAGTTCGAGGAGACCCAGCTATCCATTTATGTTGAATACATGTGTGTTTAATCCATCAACCCACAGATTGAAGAGTTCAGAGAGATTAGGGTTCCATCCACCAAGGCCAAGACAGTGTGATTCTCTATTCAGGGCATTTCTCTTCACTGTGATTGTCCCAGGGCTGCGTGAGCCTGAGACCCTGGGCTGTGTGAGTCCAGGCAGCATTTCTCACCTCTGTGAGTGTTAGGCATATTCATTACTCCTTTCACTCTGCAGCCTCACAGCCACAACCTTGAAGAAAATTCCCTCTAAAACTTGCAATACATTGGCCTATGAATAATTCAGTGCTGCTCCTGACTCAGGGGAAGTATTCTGTTTCTGATGCCTCTTCACCTAGAGAAACAATAGCTAGCACACTACAGGGATGCATCGCCTAGATTTGAGTGAATGGATGGGAGGAAAAAGGAAGGGAAGGAAAGATAAAAGAAGACAGGGAGGGAGGGAGAAAGAGAGAAGGAAAGACACAGAATAAATTTCCTCCTTCAAGTGGTCTTAGAAGCTCCCAAGGACTTTAGCTCATGCTGGGTAACAGGCCCTGAGGAAAGAGCTGTGACCAGGTTGTGGGAGCTGCCTTGGTGACAGGTCACCCTGCCTCCTATGGCAGCTGCAGGGGTATAAGAATTGAGTGTGGAGCTCATCCACTATAGAACCATCAACCGAAATAGGAACTTAGAGCCAGTGTGCAAAGCTCCTCCCAGGACGGCCAAGGACCACCCCCACTTTGGCCCAGCATCGCTTTAAGACTCAGAAATGCGGAAGAGGAGAGGAAACAGGTGTGGACTTGGGTCAGATGTTCCAGCCCCAATTCTGCCTTTTGTGGTAGTGGGAGCATGGGAGGGTCCCTAGTGCATGTTGAGGGATGAGGACAGGATCATGGGATCTGGCCAGAAACCGTATCCTCCACTCCTGTCCCATCATAGGGTGGGCAAATGCAAATTATTTATTACTGAAAATTTTTGCCTGGGTGGACCAGGCTGTCCCATGTAAGAGATTCCTTAATGTAGGCTGGGGGGCTCACCTAAGTAGGCTATGTGTCTTTTCTCCTGAAACCCAAACCAACTTAACACTCCCTTAGTAAGGAAAGGTGAGTTCAATAAAAATCACACCAAGGAAAAGCGAGCAAGACTTTCTGTGCAAAATCCATGCTGAGTAGGCGCAATCCACCTACCTCACACTCACACAGAAAGGGAAGTCCCAAGGCATGGCAGAAGAGCCTTCCCCTCACCCCGCACCGTGGTCACCCTCCCCACCATGTAGGCCGAGAACATTATCTCCTCCCCAGGTAGAGGTACTGGGGAGATACCTGAATGACTTACACCTGGCATCATTCTGTTCCTCAAGGATTGAAGACAAGGGTGGTCAGGGCTAGGCAGAGTGGGATTTCAAGGTTCTCTTGAGGCCAGCACTCACTGACCTCTAGTTCCTCATCTTTTTTTTTTTTTTTTTTTTTTTTTTTTTTTGAAACAGAATCTCACTCTATCACCCAGGCTGGATTGCACTGGTGTGATCTCGGCTCACTGCAACCTCCACCTCTGGGTTTAAGCGATTCTCGGGCCTCAGTCTCCCGAGTAGCTGAGATTACAGGCGTGCACCACCACACTCTGGTAATTTTTTTGTGTTTTTAGTACAGATAGGGTTTCACCATATTGGTCAGGCTGATCTCGAACTCCTGACCTCAAATGATCCACCTGCCTCGGCCTCCCAAAGGGCTGGGATTACAGGCATGAGCCACTACACCCAGCCTATTTCCTCATCTTTAAAATGAGAATTGTAAAAGCACCAGCCCTGTTACCTCAAGGGGTGACTGGGGAGTAAGCTAAGGCAGTGGGGGTGACAGTATGTCATGGACAGCAAGGAGCCTCACAGTCACACACCCCAGCTGCACCTGGCTCCTGGGAGGCACACACTGTGTATAAAATGCAGTCCCTGCCTGCAGGCTGCTTAAATGCTAGTCAAAAACAAAACACTCTAGGGACACCCTGAGGAAACAGCACAAGATGGCCGAATACCAATACAACCTGGTATTGGTTCATGCAGATGGTGTGTGCAGTTAGTACGATTGTTCTAGAAGACTCCCACAGCTTTCTCCAATCGGGCGCCTGGCACTCTCTGTGCTTGGTAGGGTCACCAAGACTCCCAGCCCAGTCCTTGACTCTGCAGCTCCAAAAACCCTTTCAGAAACTGCTGTATCCTGGGAAAGGCTTGTGCCAGCCAGCCCCCCAGTCCAGAAAGCCAATGCATTCTTTACAGTGGAAGAGCACCCCTTCATTTGCACAGAGCACACATCTTTCTGGGATGTAAATCCATTCAAGGAACAGAGTAAGAGACCAGAAGTCTTCCTCATAAAAAGAATGAACCTAGAGGGTGCTGGTCCACCTCCCCTGGTGTCATTTTGCTCCAGCACGAGTGCATAGTGATCGCCTCCCACACCCTTCCCACCCAGAGCGTCTTTCTCTCTGGGTCCACTGGGGGTCCTGAGTCCTCATTTGGACCAAACAGTTACTCTCCTGACAGTCTTTTATCTCTCCTTTTTCTGTCCTGCATGAACCAATCTGCCAGGAAAACAAGGAGCAGGTTAGAACGCAGCTTACCTGGTGTGGTTCCTACTTTAGACATTGGCCTCCTTAACAAGACTGACGGTGAGCCGAATCTCCAAGTTCCTCCCCACCTCCCCCCACCCCAGACCCAGGCTTCCAGCCCCAGGGAGCACCATTCCCTTCTGTGATGGGCTGGACTGCGGCCACTGTCCCAAGGACCAACACTGCTCTTCAGGGGAGGCTCCATCCTCCACAGCCAGGGAACTTATAGCAGACAATCTGCTAGGTCCTGGTTCTCAACATTTTTAGCTCACATCCCACCCACAAAAATTCTGTCAAGCTTTACTACCTGTGGTTTGAATGACAAAAACATTGAATAATAATCCTTATTATTATTTATATGAGACAGGGGTTTGCTATGCTGCCCAGGCTGGTGTCGAACTCCAGGGCTCAAGGAATCCTCCCACCTCAGCCTCCCTAGTAGTAGGATTACAGGCACGAGTCACCACACCTGGCTAATTATTATTTTAAATTATATTAGAATGATGGAGGCATTTTCAAACGCTGCTGTACCAGGTCCACATGCTGACACCCCACCCCCACCCACTCCCAGGAGAACATTCCCTTCCACTCCCACCTTGTCGTGAGCCGCTGTTTTGGAGTGATCCCTTCAAATGGACCTTCCTGCTCATGCTAGTGAATCAATTCCGCCAGCATCCGGAGTGCCAGGCTCTGTACTGATGTAGCTCAGCCTGTTTGTGGGTGGAGTGGGGGTGGGAAGAGGCAGTTTCCAAAGAAATCACCGCCACAAAATTCAATAGCTAAAGAGTGAGGATTTTTCTTTGTTATTTATTTTTTAAATTTTCACTATTATTATTGTTTTAGAGGCGGGTCTCGCTCTGTGGCCCAGGCTGGAGTGCAACAGCTCGATCATAGCTCACTGTAGCCTCGAACTCCTGGGCTCCAGTGATCCTCCTACCTCAGCCTCCTGAGTAGCTGGGACTACATTTCATTTTTTGTAGAGATCTCCTTATGTTGCCCAGGCTGGTGGAGCAAGGATTTTTCTAATTCTGCTTTTGAATTCTGTGGATGGCTCTGGAGTGAGGGATGGCACCCCTGTGAGCATAAGAATATCTAGTGAGCTATAGAAGGAAGATAATCTTGGAGCACAGCTGGACCTGCGCAGGGAGCACAGAGAGCGGGGGGCCGGTGCCTGGCGCCCCCTGGCGGGACTGCGCGGTGCGGCGAGGGAGGGGCACGCGGAACCCGCCCGCGGCCCAGGGACCCCAGCCCTCCGCCTCCAGCTCTGCGGTCTGCACGAAGCGCGCATTTACCCCAGCACAAATTCCTGCAGACGACTGACGCTGCGTGCCACCTCACTCACCAGGCAGACGAGAACCTGGAGGCCTGCAACCAATGGTGTCTCTTTCCGGAGGTCCCTGGGGGCGTTCTCGCTGTTGATTATCCCGTGGAGCCCGCAAGGCTTTGTCTGTGCTGCCAGTGAGACAATGAGTGCTGAGCCTCACCGGCGTTGGATGTGAAGGAAGGCGGCCGTGTCTCGCCCACCCTGGCAAGGCCACACGCGTGTCCCAGCGTGGGATGCGGGGCGCGGGGAGCCAGCCTCTGCGAGGAGATGAGGTCCTCGGGCGCAGACAGCAGCAGCCACTGGGTGGGGTTGAGACAAGCCCGGGAACAGGGGTGGGGGAAGCGGCCGAGACAGGATTCCAGGAGAAGGGGCGGCCAGGCAAAGCACCTCCCCTCCCCTCAGGAGTGCATCGGAGTTGAGCGGTAGGGAGGGAAACCTCGCAGGCGTGGATGATCAAAGTCAGATCTTGTAGCTCTAATCTCACATTTTTATGCTTATTTATTTATTTATTTATTTATTATTTTTTGAGACAGAGTCTCGCTCTGTCGCTCAGGCTGGAGTGCAGTGGGGTGATCTCGGCCCACTGCAACCTCCACCCTCCAGGTTTAAGCAATTCTCTGCCTCAGCGTCCGGGGTAGCAGGAATTATAAGGCGCATGCACCACGCCCGGCTGATTTTTTGTATTTTTAGTAGAGACAGGGTTTCACCATCTTGGCCAGGCTGGTCTTGAACTCCTGACCTCGTGATCCACCCACTTCAGCCTCCCAAAGTGCTAAGATTATAGGCGTGAGCCACCACGCCCGGCCTTATGCTTATTTTTTAAAAGGCCACGAATTAGCATTGAGAACCTCTGGGCCACAGCAGGATAGTCTTAGGGCAGAGGCTGGGAAATGTGGCCTTGCAAGGAGGTCAACAATGGGGAGAGCAGAAACTTGTCTCTGGGGACCCACGGTACCTGGTCTATATTATCCATCTCCCTTTTGTCATTCCTTGGGCACCCTGGTTTTGAGCAAATCAGCCTTGTTCTCAATCTCCATGGCAGCTGGTCTTGTTGGGGTGCACCAGGGTTAGACCACTGTCATGGCTCCTCTCTCACTCCCTTGATGATCTCATCTGCTCTCATAGTTTAAATACCATCAGCATGGGATGACTCCCAAATTTCTATCTGCATCCCGGGTCTCTCTCCAAACCAGGCTTATATACCCAGTTACCTACCTGATATATCCACCTGGATGTCTAGCAGACATCTCAAACTCAACATGTCCAAAACTGAAACAGCTGATCTTTTCACCTCTACCCGCTCTACCGGCAGCCTTCCTCATCTCAACTGACGGCAACTCCATTCTTCCCTGCCAGAATCTTAAGAGTCATTTTTCACTCCTCTCTTCCTTTCACACTCCTTGTCCAATTTGTTATGAAATTCTGTGGACATTACCTTCCACATATGTACAGAATCTGACATCTCACTGCCACCATTCTTATCACTATGGTCTCAGCCACCATCATTCCTTATCTGGATTTCTGTAGAAGTTTCCTAGCAGGTCCTTCTGTTTCCTACCTTTACTCCCATGGCCTAGTCTCAATACAGTACTGGGTGGTCATTTAGAACATAAGGCCGATCATGTGGTCCCTCTGGTCAACCTCCCTGCGATGGCTCCCATTTCTCTTGGAGGAAAAGCCGAAGGCCTTACGTGGTCTACAAGGCCCTATAGGACCAAGTCCCATCGCTTCTCTAACCTCACCTCTCACTATTGTCCTCCTTGCTCTGCCCACTGCAGCCACAGTGGACTCTTTGCTGTTCCTCCAACATGCCGGGCACATTCCTGCCCCAAGGTCGTTGCTGTAGCCACACCACTGCCTGGAGTGCTCTTCCCAGATATTCTAATTCTCACCTCCTTTAATTCTATGCTCAAATCTCACCTTCTCAATGAGGCTTGGTATGGACTGAATTGTGTCTGCCCTCCAAATTCCTATGTTGAAGACTGTGAAAAGAAAGCAAATCTCAAGAACCCCCAAATCACGTCAAAGGGAAAAGTCAAGCTGAGAACTGCATCAGGCAAACCTGCCTCCCATTTTATTCCTAAATGATAAGATAGTTACAAAGATAAAAAAGCTACATACCTCCCTCACAATTTCCTCATTAGGAAATTCTGGGGCCCAAGATTTTTACGCTGAAATGGATCTGCTGAATTTTACCCGGACAATGTGAATGGATAACCTATCTTCACAGGCATGGGACAAATGACAGAACTCTAAGTCATCCCTCTGCTCACTTGAGACACATGCATATCTGATTGCTTCCTCTGATGTAAAAATGCAGATTCACTGAGCTAGACATGGCATAGGGACTACTCCTCTACCACCCCTCCGCCCCACCCACCCCCCCACCTCATGTAAATTATGTATTCAGTGAAAGGCTCATCAAAGACTCAAAAGAAGTCTGGGCACGATGGCTCACGCCTATAATCCTAGCACTTCAGGATGCTGAGGTGGGCAGATCACTTGAGGTCAGGAGTTTGAGACCTGCCTGGCCAACATGGTGAAACACTGTCTCTACTAAAAATACAAAAATTAGCCAGACATGGCGGTGGGCACATGTAATCCCAGCTACTCTGGGGGCTGAGGCAGGAGAATCACTTGAACCTGGGAGGCGGAGGTTGCAGTGAGCTGAGATTGCGCCACTGCACTCCAGCCTGGGCGACAAAGTGAGACTCCATCTCAGAAAAAAAAAAAAATACAAAAAATTAGCCGGGTGTGGTGGTGCATGCCTGCAATCCCAGCTACTTGGGGTGCTGAGCCACGAGAATTGCTTGAACCCAGGAGGTGGAGGTTGCAGTGAGCCGAGATCATGCCACAGCGAGATGGCAGCCACCTGCAAGCCAGGAGAAGAGGCGTCAGGATGAAACCTGCCTCGATAGCACCTTGATCTTGGATGTCCAGCCTCCAGAATCATGAGAAATGTTTCCGCTGCTTATGCCACCCAGCCTGGGGTATTTGTTATGGCAGCTCTAGCTGACTAAGACAAGGCTGATCCTGCCACTCTATATGCTATTGCCACCTGTCCCACCCTTCTTCCTAGGGCTCCCAAACTCCCTTCCTTGCTCTACCTTTTCTATTTACCATAGCTCTTAATGCCTTTAGATATATATTATATAATATTTTTTCTTACATACATTGTGTATCGTCCATCTCCCCTGCCAGAACATAAGCTTCATGAGGGCAGGGATTTCTGTTTGGTTCACTAATGTATCCAAGTGCCTGGAACAGTAAGTTTCTGGTGCATAATGGCCATTCATTAAATCTTTGTCAGATGAAGGAATGAATCCTTCTCAAAGAGGCAAAAGGAAGCAAGGAGAGGGGTTTTAATTTATCTTAGAGCTGCTAATCTTTAAAGGGGAAGTCCATCCAGGGGATGGACAGAAGGGCTGAGCAGGCCTGGCTGTGGCCTCAGGCACACAAAGGGCTCAGGAGACTGGAGACAAGGTCACTTGGCTGGCACCATTCTCATCTGAGAGTCACACATTTTATTTAAAGGAGACAAGGTTCTCTGGTGGAAGCAGGAAGACATTCCGAGCACACAATATGCACAAAGACACAGAGGCAGGAAGCTCTCTGGGAATAGAGATTTGCAGGGAGTGTGAGCAGAGGACAGTGACAGCAACACAGAGTCCAGAGAAGGCGAGATGAGGAGGAGGACTGTCAAGCTCAGGTACTGAACTCTATTTGACCAGGAATCTGGAGCCGCTGAAGGATTTAAGCAGGGAAGCAAGCTGATGGGATTCACTTGTTTGAAAGATCACTTGGGCAGCAGCTGAAGGAGAATCTGGCCACAAGGAGACCACTTAGGAGAGGGGGCTACACTTGTCCCAGGTACCTCACGGCAGTGTGCTTTTCCTCATGCCTTGGGAAGAAACGTTAAGCACAGGCACATACATCTTTGTTAACAGGTAACAGGAAAAGCTAGTGCCAGCCTGCCCCCCGAAACCTCAGGGGAGAGAGGGAAACCCAAACTTGACACCACAAGGTACTCCTACTGACCTCCCTACTCAGAGTGAGATGGACCCACATAGTCGGGCTTTTCTTTCTTTGGTTCTTAGCAAGAGAGGGACTCATTGACAGGCAAATATGATTCAAAATACTCCAGCCTCAGCGTTTTCCTTGAGACCTTCCCATCAGGCTGTTGCCATGACAACCATTGCTGACCCAGGCTTGAGGAAGCGGCAGCTGGATCCCAGAAAGGATGTGGTCCTGCTACTGCCGCTGTTCCTCAACATGACTCACCCTGTGATGCAACAGTTCGTCCTGGCAGGTTGCACCTCATACACACCCATACCTCCGCATCTATCCTCAGCATGTATTCTCCCTACCAGCCAGGCTGGGCCTGCCAGTGGCTGTGTTCTTGTCCAGGTGTTTGCAGTGGGAGAGAGCAAAGCCATCATCATACAAAGAACTAGAGGCAAGCAGAGACAGCAGCCATCCCTGTGGCAGCCAGTCCCCAGTTCTAGGCGCTGAGGCCCTGGCTATTATGGCTAATATCGTGATTCAGAGTCCTTCCCAGCTTTGGATGCCACTAGATTGAGGTCAGGAGTTTGAGAACAGCCTGGCTAACATGGCGAAACCCCAGAGTGTCCTATTTCCAAGTGGATTCTTCTCAGTTAGTTCCCATCCACCTCTTTGGCCCCATCTGAAGAAATCGCTTCTCCTCTCTATGCCTTCGTTTTCATAGCTCTGAAATGGAGAGAACACATCATGTTTACGGTGTCTCTTCTCTCTAGGAGCTGTTAGGGGAGCAAGAAGAGACAGCTTAATGTCAGGAATATGTCACGGGACTCAAGGAGTGGCCGAATGGTTCATGGTGAGGAGAGGTGGAGAGGCGGAGAGGGACCAGCCCACAGACCTGTCCTAAGGACGGGGACAAAGCGGCGTGCTGCAGCACAGCTCCTACTTGTGGGCTTCTGGAACTTCAAGTGAAAAATGCATTCAGCCGCCACACCGGGGAGAGGGCAACCACGACCCCCAGCTTTCCTCCCTGTCCTGAGGGTGCTCCACGGGCATTAGATCTCAGCTCCTCAGCTCTGACTTACAGGCCTTATGCTTAATGCCAAACAGACAAGCTCCACTGTGAGTGTACGTGTGCGTGTGTATGCACACATCCAAAGGGGCTTGGAAGAAGGGGGAAAGGCTTTCAAACAAGGGGCTTACAAAGGTCAAATCAGATGCAGTGAGCATGAGCAAGACCGCCATCACTCATTCAAGGATTCGCGCAGCCCCTCCTAAGTGCAGACACTGCTCTCATCGTCACAATGTATGTTTATATAAAGCTTGATGGTTCACAAACGTCTCCCCTACTTCAGCTCTGCATCCTCTCAACAATGTGTGGGGTAATAAGGGCAAGTATTAAACCACGTTTACATTTGAGAAATGTACATTTATAAATGAGGACTCCAATGCTCAGAAATATTAAGTAATTTGCCAAAGTCATAGCTTGTAATTGGTGATGCCCAAACTCATATACAGGGCTTCCAGTGCCTCTGCACCATGGCTGTGTTCTGTATCCTGGAGGCTGTAGCCTTGTATCTAGAGTTACTAGCACGAACTGTACTGAGAAAGCCACCCAGCCACCTCCAGTCTCTCTGAGCAGACAGAGTGGGTGGAATCAGCAGTGCTAAATGATGGGGTTTCTGGGCACTCCTGGAAAATCTCCTCTGCCCAAAAATTTCTCAAGTAGAGAGTTTCATTATTTAGAATAAGCACCACAGGTTCCACTAACTTCATTAGCCCTATGGGTCACCAGGTCTGTTAATAATGTTCACCAGTCATGAACATCTTCCTATTTGGTGGTGTGCCTGATATTCAGGACAGCATCTCAAGAGATTGTGGCAGGACAGGCAAGTTGGGGTTTTTGTCTTCTTTTCTTGGAGAGGCCCTAGGCTGCTGGGACTCTCCTCCGCCTGCACAGTGCTGCTTACAGTATGCAGCACAGACCATCGACTCCTCATCCACAATAATATTCATCAACACCCTTTTTCCTAGACACTCAAACTATACCTCCCAGACTCCCCCTGCAAGCACATGGGGCCATGTGACCACGTTTCAGCCAATTACATGAAAACAAAGGTGCTCTGAGCCACTTCCAGGCACAATGGAAAGGGGGAATCCTTATGGGTGACTGGAGAATATGCCCCCAGGCCAAACTTGGAAGCCACCAGTTGATGATGGAAAAGTAGCTATTATATAGGTCCTCAAATGACATATAAAGGACTCTGGGCCAGATGCGGTGGCTCATGCCTGTAATCTCAGCACTTTGGGAGGCCCAGACAGAGGATTGCTTGAGCTTAGGAGTTCGAGACCAGCATGGGCAACACAGCAAGACCTTGTCTCTACTAAAAATAAAAAAAATGGCGGGGCGAGGTGGCTCACACCTGTAATCCCAGCACTTTCGGAGGCCGAGGTGAGTGGATCATCTAAGGTCAGGAGTTCAAGACCAGCCTGACCAACATGGCGAAACCCCATCTCTATTAAAAATACAAAAAATTAGCTGGGCATGGTGGCACATGCTGTAAACTCAGCTACATTGGAGGCCGAGGCAGGAGAATCGCTTGAACCCAGGAGGCGGAGGTTGCAGTGAGCCAAGATCACGCTACTGCACTCCAACCTAGGAGACACAGCAAGACTCCGTCTCAAAAAAAAAAAAAAATTAGCCAGGTGTGGTGGTGGGCACCTGTGATCCCAGCGACATGGGAGGGTGAGATTGGACGATCCTTTGAGCCCAGGAGATCAAGGCTATAGTGAGCTATCATCATGTCACTGCACTGCAGGCTGGGTGACAGAGGGAAGCCCTGTCTCCAAAAAAATAAGTAATAAAGGGCTCTGCACAGTCAACTTGCACAAACAACCAGAGTTTTTGTCTCTATTGTCTCTATTGCTGCATCTAGGACCAGAGCAGTGCTTGGCACATGGTATATATCACCCAACTTACGACACCAGCAAGTACCAGGCACATCGTCATTTTATGTGCCAATAAAAAAGTAGAATGCTGCCAATTGAACTATGACACTCTCCTTTCACTTAGAATTTTTATTTTGTACTTATTGAGAAAAGCTTTTATAGATTCAGTTCACCGTAGATTTCTATTATAAATCACTTTTGTGCATAATAAAACAGTAAAGAGAAGTGAAAGAAGTTGGCTAAGATATTTCTAGAATTTCTTCTCATTCCAAATCTGACTCCTCTGTTTTTGACTCAGACTTGAAAATGACCATCTTTTTTCACACACTGTCATTCTCTGTGGCATCAAGAGTGTTGGTGATGAAACGTTTCTCAAAAGAATCCATAAAAGAACTCAGGGTGGGTCATATGTGCTGGGTTCTTAAAACCAGCTTCATGGCCGGGCATGGTGGCTCATGCCTGTAATCTCAGCACTTTAGGAGGCTGAGGCAGGCAAATCACCTGAGGTCAGGAGTTCGAGACCAGCCTGGCCAAGGTGAACCCCGTCTCTACTAAAAATAAAAATAAAAAAATTAACCGGGCTTGGTAGTGGGTGCCTGTAATCCCAGCAACTCAGGAGGCTGAGGCATGAGAGTCGCTCAAAACAGAGAGGGGGAGGTTGTAGTGAACCAAGTTTGTGCCACTACACTCCAGCCTGGGCAACAGAGTGAGGCTTTGTCTCAAACCAACAACAACAATAACAAAAAAAACAGCTTCATAATTTTGTGGATTTAGCTTGCTGTTGACTCCTATAATCATGAATGCTGCCAAACATGTCGAATTCACCACTTCCCCCACACCACCATTTGATTCTTATGGGCTAAGAGCATGCTTCATGATTGTTTGTGGATTTTTTCCTCCAAGCTATTGACACACATTCTGCAAGTTCTGACGTTAGAATTTTTTTTTTCTTTTTTTTTTTTTTTTGAGGCCAAGCCTTGGTCTGTTGCCCAGGCTGGAGTGCGGTGGCGCAATCTTGGCTTACTGCAACTTCTGCCTCCTGGGCTCAAGTGATTCTTGTGCCTCAGCCTCTCAAGTAGCTGGGATTACAGGAGCACACCACCACACCCAACTAATTTTTGTATTTTTGGTAGAGACAGAGTTTCATCATGTTGGCCAGGCTGGTCTCAAACTTCTGACCCAAAGTGATCCACTGGCCTCAGCCTCCCATAGTGCTGGGATTCTAGGCATGAGCCACTGCTCCCAGCCAATGCTGGAACTTTTGATGTTTGCACAGGGAATGATAACCTCATCAAGACTGCAGCATGGCCAACAGCAATTGCAAGATGCCAAGAATTTAAGATACAGCCCAACTTCAGAGATTTTTAAGTTGTGAGGACAGCGGGGAAGCATCACAGAATTTTTAAAAATATGTTGTAGGTTCTCAATAAATATTTGTTGAATGAGTGAGTAGATAAATTCCAGTTCCCTTTCGGTGACTGGAAAATGCTTTGACTTCCTTGGGAAAAGGCCTTCAGACTTTGAGGATCATACAGTTCTGATAAAGCTAAAGTGACTGTGTTGGTTAGACTGTTCTTTTGTTTGTTGTTGTTTTTAAGATGAGGGTCTTGCTATATTGTACAGGCTGGGCTTGAAGTCCTAGGCTCAAGTGATCCTCCCTCCTTGGCCCCCCAAAGTGCTGGGATTACAGGCATGAACCACCGGGCCCAGCCTGGTTAAATTGTTCTTATTTGCAAATGAACAGAAAACCCAATCGAAATGGCCTAAACTGGCTGGGTGCGGTGGTACATGCCTATAATCCCAGCACTTTGGGAGGCCAAGGTGGGAGAATCACTTGGGTCCAGGAGTTCAAGACCAGCCTGGGTGACTCATGGCTAAAAGTTACAAAACATTGGCCCGGTGTAGTGGCATACACCTATAGTCCTAGCTACTCAGGAGTCTGAAGTGGGAGGATCGCCTGAGCCTGGGAGGTCGAAGCTGCAGTGAGCCCTGATTGTGCCACTGCATTCAATAATTAAGAATAATTTCTTAATTATTTCAAAAGTAGGGGGCCAACTCCTTGTTAGGTCTGATTAGATCATAGTTGTTCCTACCTATTGTAATAGAGTTAACACAGCTCTTGTAGGGGCGGGGAAAATGTCAGCACTTCTTTTCCTTGTTGTATGCTTATACTTGTGCTAATAGTATGACTTGCAGCTTTATTGCAGGAAATGTTCAGAGCCATGTATGCAGTCTATGAGGGTTAACTTGTTAAAACTAGATAGTGTAATCTGTATACTCATTTCACAAGATGTGAGTGAGACCTTGTCTCAAAAAACAAAAGCAAAACAAAATGGCCTAAACTATAAGGAAACATAAGTTAGTTCATATCACAAGGAGCCCTGAAATTGGGCAGATACAGTGTTGGCTAATTCAGTGACTCTGCAATTCAGTAAGGACTATGGCTTCTTGCCATTTTTCTGCTTGGCCATCCCAGACATGCTGGCTTGGTCCTCAAGCCAGTTGCCCTCATGGTCCCAAGTTGGCTGTCTTAGTTCTAGTGTCATATTCAGACATAAAATATCCAGTAGAGAGAAAAGGATCGTATCTGCCCCATGACTCTTTTTTAAGGAGAGAAAATCTGTCCCAGAAGTCTTCCAGTGGGCTTCTCATTTCAGTGGCCAGCTTGGGTCGCATGCCCACTCCTAATGAAATCTCTGGTAGAGAAGTGAAATTGCCATGATTGGATTAAACTAATCAGGATTTACCCTCGAGCTTGAAATAGAGTTCACCTTTCCCTTAGGGGTGAACCGGGATTTTGTTCTTAAGGAAGAAGTGAATGAATTTCAAGTGTTAGGGTAATGCTATCCAAGTGTTTTATTGTACAGTAAAACTGTTTTCAGCATCACTCCCCTTATACATGTATTATATTGTCAGAGAAAATATCTCAAGGCTCAATAGTTGCTTTTTTTTTTTTTTTTTTTTTGTAGAAATGGAGTCTCACTATGTTGTGCAGGCTGTTCTTGAACTCCTGGTCTCAAGTGAGCCTCGCCCTCCCAAAGTGCTGGGATTACAGGCATGAGTCATGACACATAGCCTCAGTATTCACTTTTTATGAAGTACATCATTAATGATGAGTGAATGTAAATCCATACTTAAGCACTTTTGTGGCAAACACTACTGGTTGGCTAATTTAGCAGATACTCCTAACTCCCTTCTCTCTTGCTACCACTGCCACAAAGACTAGAAAGCCAAATAGTCACTCTCAGCCTCTTTTGCAACTGGAGGTGGCCATGTGATCCAGCTCTGGCCAACAAAATATCTGCAAAAGTTTTTGAGGTGCTTTGGGGAGTTTTCATGAAAAATAGGTCAAAGGTGCAGACATTGCCTTTTATTTCCTTCCCACCTTCTTCCTGCCATCAGTGCCGATGTGATGGCTGAACATCTTGCAACTGTGAGAGAAAGGCCAAGAGAATGGCAGAGAAGCTGGCCCTCATTTCTTTATGTGATTTAGCAATATCATCAGCTGCCTGCTTTCAGTTCTCTAGATACATGAGAAAAATAAGCCTCTGTTTGTATAAACATGCCTGTAATCTCAGCACTTTGGGAAGCTAAGGCAGGTAGATCACCTGCGGTCAGGAGTTTGTATAAGCTGCCATGGTTGGGCTTTCTGTTACTTGCAGCTGAATACCTTCCCAAGTTTTCTTAATTATTTCAAATGTAGGGGGACAACTCCTTGTTAGGTCTGATTAGATCATAGTTGTTCCTACCTATTGTAATAGAGTTAACACAGCTCTTATAGGGGCGGGGAAAATGCCAGCATTTCTTTTCCTTGTTGTATGCTTGTACTTGTGCTAATAGTATGACTTGCAGCTTCTTTGCAGGAAATGTTTAGAGCCATGAATGCAGTCTATGAGAGTTAACTTGTTAAAACTAGATATGTAATCTGTATACTCATTTCACAAGATGTAAACTACAATGCACCACAATACCCTGAATATGACATGGGAGAGTGCCATTGTCACTTCCTCCTCCAAATTGTGGCACTCAGAAACCCTCATGTGATCATGACATAACATCCCTGGCATCCAGGGTAAGTGAGGGTGCCAGTGTCAATATATGTATTGAAACTAAGGAAGACTTCATTTTCTTTTAATTATTTTAGAGAAGAAAACCCTTCAAGAAAAAGTTCTGCATGTTTATTCCCCATGGCCCAAAGGGGCCATCATGTGTGTCCCCAGGGTGCCCATGCCCCTCTTTGGAGACCATTGAAGTTGACCCACAGTATCTGCTCCAGTGACCTGGATGGCAGGTGCCCTGCTCTAGACAGCCACGTGCAGGAAGCTGCCTTCAAGTGGATGAAGGCAGGCGGTCACAGGGGAGAAATGGGGATGGCATTTAGTAATGTGTCAAGGTAGAAGTGCTATTGACTCCAAAAACAAAAATGATTTTTCAAAAATATGCTGATACTCATTTCCTGCAAATGTAACATTCTTCCCAAAAAACCTCCATAAGGTAGAGATTTTATATAATCTACACCAGGATTGGAGGAGAGTTTTGGGAGCATCTAATTGCACACCCTCATTTTACAAAGGGGAGGTTGGATGTCTCGGATTAATTGTTGGCTCTTCAGGATCACCCAGGCCTTCAGATCCCCAGCCCAGAGGCTTCCCATTGGCTGCCTCCTCTAAGAGGTTACTTCTCTTCTAGAGGATACTTGATGTGGGAAGTGTGGATGAAGGGCAAAGAAAAGAGAAAATCAAGAGAGTGCCAGCTTGGAAGTAATTGAAGGCAGCAAGAAACTAGGCCTGTTGGCCAGGCACAGTAGTTCATGCCTATAATCCCAGCACTTTGGGAGGCTGAGGCAGGAGGATCACTTGGGGCCAGGAGTTTGAGACCAGCCTGGACAACATACCAAGACCCCACTTCTACAAAAAATAAAATTAGTTGGGCATAGTGGGACATGCCTGTAGTATCAGCTACATGGGAAACTGAGATGGGAAGATCACTTGACCCCAGGAGTTTGAGGCTGCAGTGAGTTATGATCTCACCACTGTACTCCAGCCTGGGCCACAGAGCAAGACTCTGTCTCTAAAAATAAATGAAAAAAAGAAATGACCTGTTACTTTGCAAAGTCCTTAGGTTGAGAAACTCTGAACTTGTTACATTGGACTAACCAGACTTCCAGAAAAGAAGAGTTCTTAGGAGACCAGCAGTTACCAAACAGCTGAGTTAATCCCTTAAGAACTCATGATAGAAAATCTCTGAGTGAAGATTCTTGGGACCTAAAATATAGAGGAGCTCAATATATTTACTGAATGAATGACTGAATGAATGAATAAGGCAATGGAAAAAAGTCACTTAAAATTTTTACATTTTTTTAGGGGATGCTAGAAAAAGCACTGCCCTTGAACTCAGATACAAGCTGACCTTCCAGTTACAAGCTGTGTGACCTTGGGCAAGTCCCCCAAACTATGTGGGTTCCATTTTTTTCTGTAAATCAAGGAAAGATATGTGAATACAGAAGAGAAGTCAATGTGAAAGTGCATGGTATATAATGGACTCAGTAAGTGATGGACAAAGCAGAGTCCTTTGTTTCATACCTTAAAGGGGAGAACAAGGGTGAGACTCAACACCAATAGTGCAAAACTGCAGCAGATTGTCACCAAAACCCCTCCACCCCCGCCGTCTCCCAGAGGCTCAGCTCACTTTCCCATTGGAATTTGCAAGCCAGCTCGGAGCATGCTGCCATCTGCTGGGAAGAAGATAGACGTGAACACCAAAGCATCCCTAACACCAGGCCACAGTGGGGAGGGAGAAACCTGGAAAAGGAAAGGGTAGGGATCCAGTTTCCTTTGGCTGTGACTCTCTTGTCCTTTAAGACATCCAGGGCCCTCCCCATTGGCCAACAATTTGTCAGAAGAATGAGATTTCAATCAGGTTTTCTCCTGAAAACTGATAGGACATTATCCAACTTTAAAAAGGAAGGAGATTCTGACATACGCTACAACATGGAT
Organism: Homo sapiens; assembly: GCF_000001405.40. Taxonomy (NCBI): domain Eukaryota; kingdom Metazoa; phylum Chordata; class Mammalia; order Primates; family Hominidae; genus Homo; species Homo sapiens. Next base: position 69,535,165 of record NC_000014.9, on the reverse strand, counting down.
GAATCTTGAGGACGTTATCGTAAGTGAAACAAGCCAGGCACAGAAAAAGACCAATGCTGTATAATTCCACTTATATAAGGTATATACAGTAGTCAAAAATCATAGAGACAGAAAGTAGAATGGTGATTGCCAGGGGCTGGGGGTTAGGAGAATGGGGAGTGTCTAATAGATACAGAGTTTGAGTTTTACAAGATGAAAAAGTTCTGGAGAGTGGTTGCACAAAATGTGAACATATTTAACACTACTGGCATATATTATATTACACTTATAAATATATACATGTGTGGCCGGGCACGGTGGCTCACGCCTGTAATCCCAGCACTTGGGGAGGCCGAAGTGGGCGGATCACGAGGTCAGGAGATCGAGACCATCCTGACTAACATGGTGAAACCCCGTCTCTTCTAAAGAAATACAAAAATTAGCCAGGCGTTGTGGCAGGTGCCTGTAGTCCCAGTTACTCAGGAGGCTGAGACAGGAGACGCGTGAACCCGGGAGGCGGAGCTTGCAGTGAGCCGAGTTCGTGCCACTGTACTCCAGCCTGGGCGACAGAGCAAGGCTCCGTCTCAAAAAAAAAAAAAAAAAGAAGAAATATATACATGTGTGTGTATGTGTATATATATATATATATATATGTATGTATTTTGAGATGGAGTCTCATTCTGTTGCCCAGGCTGGAATACAGTGGCACAATCTCGGCTCATTGCAACCCCCGCCTCCTGGGTTCAAGTGATTCCTGTGCCTCAGCCTCCCAAGTAACTGGGATTACAGGTGGGCGCCACCACGCTCGGCTAACTTTTGTATTTTTAGTAGAGATGGAGTTTCACCATGTTGCCCAGGCTGGTCTCAAACTCCTGGCCTCAAGTGATCCACCCACCTCAGCCTCCCAAAGTGATGGGATTACAGGTGTGAGCCACTGTGCTCAGCCTCTGTACACTTAGAAATATTAATAGTTAAAATGGTAAATGTTAAGTTGTGTGTATTTCACCACAATTTAAGAGCCAGTAAGTGAAAGAGATAAGCACGTGGTAGACACTTGACTTCATGCAATAGAATCACAATAAATACGTGTTGAACGAAGATGGAAAGAAGTGGCATGGTGGCTCACACTGGTAATCCTACAACTTAGGAGGCTGAGGCAGGAGGATTGCTCAAGCCCAGGAGGCTACAGTGAGTTATGATTATACTAGTGCACTCCAGCCTGGGTGACAGAGCAAACCCTGTTTCTCAGAGATGGAAAGAAGTGATGCTGACTGATGGTCTCAGATACAGGGTGAACATGACAATAGGCATCTTTTCTTTACCAGAAAAGCCTTCCAAGCAACTATGATTAGTCACAGTTACCTTTTCCTTGAGGTGATAAATTAGTTATCTTTCCTATTCTCATCTCAAAGCAAACATATATTTTCATAGACAGTTCTAAGGATGGCATGGCATTGAGTGCTACCTGAGCCAGAACCTGACATCCTGTATGTTCTTGATCACTTGTAGCAGTGGCAGCCAATTTTCTGTTGATTTCAGGGATGCAAAGTCCCAATCATAGAACTTCAGAACCACAAAGGCTCTGAGCAGCCTGTAAGATTGAAGGGATTTCTCTCCTGCTTACTAAAAATGCATAAATACAGTAAACATTTTAAATAGTGACTTTTCAAAAGCCACAGGAGCCAGCAAGTGGCAAAGCAGAGCCTTCCCCCGCACCCACAGCAGCAGACAGTGCACAACAACTTCTTCCCCTAGGTCTCGTCTTGCCACTGGAGTCACTGCTCTGCAAGGGGGAAGGCTCTCTTTGTGGACACTCCAAGGCCCACCAACCACAGCTTTTGCCAGGATTACAAGGGGAGGCTGAGTCTGTTCACAATGGGACTCTCAGCCCAGAGGCAGGTGTCAGATCCTCCAGGGGAAGGGTGGTGGAGTGCAAAGAGAGCATGAGCCCCCAAATGCAGCTGGCTCTGAAACTGCCTGGATGTCTCCTGGAGCCCCTGCTGTTGAGCCCTTGTGAGCAACTCTGACTCACCCCAACTTCCCTGCCCAACTGTCAAGTCTCAGCCAGAGGCATACTCAGAGTTGACAGTGACAGGTAAAGTTCACCACAAGGGATTTGGTTATTAAGGTCCCCACCCCCCAGGACTCCTGGACTTAGAGTATTTCCTATATTTCCCATGAACACCTTTAACCCAGTAAGATGGAGTGAAGTTCATTTCTGGGTCAGAAGAGCTGTAAGCCATGGGTGGAAGCCCACGTCCAGGGAAGGGAATGGGAGATGGGATGTGCCGAGCCAGGAGAACTGAACCTGGGGATGTTGACACCACAACATTCCACACCCACTCGGAAGTTTGAATAACCAGTTTCTCCCAGTTGCTTTGTGTGTCTGGGAGTGGCTCTCTTTCAGGAGGTAAAAACAACCATTGTAATCTCTCCTAAAGCCTTGCAAAAGACATCCCTCAACTCCTGTTTGCCAGGGGTGGGGTGAGATAAGAGAAGTCAGCAGCTTTTTCTCCAAGAGTCAAAGCTGCAGAGTTTCTGACTTTGGAGAGACCTTGCAAGGCCTGGGGGTCTGAGAAGTGTCAACATGGCTGATTGCAGAAGCACACAGTTCCACAGGGACTGCTGGACTTTATCTGAGGGCTTCAGGACTATTTTGCCCAGTGGATTTATTTATCTTCCTATTGGATAAAATCTGACACACCTGGACTGGCTCCCTGAGACTTGAGCAAGTTTTGTTCCACTATCATCATTCATTGTGGACTCCAAACAGGCTGCTGAGACTATGCTGAGCTGGGTGGGCTTGGAGTGGGTTGGGGGCAAGAATTACATCCTTCCAGATGAATAGAGGGAGAGCATTCTTGCAAGGACTGGGAGCTGGGGAATGGGTCAGAACCCAAGTGTTTCACGATCTCTTGCTTCATCCATTAACATCATTGGTGGAAAAGCACACAAACCAAACAGGAGGAGAATCCAGTCATCACCATTTCTCACTCATTTCTGGCTCTCCTTTATATGATTACTAAACAAAAGCATACACTTCCCCACATCAGAGCAGGTAAAACTGTCAGTTTCCAGCAGGGATACTGAAACTAGCAGGCCATAAAGCTAGGTATCCTGGCTGGGCATCATGGTACGTGTCTGTAGTCCCAGCTACTCAGGAGGCTGAGGTGGGAGGATCACTTGAGCCCAGGAGTCTGAGGTTATAGTGAGCCATGATCACACCACTGCACCCCAGCCTGGGCAACAGAGTGAGACTCTGTCTCTTAAAAACAAAAACAAACAGGAAAACCAAACAAACAGGAAAACCTCACTAAACAAAAAACCTAGGTATCCTTTGTCTCCCTGAGGCTATTCTCACTGGCACAGTCAGTCCTGTTCCTTTAGTCTGTGCTAAAATCAGAAGAAAATCTAGCTGATAGTCCTTGTTACACAGGGACAGCCAGGACCTCAGGGCTGGAACACAGATTTTTCAATTAATTATTAGGAGGTGCAGCAGTGGGGAGCACTTCCTCAAATGTAGAGAAGCATGTGCAGGAGTACGTATTAGAGACAGGACAAGCAGATTCCATAATTCTACATTTGGCCTGCAGGTAGCAACATCTCTCTAGCAATGACCACACCACATACTTAAATAGATACTGCAGGAAATGCATTTAATTGGCCAAGGAATAAGAGTTTTGTTTTTAAAAATTAAAAAAATTACATCAACATATCTCCACTAAGTAATTTCCACTCCTACGTATTTTGATATAGAGATGTTGCTATTTTTCTATTTACAGTGCTAGGTACATAGTGAGCTTTTAACGAATAAACACTTATGGATTGTTCAGTTGGCTGAAGATAATTCAGACTTGCCTGAGGCATGGAAAATACAGGGTGAGAATAGGAGGAAGTATCGATTGGTAAATGTGCATGGAAAAGCACTGCTACAGTTTGAATGTTTGTTCCCTCCCAAACTCACACTGAAATTTAATTACTATCCCAGTAGTTTGCAGGATTAAAAAAAGAAATTTGATTGCCATTGTAACAATATTAAGAGGTGGGACCTTTTTTTTTTTTCTGAGACAGAGTTTCACTCATGTTGCCCAGGCTGGAGTACAATAGCACAATCTCGGCTCACTGCAACCTCCACCTCCCAGGTTCAAGTGATTCTCCTGTCTCAGCCTCCTGAGTAGCTGGGACTATAGGCACCCACCACCACGCCCAGCTAATTTTTGTATTTTTAGTACAGGTGGGGTTTCGCCATATTGGCCAGGCTGGTCTCAAACTCCTGACCTCAGGTGATCCGCAAGAGGTGGAACATTTAAGAGGTGATTTGGCCATGAAGACTCTCCCTTATGAAAGGATTAATGTCATTATCGAGGGGGTGGGTTTGTTATAAAAGAATAAGTTTGGCCCCTCTTGCTCTCTCACCCTCTCTTTGCCTGTCAACCATGGGATGATGCAACAAGAAGGTCCTTGCCAGATGCCAGCACCTTGATATTGGACGTCTTAGCCACCATATCTGTGAGCCAGTACATTTCTGTTCCTTATAAATTACCCAGTCTCAGGTATTCTGTTACAGCAGTACAAAGCAAACGAAGACTAGCACTTTCCTGTCTGGTTAATAGCTCGCCCAAGAAAAACAAATGCATCTGAAAATTATGAAAGATCTCTCTAAAAGCAAGCCATGATTAATTCTTTTAAAAAAAAGGAAACAGTAATCTTGGTTTTATAAATATTCCCCTTCAATTCAAAGTTCATCCTTCATACGTGTTAGAGAAACAAGTTCCAGGTTTATGCATGTTATACACGTTTAAAGTTTTACATTTAGGCTCAGCCCTGTCAAATGCATTTATTCCAAACTGACTCAGCCCTCTCCCCAGCTAGATTCTGCAGAGACTGTATGAAGCCACCAAAGTCCACCCATCACTGAAAGGAACCACTGAGATTAGTTTTGGCAGGAAGCACTGAGCAAAGAGCAGGGCAGCCCGGCCTGGGCTCGGCCAGCCTAGCAGCAGATGTGCATGTGTTCTTAGAGGCAACAATGCTCCTCTTCCCACAGAATAGGTTGTGGGCTCCCAGGTTCTTGCACTTTTTGCTGGGACTTGCCCCGAAGCCATCTGTTTATCTCTCAGAACTTCTTGGTTTTCCAAGCAGCAAAGAATGAGCACCTTTAATGTCAACAGTGTCCAAGAGCACCCTGATCCCAGGTGGACCCCTTTTCTGGAGGCCAATAGCCTCAGGTAGCTTTGGAGGGTGGGCCTGCAGGGAGAGGGTCTGGGCAGTCTGTCTGTCCATGAGTGAGAGACAGACACACCCTTCAGCCCCCTGGAGGGTGGTGGTCTTCCACAGAAGCTGCAGATTGGCGTTTCAGCTTCACTCCCAATGACACTGAGCCAACCAATGACTACTGGCCTCATCACAGGCCCAGGGTCCCCAGCTGCCAGAGTTCATGGTCACATTGCTTCACAGGCTGAAATCTCTGCAGGGAGAGGAGGCAGCAAGGTGACTGAAGCAGGGGCAGCTGGGAAGGAGATATCTGTGATCTCTCGACCAGCAGGAACACTGCCTCCCTGCGCAACCAGAAGTACATAATGCAGGAACCAGAGTGACTTTCCTTCACTCCTGAGCTTGTTTTCCTTGTGTTTGTTTGAGACAGGGTCTTGCTCTGTTACCCTGGCTGGAGTGCAGTGGCACAATCTCAGCTCACTGCAGCCTCAACCTCCCAGGCTCAATCAATCCCCTCATTTCAGTCTCCCAAGTAGCTGGGACTACAGGCATGCACCACCATGCCCAGCTATTTATTTTATTTTTTTTATTTTTTGTAGAGACAGGGTTTTGCCGTATTGGCCAGGCTGGTCTCAAACTCCTGACTTCAAGTAATCCTCCCGCCTCGGCCTCTCAAAGTGCTGGGATTACAGGCATGAGCCACTGTGCCCAGCCCACTCCTGAGCTTGTTACGTGTCCTCTGGGGGAGCCCCCAGCATCACTGCTGGCCCCAGCTCCCAGCCAGGGCCCTAGGTACACAGGCAGGAGGGACTGGTGCCATCATTCTACCCTTGCAGGGTGCCAAGGCTGTGAGTGAGCTCACCAGAGGAGGAGGGGAATCAGTGGGTGGCCCCACAGCCAGGGCCTGAGCTCAGGAAAAGCGGCACTGTGGCGGGTGTGTGGTATGTCAGGAGCCCAGAAGCTGCTGTCCTAGGCCCCTTTCCTCCTGCACAGCATGATGTGGTGTAAATGAGGGGTCTCAGCTGAGGGACATTTTGCTGAGTGTCAGAAGCAAAGGGAGGGTTAGGAAACCCTGGGGAAAAGGGAATGTCAAGGTAGGGAGGCAAGGCCTTTCTACATGAGGACCACGGGCAGGGCAGCAGAGTCCCAGAGAGGTCCAGTGGGCACCAGGGAGGGCTGCCATCTTCCTCAGTGGGGCAGACCCTGCCTGATGGCACAGTGGTAGACAGCACCTCCCCACCCCACTCCCTAACCGACACAAATCTCCACATACAACCAGGTCCTGTCCTCACCTCACCATGACAACCAGCACCCAGCTCAGGCCTGCATGGCCCTGGTGTGGACCCAAAGGTGGGGTGTGGGGTGAGGATGAGGAAGGCAGCGTCCATGTCCTTTGAGGGCAAGGCTGGCCCCCAAGTGGAGCTCCGGCCCAGAGGAGACATAGGCTCCAGACCAGAGAGGCCAGGAGCTGGTAGAGTGAGGCCTCCCTCTGCCACCCCTTCCCCTCCCCCGCCCATCCAGGGGAGACTTGGGAAGCAGGGGAGGAGCGCCCATCACTTTCCACCCCGGGAGAGTGCCGAGGGGGCTCCAGGCTGGGTGGCCATGATGTGGTAGATGGATTCCCGGAAGCGCTGGTCCCTGCTGAGCCGCTTGGCCACCTCCTTTAGCTCCTCCATGTTGTTGGCATCCAGCTGGGAGGTCATGAAGGACTGGGACGGCTTCACTGGGGAAACAGGAGCCCAACAGCCCTGTGAACAGTGCTCCCTCCACGAAGGCCTGGCCCTGTCCCCAGCCTCATGCCACCCCCTCACTCCTTTATGTGTGCCAAGCTTCTTCCAGCCCCTTCCCACACACACGGGCTTCCATATCCTTTGAGAAACCCAGGGCCCTGAGAATTCACCCGTTTGCCCAAGGATGGTGGGGCCAGGTTCAAGGCCACACTCTCCAGCCTCAGAGCTGGGCCAACCCTTCTGGCTCCCCATGTTGCCCTCTTCCTGCCTTGTCACCATCCCACCAGGGCACGCAGACAGCCACACTCACTGTCATTCCAGGAGGTGCTGGACCGGCGTCGGTGGAAGCGGCAGCTCTTGATGCGGCGAGTGGCTGCCTTATGGATGTACACGGAGTTCTTCATGATCACAGGCATCTTGGCCTCCAGCTCGGCATTCCGGATGCACTCCTCAAAGAACCCTGTGGCGGCAGGGCCAGGAAGGGTGGGGTTCCGACTGCATCCTTACCCCCAGCCAGTCCCTCCCTTCCCAAGGATCCTGGTGAGATTGAGTGGGAAATATTTTGACCCCGTCCCTCGAGATTCCAGAGCCACCTGCTGAAGGGGACTTTCTTTGCCTTTCAAACCACAATCTGCAGCCATCTCAGGGCACGTCTGCTGAGAACAGAGCTCTGAGCTTTTGATAAATGGAAGAAGCTCCTGGCTTTCCTCTCACCACAGATCCAACAGCCACAAGAAAGCAGTGGTGCTGAGATGCCTGCAGGCAGGTAACTGGAGAAGAAACCCTTCAATATCCAGGGAGCACCTCATGCCTAGCAGACCCTGTGTGGGTTTCCTGGCTCTACAGGGCCGGGATCCCATCTGGGGCTGAGTGCCAAAGCTGGGGGCCAGGGCCTAGAGGCAGGGCTTACTTTTCAGATGGCTCACATCAGCCCGCATCCTCTCCTCCTTCTCCTTATTCCGCACCTTGGAATTCAGCCCCTGTTCCAGGCTTCGCAAGGCCCCTTCTGCCTCCCGGAGACGCCTCTCCAGGTCCATGCGGACCTTCACCTCAGCCTGAGGTTGAGGAGAGGGAAATGAGAAGGAAGTCAGGTCCTGGAAGTAGCTGCCATCTTCCCTGGAAGCCTTCCTTGGTCACCCCTGGCTCAATGGGCGTGGATGGGAGTTATCACATCCCGCTTCTGAGTCTTACCCTTTGAACCAGATGGACTGGACTTGGCACCTGCACCCAGCAGGTGTCTGTCAATGATGCAGCAGACTTGCTGCTTCCCCTCGTGGTGGCTCCATCCCCCATGCCTGGCTGTCTGGTCAGACTGACAGAGATAATTCATGCAGCTACCCGGTAAAGTGCAGGGGTGGAAGGGGAGTCTCCAGGGAAGGGGAAGGGCCCTGGCACCAGCAGGCCAGGTCGCACCTTGAGCTCCCGCTCAGCCTGCTGCTTCTCTGCCGTCAGCTCCTGCAGCGAGTTCTGCAGTGCCTGGGACTGGCTGGAGTAGAACTCACGCTCCTCCTCCAGGGCCCGTGAGCGCTCCTCGTTCTCCTTCATCCTGTAGGGACAGAAGAGGCACTTTCTCAATGCTCACTCGCCAAATGGGATTGCCAATGGATGGACAGCTCCTCTTAGAGACCTGGGCTGGAGAAACCTTGAATCCCAGGCTTTATGAGCCCCTGAACTTTGTGGGTCCAGGCACCCAGGGGATGAGATTGATGGTGTGGTCAGTGCTGGGAGCCCTAGGTTTAGAGTCAGAAGACTGGAGTCCTGGGTCCAGAGGTTGCTTGTTCTGTGACCTCAGAAAAGTCATACAACCCCCCTGAGGCTCCATTTCCTCATTTGTAAAAGGGGGCTTAAAAACTTGCCCAGCCTGTCACAAAGCATGGTGACAAGGACTTAATAAGTCTGCATGGTTCACACCATTGCACAAGATAATTATCAAGCCAGCTTTGGGTAGTGAAAGTTCTCTTCCCACTTTCCTGGTGGGAAAACAGAGTCCTAGGCAAAAGGAAGTGAGTGAGTCCTACTTGGTCAGTGCCAAGTAGAACCCAAGAGTCTGGATGTCCAGTTCGAGGAAAGTCCCCAGACCCCAAAGTCAATGGTGTCTTCAGGGGTCGGGGCTCCCTCACCGCTTCTCTGCCAGGAGCTTCTCCTCTAAGAGCTGCTGCATCTTCTCCTCGATCTGCCGGAGGTTGCTATGGAGGCCCCCACTGGGAGGGGGCTGCTCACTCTGATTGGCCAGTGTCTGCAGGTGGTTCTCGTTCTCCTCCAGCATTTCCAGGGTTTTCTTCTTCTCTATGGAGAGTTCCTGGCATGGAGGGAGGCAAGGAAAAGAAAAGCCCAATTTAGGTTCTCCATCGTGGCTGCCCTCACCTGCTTTTCCGTTTGGGGGAGTGACCCACTCCTCTCTCAGTCCTCTATGGCCGCTGAAATGTCTTCATTCTTCTCCAGAGCTAAAAGGCCCAGATCTCTCCCACAACAGGGCAAGGTTACTCCTCCATCAAGAGTCATAAAGGAACCCAAAGTGCCTTCCAGTGGAGACGGCACCTACTAGAACGGGGTCGCATGATCTTCTGGGGTCCTGGTTCCTCCAGGGGTGAATGAGGAGACATAGTGGGCTTACGTGAAAAACACCCAACAGGAACCAGCCCAAGAGCATATTTAGATGCTCTCACAAACAGAGCGAGGCTGCAGTGAGCTATGATTGCACCACTGCATCCCAGCCTTGGCAACACAGCTAGAACCTGTCCCCAAACCACCCCCCACCCCACCTCCAAAAAAAAGATGTCCTCTCCATTTATCAGACTGGGATCTTGTACTCAATGGCATTACACAGAAGCAGAGTTGAAAATATCCATGGGAACCACCTCCCATGATGTGAAACAGGGAAAGATAAATGAATAAAGGCCCCACAAGCTCCAAGGCTCCAGTCAGTCAAGGGAGACAAGAAACCTTTGCAGCCTTGAAGGTAATTCATGCGTACAGCACAGGTATGGGCCATACACCATATGTGCCAGGCCCACTTCAGGGGATGGGCTTGGAGAGACCATGAAGACACAGTCTACTGAAATTCATAGTTTGGAAAACACACCTAGCATGTTAAGTCCCATAAAATATGTACAAAATGCCACGGGAGCCAAGAGCTCAGAGTAGATACCTGCCTTGAAAATCAGAGAAGCTTGACTGAGGAGATATTTGAGCTGAGACTTAGAAGGGTGAATAGAAGTTCTCCAAGCAGAGAAAAGGTGGAAATGATACACTGTGTAGAAGGAACAGTGTGGGAAAAGGTATGGAGCATGAAAGAGCTTGCTTCCTTGGAGTACCTGAGCTCCGCGGTTTGGAGCAGGGGTTGGGAGTCTGTGCAGGGCATGGAGGAGCAGTGAAGGGAAGAGTGAGGCGAGAGGGAAGGGGAGACCAGGGCCAGAGTTTTCACTTGCTTGCCATGCTAAGGAGTTTGTACTTTGTCCTTGAGGCTTGTCACCTCCCCACCCCATCCCAGTTTCTGTGGTATCAGATGATGGTGACCTGGCAGTTGATTTCCCTTTACGTTCAATGTCACTCAGGAGCAGCTAAGCGAACAAGACACAAGAAGGAAGCGGTGGGTAGCTCCACTGCCCACCTTAACCAATCCTCTATCTGGTATAAAAATGTAAGCACCAGAGGTGGATTTCCTGAGGCCATGGTAATAGCAAGGACAAGCCTGAATTTGTCCTTTTAGGTCTGAGAACAGACACTTCTTGCTTTGGGCCTCATGCCTCGGCCAGAGTTTTCAATGATCCATAGAGAAGAGACCCTTTAGATCAGCACCCCTCCATGCCCATTTCTCTTACAGATCACCCCCTGGGGAAACACTGCTGGAAAAAACAGTGTCATGTGGTCCAACCAACCAGCCTGCCACCTGGTCAACTAACCCACCAGCAGCCCCTCACCTCCAGTGTCTGCTGCAAGGACTCCGTGAGGTGCCTCAGTTCCTTTTTCTCTTGTTCTACACCCTTAAGGCATCTTGCAGTCAGTTCCAGCTCCCTGTGGAGACAGAGGGCTGGGTATGGCAGTGCCCACTCTCCCCACCCCCCACCAATCACCTCTGCACTTAGAAATGCTTTTGCTTCACTTCCTGATGGGGCTCAGGAGGGCTCTTGAATGGCCAGCCCCTCTGCACAGCTGGGCCCTGACAGCAGCAGTAGGGGCCTGGAGTTGAAAGTAAGTCCTGGCCACATGGGGTTGGAGTCACTTGCTCCAGGTACACATGCATCTGTCACCTGGAATAAACCTAGGGCCACCCCACAGGCAGAGGGAAACACTGGAGAAACAAAGGGGCCCCAGCCTCACCCTGTCTTCTCTGGACAGCACTTGCTAGAACCCATGGTCATTCTGACATAGAACATGGCTAAGGCCCCTCTTTGGGTTAGTAACAAGCTCCTTGCTGCCTTCTTCACAAGCTTCAGTCACCTTAGGCTTTTACACTAGTGTCCCCTCATCCTACTTGGAAAGTCTTTCCCTTCTCCTGCCCAATTTTCAAAATCCTACTCACCTTTCAAGGCCCATCTCACTCAGCCCTGTATTCAAGCCCACAAGCATCATGCATGTGTCTCAATTCTCGTAACACAGGAAATCTGCACCATGCCTTCTAGCACCTGATTACATATTATTACACTAATGTTTCCTGGGTATGAGTCTGGTTTCCCCAACCAGATCATACGTCCACTCTTCAAGGGAGTGGACTTGTCTTCTATTCCTTCTAATACCTGGCAACATTCTGGAAGCTGAGTAGGTGCTTGGCTATTTACTTAGTAAGATCCTCTGGGTTTTTCCCTCCTCAAAATACATAGTTAATTGACACCCTTGGATAAGGTTGTTATAAGAAAACAGTTTCTGGGCTATCACTGATCATGTGTGGTGATGATAATGATGAGGATGAGGATGACGATGATGACTACCCCACCCACAGCAGCAGTCTCCACATTCCTGGAGGCTGCCTCAGAATCACCTGGGGTGTTTTTAAAAAATATATAGATTTCTAGCCCTGGTGCGGTGGCTCACACCTGTAATCCCAACACTTTGGGAGGCCAAGGTGGGAGGATCGTTGAGGACAGGTGTTGGCGACCAGTCTGGCCAACATGGCAAAACCCTGGCTCTGCTAAAATTACAAAAATTAGCCAAGCATGGTGGCACATGTCTGTAATCCCAGCTCCTCAGGAGGCTGAGGCACAAGAATCACTTGAACCCAGGAGGCGGGGCTGCAGTGAGCCGAGATCGTGCCACTGCACTCCAGCCTGGGTGACAGAGTGAGACTCTGTCTCAAAAACAAACAAACAAACAAACATTTTTATATATACATATATACATGTATATAGATATATACATGTATATATATAGAGAGAGATTTCTAGGCTCTACCTTTAAAAGATTATAATTCAGTAGATGATTATAATGTACAACTAGGTTTACAAACAATACATGGTACTAAAGTTCTCAAATGACACATTCCCAAAAAGGACTATGCAGGAAAGACAGCAAATGTTGAGGGTCTTGGCCAACAGCAAGCACCTCTAGGCCAGCGTGTCCTGTCTGGCCCTGGGTGAGAGAGGCTTTCATGAAGGCAGGGGGCTTTGTGGCTTGGAGGGATGCTCCATTGCCTTATGCTCTAGTGGGTAGAAATGACCCCATTTATCTGGGTCAGGGGAGTCTACAGATTCTTCTGGGAACACTCAAACCTGGAGCCTTGGAGGACAGACTCAAACTGGGATAGACCCAAGCCTGGAGCCTTGGGAAGATAGCATCTCTGAGGTGGAGGCCTCCTCAGATCTGACGGGGAAGGTGGGCTCTGCATGCCCTAACTTAGTGGCACCCCCAATTCCCAGGCACCACCACCACCTCTTGATCTGCTCCTGCTCCATTCTCAGCTCCTGCACCACCTCCTCGAACTGCTGCTTCTCGGCCTCCAGCACCTGGTTAAGGCGCTCAAGCTCCTGAAGAGACCAGAGAGGAAGAGAAGAGTCACAGGCAGCAAAGGAACCCTGAGATCAGGATCCCCCACTCTATCCCAAGGGACCCTCTGGGATTTAGCACAGCCTGGGTCATGTGCTGCACCAGACCGGGAATTAAGTTCTAAGGCCCGCTGGCCCCACTCATTGATATGTAGTCCTGACAAACCCAAAATCTATGATGAATCGAGCCCACTGAAAACACATTTTGCATGCTGAAGACTGGGTTTAGGAACACTCCCAACATTACTCCCTGTGGCTGGAGGAAACTATAATTCTAAATATCTACTCTGCAGGGCAGCTCCAGTCACTGCCACCATCAGGCGGGTTGGCTGTCCCTCACACCTGGAGGAAAGAGTGGTGAGTGTGTATTTCCATTCGAGATCCCTGGAGTGATGTCTGTTAGAAGTGGCAAGGAAAAGCTATTCCCAACCCAAAAGTCAGAGAATAAGGACTCTATTTTTCTTGAGGTATCTGGGAAGCAATGACTCCAGGTGGCTTCAGCTTCCCTCTGCTCCGGCCCCAAAGTGGAGGAGAACTAGAAAGTGCAGGACAGGCCCCAGGGGACCAGACTTGCCCCTTCAGGAATCCCAGGAAGCCCAAGTGTTTTCCCAGCAACTGTGTGTCCTCCAGGAGTCCTCTTTTCCTGGGGTTCAGTGGCAGGTGGCATTGGGGGGCACATTTCACGTAATTTGGCTTGAAACATTTTTGTGACAACTGCTTTGTTCCTCCACATTTTACACTGTGGGAGGATATTATTTCCACATTCACTTCCTTTCTCATCTTCCAGCTCCAAATTCCACTCTCATTTTCACCTGGGGGCTTTGTTCCCAAGTTTAATGGAAACCCCACTGGGGAGGGAGGCTGTCTATATGGAGAAGTTGCCATGGGCTTTGAGGAGATGCAAAGAAGGAATAAAACATGAGGCAGAGGAAGGAGCCTGCGTTCAAACCCTATGACCTCCATTTCTAAACTACTTACCCAAAGAGTTGCTATATCTTTCCCTTCTAATCATTACTGGCACTTTGGGCATGGATCACTGGTTACAAACTGACCTCAGTTTTTGCCAATTGTTGTCACCACCAAGACTGCTCACTGCTCACTGGTATTATTATTAATATTATTATGTTTATAGATGGAGTCTCTGTCACTCAGGCAGAGTGGCACTCGTGCAGTGGCACGATCATAGCTCATTGCCGCCTTGAACTCCCAAGCTCAAGCCATCCTCCTGCCTCAGCCTCCTGAGTAGCTGGGACCACAGGCTCAAGCCACCAAGCCCAGCTCTCACTGGCATTCTGATGCTCCTCCTGGGCACACCACATGGCCACAGTGCACCTGGTAAAGGTGAGTGGGTCCGTGGGACTAGCTAAAGCCAATGGAATGAGAGCAGAAGTGTGTTACTTCTAGGCAGTTGCCTTTAAGAGGCAATGCATGATGTGCTACGTTCCCTTCCCCCTGCCATGGCAACCAGTGTCTATATACAAGATACCATATATAGACATAATATAAATATAATTAAAATTGTATTCTTTTTTTCTTTTGAGACTGAGTCTTACTGTTGCCCAGGCTGGAGTGCAGTAACACAATCTCGGCTCACTGCAACCTCTGCCTCCCAGATTCAATCAATTCTCCTGCTCCAGCCTCCCGAGTAGCTGGGATTACAGGCACTCACCACCACACCCGGCTAATTTTTGTATTTTTAGTAGAGATGGGGTTTCACCAGGTTGGCCAGGCTGGTCTCGAACTCCTGACCTCAGGTGATCTGCCCACCTTGGCCTCCCAATAAAATTTTCTTCTTATAGACCCCAATCCCTCTTTGATGAAATAAGAGTTTGGAGCTTCAGAAAAGTTTGAAACTCCCTATATTATTCATTCTCAGTAGCTAACACATGATATTGGATATTGCTTATGATGATAAACCCCTTTATAGCCTCAGATTCGACAAACCTCACATATTCCCTCTCCTCAGTGGGCTCTGCCTCCTGGGGCAGAGCCGTTTAGAGGCCTGGGGAAATTACAAGCTGTAAGCATCCCTGGGCTTACACTGGAAAATAACAAAGGTGCCCAGCTCTTTTTTTTTTTTTTTTTTTTTTTTTTTTTTGAGACAGAGTCTCGCTCTGTCACCCAGGCTGGAGTGCAGTGGCACGATCTCAGTTCACTGCAAACTCCGCCTCCCTGGTTCAAGCAATTATCCTGTCTCAGTCTCCCGAGTAGCTGGGATTACGGGCGCGCACCATCACACCTGGCTAATTTTTGCATTTTTAGTAGAGTTCAGCGGGGGTTCTACCATGTTGGCTAGGCTGGTCTCGAACTCCTGACCTCGGGTGATCCACCCACCTTGGCCTCCCAAAGTGCTGGGATTATAGGCGTGAGCCACCGTGCGCGGCCAGGCGCCCAGCTTTTACAGGTCTGGGGCCTCTGCCGCTTCACAAATGATCACCCTGGACCCACCTGGAGGCTCCACCCCATCCCTGGAAAGTCCCTTTCTCTAACACTCCAACTTACAAACATTTCCCGTTACTTGATATTACGCTGGGATATCCTTTTGTAGTTGAAAACGGGGGAGGGTCAATGATTAAAACCCATTCCTTCCCTCCCTGGCATTTAAGTGCCTCGTGACGCCAGCAGATCCCAGCTATGCCTCTGAGAAGAAGAAAGTGAATGTGATCCACCTGAAAATAATACGGCAAGACAATCATTTGGCTTGGAATGACTGGAATTCCCTTCCTTCCCCAGTAGTCCCCTATATATGTGATAAGGTGCTTTTCTACCTGAGTCTGTACTACATGTGCCCGCACAGCATTTATTGCTCTGTGAAAGGGCCAGAGAAACAGGCACCCATGAGTCAGAACCCTCCAGGGTCAAAGCAACTTTAAAGGCAATTAAAGTCTCCATCAGATGCTTCAGTCTCCTGCTTGGTTTTCCTGCCAAGAGATGGTCCAAGCTTTGCTTGACTGGCTCTCGTGACAGCCCATTTCACCCCTGAACAACCCTGATAAAAGCCTTTTCCTTACAGGCTCAACCCTCTGCTATGCTCAGCCCTGCCACTCCCTGACAGCTATAAATACAAAAGCATTTATGAATAATGAAGATTTTTGTTGAAAGTTTTGTGGGGCTTCAATGAGAGCGTTCTATTTCATTTATGGAGCAAAATTCCCCTCCAAAATCTCATAAACCATCTCTGTCTCTTGCCCAAATTTTTTCTCCCTTCAGCTGCTGCCTGGCTTCCTGGGCCTTTCTCTCTGTCTCAGCTGTACTCTCTCCTGAAGCCCCTCTCCTCAGCTAGGAAGCCTGCATGTCCCTGTCACCAAAATAAGAGCTAGGGAACAGCTCTTAGCAAAACAAAACACAGGCAAAGCCAAGGACAGCAGCCAAAGCCCAGCCACTCTGGGCTGCTCAAGCACACCTAGGGGAGGAGGCACCCCATTTCCACCACCAGCTCCACTTGAGCCAAAAGCTGCCTACCTCATAATCCTTCAATGGGTCCGGCTTATCCCCCTTGAGGCCATAAAACAACACTAACCTCTTTTCTCTTCAAGTATTTAAAAGAGCAATTCTGTCCTCAAGTCTCCTCTCCTCCAAGCCAAAGAATTCCTGTTCACCACACTTCACAGGGCATGATTTCTCATCCTCAGTAAAACTAATTGTATTCTTGAAAAGAATGCAATTCTAGACTAGACTCCTGGTTAGGAAGACTTAATACAGTAAAGATTCTTTCAAATTAATTTACGAGCTCAATGCAATTCCAGTAAAAACCTCAGTGAGATTTTTTCTTATAATTCTATTCATTCATGCTACACATATTTATTGTCTAATATGTTTCAAGCATCTGCCAAGCTATGCACTGAGGATATGAAGATAAGCAAAAACAGCTGTATCCTTGCTCTCAGGGAGCTCACAGTCCAGTGCAACTATTAATAAAATCAGGGCCGGGAGAGGTGGCTCATGCCTGTAATCCTAGCACCATGGGAGGCCGAGGTGGGAGGATTGCTTGAGCTCAGGAGTTCAAGAGCAGCCTGGCCAACACGGCAAACCCCATCTCTACTAAAAATAAAAATACAAAAAATTAGCCAGGTATGGTGGTACAAGCCTGTAGTAGTTCCAGCTACTTGAGGGGCTGAGGCAGGAGGATCCCTTGAGTCTGGGGGACAGAGGTTGCAGTGAGCCGAGATCATGCCACTGCACTCCAGCCTGGGTGACAAAGTGATGCCCTGTCTCAAACAAACAAACAAACAAATAAATAAATAAATAAATAAATAAATAAATAAATAAAATCAGATCAGGATTGTAGATCAAATGCAAACATCAAATATTACCAAAATAATCAGACACATTAGAGTAGCATTACAAACCAAGATACATGATATGCAGGACAGGGACATGGTTCTATGTAGAGCTACCCTGATGGGAGTGAGGCAGGTATGCGGTGTGAGGTTAGGGGAGATCAGGTGATTCTTTAGGTGACAGATGAAGATGAATCAATAGAAGGAAAAAGAAGGAGCATTCCAGGCAGAAGGAAAGGTAGGTACAAAGGCCCTGTGGAAACCTGCTGCCCTGAAAGAACCGAGATTGGCCCACATGGTTGGGCCCAGAGTGACAGTGAACATGACTCTGGGAAGCTGGACAGGCTGACAGTGGCTATCGTTTATTAAGCACTTCCTATGTTGCAAGCAGTTTGTATGCAATCCTCCCAACAGCCCTACCATGGAGTACTGCCTCAGTTCAGAGAGTGCTGCGCCTGCCCTCTCTCTGTCTGCGCTAGATCCAAGGCAATCTAGACCACTCCTACTCCCCCACCCCTCCCTGCTTCATTTGCCATTTATGTGCAAATGACTCCTATGTTGATACCTGTCGTCCCTACTCTTGGTTGAGCTCCATCCTCTTATATCCAACTGTTGGCTTCACATCTCCAGCCAGATATCCAAAGATATCATAAACACATGTCCAAGAACAAATTCATGATCTTCCCCACCAGAGCTTGTGATCTTCCAGTGCACCCTGTCTCAGGGAATGCACCACCATCCACTGCTTATGCAGGTGAGAAACTTGGGATTCATGCTTCACCTCATCCTTCCCCACTCTACTCTTTCCCACTCCACCCTCAAGTCCAGTTCGTATTGCCCCCCACCCCCAGCCCCCACTCTAGAACCTGCCAGGCAACTTCTCTTCATCTCACTGCCCTGCTCTGGTTCACACTGCTATTAGGTCTTGCCTGGACTAATGCAGTGGCCTCCCACCTGGGCTCTTTGCACTCTTTCTGGCCCGCCTTCATCCTTTTCTCCATATTGCAGCCAACTTCACTATTTAAAATAGAAATCACTGTAATCCCAGCCCTTTGGGAGGCCAAGACAGGCGGATCGCCTGAGCTCAGGAGTTCGAGGCCAGCCTGGGTAATATGGTGAAACCCCATCTCTACAAAAAATACAAAAAAATAGCTGGACATGGTAGTGTGCACCTGTGGTCTCAGCTACTTGGAAGGCTGAGGTGAGAGGATCACTTGAGCCCAGGAGGTCGAGGCTGCAGTGAGCTGAGATCGTGTCATTGCACTCCAGCCTGGGTGATAGAGGGAGACACCCTCCCCCGCAAAAATGGAAATCAAAACATGATACCCACCCTTTTTCCTTACTCCCTGCTCAAAACCTTCATTGCTTCTTCTTGGTCAGGAAGAAGGATCAAAAATAGAAGATTATTTAAATAAAACATCACATACAATGAATCAGTACATTGCCATTAAAATTGATGTTTTCAAAGAATGTTAAAGGACATGAAAAATGTATAATGTTAATGAAGGTATGATGAAAAGTATAATGAAAAGGCAGTCCATAAAACTGAATATCCAATATGCTGATAATTATATTTAAAATATACCATATATAAGAATAGTATATAGAGAAAAAAAGGCTAAAATGAAAAGCACCAAAAAGTTTGGTGACAGTTGTCTGTCAATTATGGGATTATGGATAAATTTTATTTTCTTATTCATGTTTTACAAGTTTTCTACAAAGAGCATGATTTCTACAAATAGGGGAAAAGTTACATATTAAGGAGGAAAAAGAAAGAGAACGGAAGAACTTCAGTTTCCAGTTCAGCATGTAAGGAATTTAGAAGTTGTCACTTTATTCTAATAAGTAAAAAGCTGAACAAGGCAGGACACAGTGGCTCACTCCTGTAATCCACAAAGTGGATCACTTGAGCCCAGGAGTTTGAGACCATCCTGGGCAACATAGTGAGACCCTGTCTCTAAATAAAATAAATTTAAAAACCAAACAAACTGAAAAATCAGCAAGTCTTCTTACATCATCAGAGAAGTGAGGTCATAAAGCAAAGTTCTATTCCCAAAATTGAAAAGACAGGCAGATTAATATAGCTTGGATATTTGTTCCTGCCCGAATCTCATGTTGAAATGTAATCCCTAATCTTGGAGGTGGGGCTTGGTGGAAGGTAGTTAGATTACGGGGGCAGATCCTTCATAAATAGCTTGGGTCAT
Organism: Homo sapiens; assembly: GCF_000001405.40. Lineage (NCBI taxonomy): Eukaryota > Metazoa > Chordata > Mammalia > Primates > Hominidae > Homo > Homo sapiens. The sequence continues at coordinate 69,515,780 of NC_000014.9, read as the reverse complement.
CCCCTTGGTGATAAGTGAGCTCTCCCTCTGAGTACACATGAGATCTGGTTGTTTAAAGTGTGTGGCACTTCCCCGCGCCCATGCTCTCTCTCTTGCTCCTGCTCTGGTCATGTGACATGTCTGCTCCACCTTCACCATCTGCCATGATTGTAAGCTTCCTGAGGCCTCCCTAGAAGCTGTGCAGATGCCAGCACCATGCTTCCTGTAAAGCCTGCAGAACCATGAGCCAATCAAACCTTTCTTTATAAATTACTTAGTCTCAGGTATTTCTTTATAGCAATGCAAGAATGGCCTAAGACACAGATACAGAGAGTCACATTAATGAGGCAGAAACTACCAGCAGAAACCTCCATGGGAACCAGTACTGGGGTAGGAAAACCTGAACTGCAATTGACAAATTGCTGGAGGTTCAGTTTGAAGAGTTAAAACTCCAGGGGGGGCCAATCTTAGGGAGGCCTCCTCACTTCTGTGAGTTATAACTCCAGGAGCTCTACCAGGTTCTCAGTGAATATAAGGGGAAAGCAGCCATTTGGAAATGCAACACAGCATTCTGTTTTTTTGTTTGTTGGTTGGTTGGTTTGTTGAGACAGAGTCTCGCTCTGTCACCCAGGCTGGAGTGCAGTGGCGTGATCTTGGCTCACTGCAACCTCTGCCTCCCGGGTTCAAGTGATTCTCCTGCCTCAGCCTTCCATGTAGCTGGGACTACAGGCATGCACCACCACACCAAGCTAATTTTTGTATTTTTAGTAGAGACGGGATTTCGCCATGTCACACAGGCTGGTCTTGAACTCCTGACCTCAGGTGATCCAACTGCCTTGGCCTTTCAAAGTGCTGGGATTACACTGTGCCTGAGGCCATTCTGTTCTTCTTTACAAAGCCTGCCATAAACGATTATACCAGAGCCTAACCTGTTTTATCAGAGTGTAACCTACTTGGGGGAAGGGAAATACCAAATTCCAGCCCACTGTACCCATGCTATTCTACCTAAGGTGGGGGAAAGCCCTGAGAAGCATTTATGAAGTTCACAGTCCAGGGGCGCAACTCACCAAAAGGCTAAGACCACCACATCACTAAAGGCCTATTCACCACAACTCCTTTTACCCAATACATCGTGGCCAGGGAAAAAATAAAGGGCATTCAACAAAAAATCACAAGGCATACTAGAAGGTAAAAAACACAATTTGAAGAGATAGAGCAAGCATCAGAACCAGATTAGATATGGCAGGAATGCTGGAATTATCAGACCAGGAATTTAAACGCAAACTAAGATTAATGTATTAAGAGCTTTAATGGCAAAAGTAGACAACATGCAAGAACAGATGGATAATATAAGTAGAGAGATGAAAATTCTAAGAATAAAAAAGAAATTGCAAGAGATCACAAACACTGTAAGAGTGAAGAATGCTTATGATGGGATCATTGCGAGACTGGACATGGCCGAGGAAAAAAAATCTCTCAGCTTGAGGCTATGACAATAGAAATTTCCAAAACTGAAAAGCAAAGAGAAAAAAGGCTGAAAAAAAAAAAACCCAGAGCAGAATATCGAAGAACTGTGCGACAACTGCAAAAGGTGCAAAATGTATAATGAGAATAATCAGAAGGACTAGAAGCAATATTTGAAGCAATGACTGAGAGTTTTCCCATATTAATGTCAGACATCAAACCACAGATCTAGGAAGCTAAGAGAACACCAAATGAATAAATGCCCTAAACAAACCATATCTAGAAATTTCATATTTAAACTTCAAAAAATCAAAGATGAGGAAAAATATCTTAAGAAGCCAGAAGAAGAAAAAATTACCTATTGAAGAAAGAAGATAAGAATTACATCTGGCTTCTCAGAAACCATGAAAGCAAGAAAAGAATGGAGTGAAATATTTAAAGTATTGAGAGAATAAAACACCAGCTTAGAATTCTGTACCCTATAAAATCATCCTTCAAAAGTGAAGGAGGAATACTTTCTCAGACAAACAAAAATAGAGGGAATTTGTTGCCAGTAGACCTGTCTTGCAAGAAATGTTAAAAGAAGTCCTCAGGGAGAAGGAAAATGATATAGGTCAGAAACTCATATCTACATAAGGAAAGGAAGAGCATTGGAGAGTGAATAAGTGTGTTAAAGCAAAATAAATATGGCCTGAGAAGGACTCCATACTTTTATATTTGAGTCCTTATGGATGAACTGTAACTTAGCTTAACAGACAAAATTGAAAACCTAATTTAATAGTATGCACCTGTAACAATAGCTGAGTGTTAGCCAATCCCAGCGGCCACACTTCAGCCACTCATAGACTGCTGAATGTCCAAACTGCGTTCAAATAAGGCAAACACCAAGCTGTAACCAATCTTGCTGCTTCTGTACCTCACTTCCGATTCCTATATGTCACTTTACCTTTTTTGTCTATAAATTTGTTCTGATCACAGGCACCCCTGGAGTCTCTGTCAATCTGCTGTGATTCTGAGGGCTGCCTGATTCGCGAATCTTTCATTTACTCCATTAAACTCTTTTTTATTTTATTTTATTTTATTTTATTTTATTATTTTATTTTATTTTATTTTATTTTTGAGATGGAGTCTTCCTCTGCCACCCAGGCTGGAGTACAGTGGTGCCATCTTGTCTCACTGCAACTTCCGCCTCCTGGGTTCAAGTGGTTCTCCCGCCTCAGCCTCCTGAGTAGCTAGGATTACAGGCATGCACCACCATGCCCAGGGTCTTGCTGTCATCCAGGCTGAAGTGCAGTGGTACAATCATAGCTCATTGTAACTCCTGGGTTCAAGTAATCCTCCTGCCTCAGCCTCCTGAGTGGCGAGGACTACAGGCATATGCCACTATCCCTGGTGAATTTTTTTCTTTTTTCTTTCTCTCTCTCTCTTTTTTTTTTTTCTTAGAGACTGGGCCTTGCTGTGTTGCCCAGGCTTGCCACAAACTCCTGGCCTCAAGCAATCCTCCTGCCTTGGCTTCCCAAAGTGCTGGGATTACAGGCATGCATCACTGTGCCCAGACCACAAATATAAAATAATAGAAATCATGTAATGTCTGCTCCTAAACCAAAGTGGAATTGTGCTAGAAATCAACAAAAGAAAGTTAACTGGAAAATCCACAAAATACTTGAAGATTAAAGAACACATTTCTAAATAACACATGTGTCAAAGAAGAAATATCAAGAGAAATCTAAAGATACTTTGAACTAAATGAAAATACAACTCATCAAAATTTGTGGAATGTAACAAAAGCAGTGCTTTGAGAGAAATGCATAGCATCAAATTAATATATTAGAAAAGAAGAAATATCTAAAATCAATAATCTAAGCTTCCACATTAGGAAACTAGAAAAAAAAAGAGAAAATTAAATCAAAGGTAAGCAGAAAAAAAGAAATAAAACAGAGCAGAAATCAATGAAATTGAAAACAGGAAATCAACACAGAAAATCAACAAAATCAAAAGCCAGTTCTTTGAAAAGATAAATAAAATTCATAAGACTCTAACTAGGCTAAATAAAAAGAAAGAAGACACAAATTATTAATATCAGAAATGAAAGAGGGAACATAACTACAGACACCACTGACATTAAAAGGATAATAAAGAACTATGATGAATAACTCTATGCCAATAAATTTGATAACTCAGATGAAATGGACCAACTCCTTGAAAGATACAATCTGTCAAAACTTACACAAGAAGAAACAGACAATTTGAATAGGCCTATATCTATTAAATAAATTGAATCAATAATTAATGCCCTTCCAAAACAGAAAGCACCAGGCCCAGAGGGGCTCAGTGATAAATTATATCAAACATTTAAGAAACTATACCAATTATCTACAATCTTTTTTTCTCAAGATAGAAGCCAAGGGAATATTTCCTAATCCATTCAATGAGGCTAGAATTACCTTACCAAAACCTAATAGAGACATTATAAGAAAACTACAGACTGGCCAGTCACAGTGGATCATACCTATAATCCTAGCACTTTGGGAGGCCGAGGCAGGCAGATCACTTGAGGCCAGGAGTTTGAGACCAGCCTGACCAACATGGTGAAACCATGTCTCTAATAAAAAATACAAAACTTAGCCAGGTATGGTGGCGCACACCTGTAATCCCAGCTACTTGGGAGACTAAGGCACGAGGATCCCTTGAACCTGGCAGGAGGAGGTTGCAGTGAGCTGAGATGGTGCCACTGCACTCCAGCCTGGGTGACAGAGCAAGACTCTGTCTCAAAAAAAGAAAAAAAAGAAAAGGAGAAAAAGAAAACTACAGACCAGTATCTTTCATGAACACAGATGCAAAAATTTTCAACAAAATATTAACAAATCAAATCCAACAATGGTCTGTGTGAGGTGGCTCATGCCTGTAAACCCAGCACTTTGGGAGGCGGAGGCAGGTGGATTATCTGAGGTCAGGAGGTTGAAACCAGCCTGACCAACGTGATGAAACTCCATCTCTACTAAAAATACAAAATTAGCAGGGCATGGTGGCACATACCTTTAATCCCAGCTACTTGGGAGGCTGAGGCAGGAGGATCGCTTGAACCCAGGAGGCAGAGGTAACAGTTAGCCAAGATCACACTACTGCAACTCTAGCCTGGACAACAAGACTGAAACTCTGTTTCAAAACAAACAAACAACAAACAAACAAACAAACAAAACAAAGAAAACCAAATCCAAACGAATAATACATCACAACTAAGTGGAATTTATTCCCAAGTATACAAGGCTGGTTCAATATTTGAAAATCAATTAATATAATCCATCACATCAACAGGCTAAAGAAGAGAAAAAGAATCACATGGAAAAAGCATTTGACAAAATCCAACACCAATTGATGATGAAAACTCTCAACAAACTAGTAATAGAGAGGAACTTCCTCAATGTGATAGAGAACATCTACAAACACCTACAGCTAACATCATACTAAATGGTGAGAAACTAGAAGCTTGCCTGATAAGATCAGAAAGGAAGAAGATGAGGATGTCCCTTCTCACCAGTGCTTCTCAACATTGTACTGGAATTCCTAACTAACACAATCAGACAAGAAAAGGAAATAGAAGGTATACAGATTACAAAGAAAGAAATAATACTGTCTCTGTTCACAGATGACATGATTGTCTATATAGAAAATCTGGAAGAATTGACCAAAAAAATTCCTGGAATTAATAAGCAATTGTAGCAAGATTGTAGGATACAAGATTAATGTACAAAGTCAATTATTTTCCTATATACTGGCAATAAAAAGGTGGAATTTGAGATTTTTTTTTTCTTTTGAAGATAGGGTCTTGCTCTGTCACCCAGCTGGAGTGCAGTGGAAATTTGAAATGTAACAACACATTACCATTGACATTAGCACCCTCCAAAATGAAATACTTAGGTATAAATCTAAAAATAATGTACAAAATCTATATGTAGAAAACTACAGAATGTAATAAAAGATATCAAAGAACTAAAATGAAGGGATAGTCCATGTTCATAAATAGGATGATTCAATATTTGCAAGATATCATTTCCCAACTTGATCTATAGATTCAATACAATCTCAATTAAAATCCCAGCATGTTGTTTTGTGGAAACTGACAAATTGATTCTAAAGTTTACATGGAGAGGCAAAACACCCATAATAGCCAACTCAATATTGAAGGAGAAAATTGGAAGACTGAGACTACCCAACTTTAAGACTTACTATAAAGCTACAGCAATCAAGACATTGTGGTATTGATGAAAAAATAAACAAATATATAAATAGAACAGAATAGAGAGCTCGGAAACATACTAACATAAATATAGTCAATTCAACTCTGACAATGGAGCAAAGGCAGTACAATAGTATTGGAAAAGCCAGTCTTTTTTTTTTTTGAGATGGAGTCTCACTCTGTAACCCAGGCTGGGGTGCAGTGGTGTGATCTTGGCTCACAGCAACCTCTGCCTCCTGGGTTCAAGTGATTCTCCTGCCTCAGTCTCCTGAGTAGCTGGGATTACAGGCGCCCGCCACCACGCCTGGCTAATTTTTGTATTTTTAGTAGAGGCAGGGTTTCACCATGTTGGCTAGGCTGGTTTCGAACTCCTGACCTCAGGTGATCCACCCGCCTCGACCTCCCAAAGTGCTGGGATTACAGGCATGAGCCACCGTGCGTGGCCTAAGATAGTCTTTTCAACATATGGTACTTGAACAACTGGACAGCCACATGCAAAAGAAAAAAAAAAGACTCTACACAGACCTTAAACACTTTTCACAAAAAATAAATCACAATGGATCATAGAGCTAAATGCAAAACACAAAAGTATACAACTCCTAGAAGATAACATAGGAGACAACCTAGGTGATGTCTACAAAAAGATTTTTATCAAGGTGATGAAAATCTACAGTACTGACTTTTTAAGACATAACACAAAAGGCATGATCTTTGAAGGAAGTAATTGATAAGATGGATTTCATTAAAATTAAAATTTTATTCCCTGTGAATGACATCAAGAGAATAAGAAAACAAGTCACAAACTAGGAGAAAACATTCCCAGACACATCTAATAAAGGACTGTTATGCAAAATATACAAAGAACTCATGAAGCTCAACAATAAAAAAATGGGCAAAAGACCCAGACATCTTAGCAAAGAAGATATAAAGATGGCAGGCCAGGCACAGTGGCTCACATCTGTAATCCCAGGATTTTGGGAGGCCAAAGTGGGAGGATCACTTGTGTTCAGGAATGCAAGACCAGCCTGGGCAACAGAGCAAGACCCCATCTCCATAAAATGTTGGGAGCCGAAAAGGCCAAAGGGATTGTGACCAACTCAGCATTCTACTGGCGGCTATATGATCAAACAGCAAACTGTTTATCATGAATGTAGAATGTGAGCAAACTTACACACCTGCCACCAAAAGGCTTACTGAGGGCCATCACTCCCTGGCGCTGGGCTCCTTGAAGTTACCTGTTGAGAATCTAGTGCCTATTGTTCAAAGAATGCAGTCTCACAAGCTTGCTGTGAATCAAACAGTCAACTGACAATTACCCGATAATCACCCCCACTTTCTCACTATCTCTTTTGCCTAATAAATATGGAGGGCTGTGTAAAGCTCAGGGCACTTGTCCGTGAGGTGCCCCAGACCCCTTCTTCCAAATATACTCTTTCGTCTCTTGTCTTTTAGTCCCATGTTTGCCCCCATTTGTTCAGTCCACCAGGGATTGTGGCAGGCAACAACAAAAAATAAAAAATTAGCCGTGCATGGTGGTGCATGCCTGTAGTCCCAGCTACTTGGGAGGCTGAGGCAGGTGGATCACTTTAGCCTGGGAGGCTACAGTTAACCGTGATCACGCCACTGCACTCAGCCTGGATGACAGTGTGGGACCCTGACTCAAAAATAGTTTTTTTGTTTTTGTTTTTTTTTTTTGAGATGGAGTCTTGCTCTGTCACCCAGGCTGTAGTGCTGTGGCACAATCTCGGCTCACTGTAACCTCTGCCTCCTGGGTTCAAGCAATTCTCCTGCCTCAGCCTCCCAAGTAGCTGGGATTATAGGCACACATCACCACCCCCGGCTAATTTTTGTATTTTAGTAGAGACAGCATTTCACCATGTTGGCCAGGCTGGTCTCGAACTCCTCATCTCATGATCCGCCTGCCTCAGCTTCCCAAAGTTCTAGGATTACAGGCGTGAGCCACCACGCCCGGCCTAAAAAAATAAATAAAAATTTTAAGATGGCATATAAGCATATAAAAGGATGTCCAACATCATATATGATTAGGTAATTGCAAATTAAAATAACAACGAGCTACCGCTAAACTCATGAAAGTGGCCAAAATCAGCCAGATACAGTGGCTATGCCTGTAATCCCAGCACTTTAGGAGGCCAAGAGGGGAGATCACTTGATCTCAGGAGTTCAACATAAGGAGACCCCATCTCTATAAAAATAATTTAAAAAAATTAGCCAAGTGTGCTGGAGTGCACCTATAGTCCCAGCTACTCAGGAGGCTGAGGTGAGAGGATCTCTTAAACCCAGGAATTCAAGGCTGCAGTGAGCCACACTCCACTGCACTCCAGTCTGGGCAACAGAGCAAGACTCTGTCTCAAAAACTAAAAATTGAAATAAAAAATAAAATAGCCAAAATTCAAATCCCTGACAACACCAAATGCTGGCAAGGATGTGGAGCAACAGGAACTCTCATTCATTGCTACTGCAAATACAAAATGGTACAGCTACTTTGGAAGACAGTTTGGCAACTTCTTACAAAACTGAACATATTTTCACCATGCAATCCAACAATCATACTCCTTATTACTTTTCCAAATAAACTGAAAATGTATGTCCACACAAAAACCTGCACATGGATGTTTATAGCAATTTTATTCATAATTGTCAAAACTTGGAGGCAACCAAGATGTCCTTAAGTAGGGAGAGGGATAAACAAACTGTAGGACATGCGGATAAGGTAATATCATTCAGCACTGAAAAGAAATGAGCTATCAAGCCACAAAAAGACACGGAGGAAACCTGAATGCACATTACTAAGTGAAAGAAGCCAATCTAAAAAAGCTACATACCATATGACTCCAGCTACATGACATTCTGGAAAAGGCAAAACTATGGATACAGTAAAAAGATCAGCAGTGGCTGGGCACGGTGGCTCATGCCTGTAATCCCAGCACTTTGGGAGGCCGAGGAGGGGGGATCATGAGGTCAGGAGTTCGAGGCCATCCTGGCTAACACGGTGAAGCCCCGTCTCTTCTAAAAATACAAAAATGGTGGCACGCGCCTGTATTCCCAGCTACTCAGGAGGCAGAGGCAGGAGAATCCCTTGAACCCAGGAGGCAGAGGTTGCAGTGAGCCGAGATCGCGCCACTGCACTCCAGCATGGGCAACAGGGCAAGATTCCGTCTTTAAAAAAAAAAAAAAAAAAAAAAAAAAAAGCAGTTGCCAGGATTTTTAGGACAGTGAAATGAGCATTTTTAGGGCAGTGAAACTATTGTGTATGATACTACAGTGGTAGATACATATTGTTATACGTTTGCCAAAATCCAGAGGATGTACAACACCAAGAGTGAACCCTAATGTATGCTATGAACTTTGGGTGACAGTGTGTCAATGTTGACTCATTGATTGTAACAAATGTATCACTGTGGTGCTGGATATTGACAGTGGGGAACCCTGTGGGGAACAAGTGTTATGTGGAAAATCTCTGTATTTGCTGCGTAGTTTTGCTGTGAATCTAAACTGCTCCAAAAAATAAAGTTTATTAAGGAAAGAGAAATTCTCACTTCCTTTCTCATTTCTTTTCCACTTTTCACTTCACCTGTATGTTTCTTAAAGGAAGCCAGTGTCCAAGTGTAGCCTGAGAATGCTGATAAGAGTGGAAGTTACCACTTATAAACCTGGAGCAGCCAGAACTTGCTGTTCCTGAAGCCCAGCATGGCTTGAGTGTTTGTAGCAGCCCCATTATAGACTGAGTTGTCTGCTAAGCCCTGCCACAATTCAAACCTTTCTCTACTATATCGTGTGTTCTGCTGAATCTTGGGTCTGACTTAAGTTGCAGGAGTATAAAGGTGAGAAAAAGTCACTAGAAGGCACACTTCAGCTCAATGAAAGGAAGAGCTTTCAAATAACTGAGAAATCATGCAAAGGACACCTCTGGAGGTAGTGAGTCATTCGTCACAGAACCAGGAACAATGTCCACCAAAAAGGTTGACAAAGAGCTTCAGTTGTAGTGGCACATTTTTTCCAACTCAAAGAGTCTGTACTCTGACTGTGAGCACTCCAGGTGGCAAGAACCTTGCCAGAAACCCTGCCCTACCCTGGGCATTTCTGATTTTTCTCCTGCACCTGCTCATGTGCATGGCTGAGCTCTCACAACTCAGTCAGAAGGGGAAAGGTAGGCAGGCTGCCCTCCTCCAGGGGTGAGAGGGATAAGGCCAGAGGGAGCCAAAGACCAGGAACCCAGGGAAGGGCATGGACTTCCGGCTCTGGGAAGATGAGTCAGGAGGGTTCCCCCTGCACGCTCTGCTCATTCCTCCAGAGTCCCAGGACTTTTCTGCTGCATGGAGGATGTCAGGACTGTACATCACACAGTGCACAAGGGCCTTTCCAGTTCACAAATCCCTTCCCCGCGTTCTACTTCATTGGGCCTCGCAGCAACCCTAGAAGTACGCAGCAGCCAGCATAACTCTAATCAGACATCCCAGATGGGGGGAAATTGAAGCTCAGAGAGGGTAACTGACATGCCCAACATCACACAGTCAGTGATAGAGTTAAGACTCCAATCCAGGTCTCCTGGTTCCATATCTTCAGTCTTTCTTTAGGCCATGTTGTCTCAAAGAGACCACAGCAATCAGCAGAAGAACCTTCATCTTATCACTAGGCCATTACATCAATTGCCTCAGCGGCTCAAGGCACACCCAGACAATCTCTGACCTGAGTGCAGATGGGAAAAGTGCAGGAGACAGGCAGACCCATCCTATGCATGAGAAAGTTAAGGAAGAAGAAACTTTGACTGAATGACTCAGTGGCAAAGACTAGAACCTGAGCTCTATTCCAGATCTAGAGCATGCAGCTGACAAAAAATGAGAACTGAGGCACAGTTCTCTCCATGCCCAGAACAGCCTTCATGGTGGGTACCAGCTGGGCCTGAGTCTCATTCACATTTTATACCAGAAAGCCAGGGAGTTCACAGCTGACAGGCCTCCCTCCTTCCCTGTGCTGTGGCATTAAGGGAGGCCTGTGTGCAGTGGGTCTCCGCTGTCCTAATTTCCTGGCTAAAGACCTAGATAGAGTGTCTAAATTTTCCTCCAGCCAACTGCTGCCCCAGATTTAGCCTCTCTGATGGATAAGTCTGTCTCTCTCCCTGCCAGTGGCTGTGTCTGCCACTCCATCCCATCCCTGGGCACCTGTTTTTAATTTGCTGACAATACAGAAGCCTTGCTTGAAATGTATAGAATTGTGTGCAGAAAATGCCAAAACCCTAACACAGGACCTAGAGGAGAGCCTGGAGACACAGAGGACCAACTCTGGTGATGGAAGAAGACTCATTGCCATTATAATGCCAGTCCTCAAATCCATGCCATCCAAATACAAATCCCCATTCTTTTTTTATTTTCTCTTTAATCAATGAAATGATTCTGAAGTCCAGCTGGAAGGATAAAATGAGCAAGAATAACCAATACAATTTTAGAAGAAGAAAAATGAGGGTGGATTGTCCTGTTGGATTAAAATTAAGATGTAAAGTTGTGAAAAATCAATCCCATTCATTTACTAATTCATTCCACAAACATTTACCAAGAACTCGTCTTGGGCCAGGAGCTGTGCCAGGCCCTGGGAATATTTGGGGTGCAAAGGGGACATGATGCTTTTTGATGATATGGCCTGTTTCAGAGCCCAGGGAGGGGTGGGTGGGAAAACTGAGGACTTCCTAAGAGTCAAGTTAGAGGTTCTGAGCCAAGGCTGATAGCCCCTGCCCTGTGACTTGCCTGGGAGAGGACAAGGACAAGTGACTAGGCAAAGAAAAGTGAACTAAATAAGGCCCTCCCTCTGCAGGCTGCTCTGGTCAAGCCACTCTGCTGCTTCAGGCCTCAGACAGTTCACTTGCAGCATGGGCCTATATTAATAATACGATCATAATGCTAACAAACACAGATATTCGTTAAGCATGTACTATGTGCCAAACACTTTATATGGAACATCTCACTAAATCATCACAACATCCCTAAGATGGATTCTATTATCATCTGCATTTTTCAGATAAGAAGATTTGGAGAAGTTAAATAACTTGCCTGAGGTCACAAAGCTAGAAGTATTGAAGGTCAAATACAAATACAGGCAGCCTGGCTCCAGAATCCACGGTACTACCCACTACCGCCCCCTGCCCTTAATATGTGGTAATGACTCCTCAGAACAGGCAAGGCCCAGTGCTTCGCTGAGATTTTTTTTTTTTTTTTTTTTTTTTTTGAGACGGAGTCTCGTTCTGTCGCCCAGGCTGAAATGCAATGGCACAATCTCAGCTCACTGCAGCCTCGGCCTCCCGGGTTCAAGCGATTCTCCTGCCTCAGCTGCCCGAAAAGCTGGGACTATAAGCACGCACTTCCATGCCCGGCTTATTTTTTTTTTTTTTTTTTTTTTTTGAGACGGAGTCTCGCTCTGTCGCCCAGGCTGGAGTGCAGTGGCGCGATCTCGGCTCACTGCAAGCTCCGCCTCCCGGGTTCACGCCATTCTCCTGCCTCAGCCTCCCGAGTAGCTGGGACTACAGGCGCCCGCTACCACGCCCGGCTTATTTTTGTATTTTTAGTAGAGACGGGGTTTCACCATGTTGGCCAGGCTGGTCTTGAATTCCCGACCTCAGGTGATCCACCCGCCTTGGCCTCCCACAGTGCTGGGATTACAGGCGTGAGCCACTGCGCCCAGCCTGCACTGAGATTCTAAATGAAGAAGAGGGCTTCGGTGGCTCCCCTCCTTCACACAAGGCAAGAGTCTCCTTTACCCTCCAGTCTGCCTCAAGCCAGTGCTTAGCCTGCTGTGGACTTTTGACATTCAGAGAATGAAGGAACTTCTGAGATCATCAAGCCCAATCACCCTCAGGTGCCAGATAGCCCTCTATGGATAACAGAGGGCATTATAGCTCCCGTGAACATCATTGACAAGCAGCTCATTACCAACTGATGCAGCTGATGACACTTTGGATGGCTCTTTCTCTAGAAGGTCATCACCCACCCTTTTCACTTTACTCCCAGGGGTTGGTAAGGAGAAAGACACTTCTTACCAACAAGTTACAGCAAGTCCCAAGCAAGCACTGTGATCCCATTTGGCCTCCCCGCCCTGCCCCATCTGATCTTCTAGCAAGTCCTCTGTGCACCCAGCTCCCCTGCATCATTCCCTAGTGCTAGAAACGTGAGCCATTACACCACGGCTGCTGAGAGCCCCTTGGTGTGCACCTACCTCTCTCTGCTCCCTCTGAAGGCAGAGTTCTTCGGTCTCTTCCATCAGTTTGTCTGCCAAAACAAGCACACACACACACATGCACACACAATCAGGAAAGTGCTCTGAGGTCCTGAGGGAGCTGGTGCCTGAGGTGGTCGCTGTCACCCCCAGCATCTCCCAAGGAAGGGGCCTGCAGCCCTGCCAGCCAGAGGGTGGGCCAGCTCCTGGTGATGGAAGCTGCCACCCTCCTTCCCCCATCATCATCCTGCTTTTTCTTTTCCTAGGGTTATGAGGGGCCTCATCCTTGGAAGTTCAAAGCAGTCTCTGCATCCCCCAGGCCTGCTGCACCTGGGCTAGTCCCACACCCACCTTCCACCTGCACTAATGTCTGGCTAGTAAGGAGGGCAGAACCTAGGAAGTTCTGAAGCAGGCATAGGGGAGCAAGTGCTGGGGCCCCAAGTGTCTAAGCAGGCAGAGGGGAGAGGGTCCCAGGCTGAAGGCAAACCCTCAGTCTCATCTTCTCTCCCAAACAGTGCATGTTTACCAACCTGTCAGGGGCACAAGGTCTGGAATGCTGTGGCAAGGTTTAAAATGGCCTGGGGCAAGGGTACTGGGGACAAGCCAGACCCTGGGGACCCAGGATAGGATAACAACATCAACTCCACTTATGGAGCCCTTACTGCATGTCTGGCTCAAGCACTTACAGACATTGTCTCATTTAACCCAATCCTCTAAAAGCTAGAGACTATTTTTAACTCGATTTTAAGGATGAGGAAATTGAGGCTTAGAGAGGCTGAGCTGCCTAAAGATATACACAGCTGAGATGGGTGACAAATGATGAAGCTGGATCCAGAGCCCAGGCTCTTAACCATCAGACGCTCCTGCCTTCAGTCATGTTGGCCAAAAGGATGCGTAGTGTACCAGGAAGCCCTCCAGGTGCCAAACTGGTCTCTGTTCCCTCATAGCCCCACCTGAGAGACCCTCATCCCTGCTGCATCCTTTACCAAGCCCCTGGCTATAGCCCCTGGTCCCCAAGTGCTGCTACCATTAGGGAACCACCCCTCCAGCCAACCTAAATACTCCTGCTTTTCCTTAGCCAACTGCAGCCCCTGGGCCTCCAGGCTTTTGATCATGGCTTCTCCCAGCTGGGCATTCTTCCAGGTCCTGGGGAGGGAGGGCAGATGGGACAGAGGAGAGAAGAGGAAGAAACAGAAAATCATTAAAACAGAAGGGTAGAGGGGAAAGAGAAGGCATACGTTTTGTACTCGCCCACCCTTTCTCCTCCAGAATCTCAACTTGCATTCACTCTGGCACCCATGGCTCTGGGCATGTCACCAGCACGGATCAGTTACAGTAGCTGGAGGCTGGCCCAGGCTGCAAAGTGGGCCACTGGGGGCTGGGCCAACAGCACTTTTAGAGCAGGGAGGAGATTGCTTCCTGGGTGGCTTTTTTACATTACTGAATGTCCGCTACCCAGTGCAAGGCCTGCCACAGAGCACACGGTCGGTGTTTTTGGAACTAAAAGCATGACCTAGCCTGACTAGGCAGGTGTCAGGACAGTGGTTTACATAAAAATGGACTGGGTTGGCAGGAGATTTCTGTGATCTTGACCCTAATTTACAAAGCACTAGCTCTAGTCCTTGCTAGAATTAATTATGGGCCTGGGGAGGTGAGATGGGTGTCAGGAGGCATCAAATACAACTCCCAAGAGTTGGAGACAAATGGTACCCACACCTGCCACCTGTGACCTAGACACTTTTCAAGCTCACTCAGGGGACCCCTCACAGATGCTCTAAAACCTGGCCTGTCTGCTCTCCCCTACCCTAGCCATCTCCCACAGCCCTGGCCCTGTGCCCACCAGGATCCCAGCAGAGAGGCAGGGAGTTCAGGGGCAGCCCCGCCCACCCCATCCTGGATCTGCAGGCTGCCCTCCTGGCTGTGAGCACTTACACCTTCCCAGACTCCTGCAGCATCTCCAGCCACTGGGTCTGCTCAAACTCCGACTCAGCAGCAAGCAAGATGTTCCCCTGCCAGGAAGAGGAGCCATGCGCATGCCTGAGAGGCAGCCACGCTGAGGGTGATGGAGGCCCAGCTCTGCCCTGTCACCCACCCCACATCCCTGGGTGCTGATGCCCCTCTCCCAGGCCAGGACATGGGATGTGTGTCCTGAAGAGGCCTGAGAGGCTGGTCTGCTCCTGCGGAGCCCAGGCTGAGGGAAGAGCTTTACTCACATGGAAGTCCTGGTGGGAGATCTTCATGGCATAGGGCATGCTAGGCTCTTCCTTGGGCTCCACCAGGCAGCCCCCCAGAGGGATGACGCCCTGAGGAAGAACCAGAACAGGCAGCCCCCACCCCACCCAACTGGGGTCACTCAGGGGTTCTGGGGGCCCCTGGACAAAGCCAGTTCCTGCCAAGTGCCCCAGGATGGAAGCTAGACCCTGGGGCCATGGGACAGAGGCCAGAACTGATGTTCAGAGAGAAGAGGAAGGGTTGGGGCAGGGTCTGGGGCACAGGAGAGTGAGGGTCCAGCCCAGGACAGGGGCAGGGGGTCTTTTGCCCCAAGAGGATTTGCTCTCCAGACTCTCTGCTAGGCCAGAGCAAGAGCGCAGTCCCCTCCCCTCACAAGATGCAAGCTCTGATGCCCGCACTGGGCCCTCCCCTGCTGTGGCCCTGGGAGGGGCCGCCTCACCTTAGGATGTATATTGAAGTATTTATTGGTTTCAAAGCTCTTTTTTTCGCTCTCAGAGTAGTAAAGCAGAAAGCTCTCTTTGATGATGAAAAACCTATAGTGGGCGGTGGGGAAGGAAAAGCAACCAGGAGAGAAGGGGTGAGGTTTCTTGGGACAACAAGAGCACCCTTGGGGGCCCTGGACTCACATGGGAGCCCACAGGGACACCAGCTCAGCCATCCTTACCAACTCAAGCTCCACACCCTCACAAAGGCCTCAGCTGGCCAGTGACGTCCCCACAGGCAGCTGGGCCCCTGCACAGGTGGCCAGCTGGAGCGGGAGCCCCACTACTGGCTTCCAGGTCTGGCTGCCTCTGTCCCGCTGAACCACCACCCTGGCTCAGCACAGCAGGAGAGCTGTGGTTCTTCCCCTTGGACACCTTCAGCCCCTTGAGCTCTCACCTCCAGCCACTTAGGGTCTCCTCTAGGAAAAGGAACGCAAGAAGATGCAAGATGCTAAGATGGGTCTTTGGCAAGTAACATGAAAGCTGGCAATCTGCAGCCCCGAGCACCCCAGTGTGACATTGGCATTCCGTTTGTCTCAGGCTGCTCCCCAGTCTCCTTCTTCCCTTTGTCTCGGGCTACTCCCCAGTCTCCTTCTGGGACTCAGGTCTAACTGAGGGCTCTGTGACTTTGGTGCTTTTTGACTGCTGGGGAGGCCACGTCCTTGAGGTCAACATGTGGAGCATTTGGACCTGCCCCAGGGGCTCTCCCAGGACTCATGTTTGGAGCTATGATGAGCCACCAAGCACCCTCTAGGGGAAGGTCCGATTGGCGCTCAAAGCCCAGAGATTCAGGGACACCCAGAGTGGCTGGCTCCTTCCTCCAGGGCCCCTGCTAATAAGTGCTGTTGTAGTGACGGGGTGTGAGCAGAATGTGGTGGCGATTCTGAAAGCTGGTGTGAGTGTGTGTGTGTGTGTGTGTGTGTGTGTGTGTGTGTGTGTGCACGTATGAGAGTTTAAAGTTTACATGCAGGGAGAGTTGGAGCCAGCTCAGATGGGCTCATAAGAGCCCACAATGTCAATCTCTTCCCTGCTCTGCATTTGGTCACATGGTGTTGGTAGCTCAATAGTGGCTGTGATGGGAGTATTTGCACCATGCAAGTCCAATCCTACAGAATTGCCTCAGCTCCCTCCCCCAAGAGCCTAGTGTAAGCATTTGCCAGCACGCCACTGGTCGAATGGGCCCTCTTGTGAGGGGCTTGAAAACTTGCCAGTGAGGCTGGGTTCTGTGGCTCACACCTGTAATCAATCCCAGCATTTTGGGAGGCTGAGGCGGGCGGATCACTTGAGGTCGGGAGATCGAGACCAGCCTGGCCAATATGGTGAAACCCCATCTCTACTAAAAATACAGAAATTAGCTGGGTGTGGTGGCGCACACCTGTAATCCCAGCTACTCAGGAGGCTGAGGCATGAGAATCACTTGAACCCAGGATGCAGAGGTTGCAGTGAGCCAAGATCACGCCACTGCACTCCAGCCTGGGCAACACGAGTGAGACTCCATCTCAAAGAAGAGAAGAGAAGAGAAGAGAAGAGAAGAGAAGAGAAGAGAAGAGAAGAGAAGAGAAGAGAAGAGAAGAGAAAACAAAAAGAAACCTTGCTGGTGAGCATGACGAAGTCAGTGAATCTCTGAAGGTCCTACCAGCCACATGATCTTTCCTAAGGCCACAGCTGCTATGCGGAGGCAGGCCTGGGACTACTGGCAGCTGCCATCTGAGGAAAGTGAAGCTCAGCTCTGTGCTGTGGTGTGAGCCTCATGTCAACCCATTTTCTTTTCTTTTTCAAAAATAGAAGGCTGGGTGCGATGGCTCACACCTGTAATCCCAGCACTTTGGGAGGCTGAGGCAGGTAGATCACTTGAAGTCAGGAGTTTGAGACAAGCCTGGTGAAAATGGTAAAACTCTGTCTCTACTAAAAATACAAAAATCAGCCAGGTGTGGTGGCTCAGGCCTGTAATCCCAGTTACTCAGGAGGCTGTGGCAGGAGAATCGCTTGAACCCAGGAGGTTGCAGTGAGCAGAGATAACATCATTGCACTCCAACCTGAGTGACAGAGCAAGACTCTCTAAAATAAAATAAAATAAAATAAAATAAAATAAAATAAAATAAAATAAATAAAATAAAATAAAATAAAATAAAACAAAATAAAATAGAAACAGGGTCTTGCTATGTTGCCCAGGCTGGCCTCGAACTCTTGGCCTCAAGTGACCCTCCTGCCTCGGCCTCTCAAAGTGCTGGGATTACAGGCTGAGCCACTGTACTCAGCCCCATTTTCTTTACCTGAACCTACCCTCTCTGACCGGCCACATAACAAACACAGCCCTGTGGCCCCTGCTCAGGGTTGATACCCTACTAAAGCCAATGCTCGTCCTAGGCCTTTCTGCCCCCACTGCGGAAACAGCACATGAATACCACCTGCTGCAGAACCTCAGTGACATTCCAGGCCTGCCAGCACCTGACCTCTTCCCACCTCTCAGCTTTCCTGCCATGTCTGCCCTTCAGCCTCTCTGTCCTCCAGTCAACTGCCGAGCTCACTGTCCCCTGCCTGCTACACTTGCGTGGTCCTGCACATGGAGTTTGTGTGGCTTGGCCTGGAATGCCCTCCCTCTTTCTCTTCAGCCAGCGGGACCCTTCCCACCCTTGGTGACCCACCCAGGCCACACTGATTTCTGGGCTCCTTCTGCACTTGCTAGCAGAGCCTGCACTTGGCACTTAGGCCCACTGCCACATCCCATGTATGCATCTTGCCCCAATGGGGCATCAGGCTCCTGGAGGGCAAGTCCATCCCACTTCAGTCCCATGGGCCCAGGTAGGTGTCCCCTGGCTGTTCCAAGGGAATTTCATAGAGTAGTTAAGAGCATATAGGCTTTGGCATCAGAGAGACCTGACATTTTCCGGCTGGGGTTGGGGGTCCTTCGGCAAGTCAGCTTTCCTTTCTGAGCCTTAGTTTCTCTATCGATAGAATGGGGATAATAACAACTACCTTATGCGGTTATTTTGAGGGTCAAATGAGATTGCGCTCATCACCCCACCAATCTGCGGAGGACTCAGGACAGCGCTGAGTGATGCATTCCATGGTCTGAATACAGTCACTGCAGTAAGCAGCACACGACTGTCTCCAGGGCCACCATCTCCTCTCAATGGCTTTGGAAATGCTACTATGGACTCAATATGTCTCCTCAACGTTCATATGTTCAAGCCCTAACCCCACATGTGACTGTATTTGGAGATAAGGTCTTTAGGAGGTAATTAATGTTAAGGAAGGTCTTAAGGGTAGGGCCCTAATCCAATAGGACTGTGGCCTTATAAGAAGAGCTCTCTTTCCTGGCTGGGTACAGTGGCTCATATCTGTAATCATGACAGTTTGGAAGGCTGAAGCAGGGGGATTACTTGAGCCCAGGAGTTCAAGACCAGCCTGGGCAACATAGCAAGGCCTTGTCTCTACATTAAAAAAAAAAAAAAAAAAAAAATTAGCTGGGCATGGTGGTACATGCCTGTAGTTCTAGCCAGGAGGCTGAGTGAGAGGATCACTTGAGTCCAGGAGTTCAAAGCTGCAGTGAGCCGTGATCACACCACCACTGCACTCCAGGGTGGCCTCCAGCCTGGGTGACAGATCAAGACCCTGTTGCAAAAATAAATAAATCAAACCTCTTTCACCCTCTTTTTCCTCTTCCTCCACCGTGTGGGGACATATTGAGAAGGTGGCCATCTGCAAGCCAGGAACAGGTGCCCTCATCAGAACCTGACCATGTGGGCAACTTGATCTCAGACTCTCAGCCTGCAGAACTGTGACCAAATACACTTCCAGGGTTTAAGCCACCCAGTCTATGGCATTTTGTTATAGTAGCCCAAGCTGACTGAAACAAATAAATACCTTTATGCCTTCCTGTCACTTCTGGAGCCCCACCCACTTAAGGAAAAGCACTGTGCCAGGGCTGGGAAGTGGGTGGGCAGAAGATCATTAGACACATGGCAAGGAGAGCACAGGGCTCTGGGGTCCACCAACCCCCATCCTTCAAGCTGCAGCCTCAGGCAAACTCCCAGCCTTACTAAGCCTCCCTTTCTTCCTCTATAAAATGCGGGTACAAATAACTGTCTCTTAGGGCTGTTATAAAGATTCCTCCATTGATTCAGCAATTACTGAGTTGCCACTGTGTGCCAAGCACTGCTCTAGGTGTTGGAGATACAGTTGTGAACAAGACAGACAAAAATCCCTGTCTCCTTAGAGCTTACACTACTTGCATGTAGTGGGTGTCGGATGACGAATAAATGAGACATAGAGATGTCATGTGCCAGATGCTGACATATGCTATGGAGGAAAATAAAGCAGGTTAGGGGGAATTGGGAGTGGGCATGGGTCCATGTCAAAGAGGGTGGGCAGGGACAGCCTAGTTAAGAAGGTAATCTTTGAGGAGAGGTAAGGTGTTTCCAGCAGAGAAGCTGCAGGTGCAAAGGCCCTGAGGCAGGAAGTGTGCCTAGCTCTCGAGGGAACTGCAAGGCTGCGGCAGTTGGGCCAGATTGCATAGGGCTCTATGGCCATGGTAATGACAATAATGATCAAGCTAACATTTATAGAGTACTTTCCACATACCACACCTCATTCCAAGCAGTTACTGCTATTAATGCACTTAACACCACTCACAATGATGCTATGAGAGAAATGCTCCCTGCATTTTACATGGTCAGAAATGAAGCAGAGAGGAGGCATGACTTGCTGAAGGTCACAGCACTAGTTGGTAGAGGCTGGCTTTTTCTCTGAGTAAGAGAGACAGCCACTGGAAGGCTTTGAGCAGGAGTGACCTGGCTTACATTGCAAAAGTCTCGACCCTGCTGTGTTGAGGGCAGATTGTCAGGGTAAAGGCAGGGAGATTCATTAGGGGATGTTGCCACATATCGTTAGGGGGCAAGAGAGGATCCAGTGGATGGAGGCATGTAAAGTCCTCAGCACTTGCCTGGCACACAGAAAGTGTTCCCTAATGTCATATCCCTTCTTCTCCTCGTGCTTCTGAAGGACAGCATAAAGAGGGGCAGGGGAAGGAAGGTGGATGTTCAGGGTAGTCTTTGCTCTGTGAGGGCCAGAGTTCAGTAGGGATTGTGAAGGGCCCACACATCACACATGCCACACCCGGCCTGGCTGCAGCTGTCCCCAGAATGGCTTGGGTGGAGATGGGGGTCAAGGGAGGGGAGCTAGCATGGACCTGGAGGAGGAGGACGATGGCCTGGCAGGCAGGAATGAGTTCGGCCCAACGGAGGGCTCACCTGGCAAGCAAATTTCTAGGACCCAAAGATCTGGCCTTGCTTATAAACCTGTCTCAGTGACAGCCCTGCTATTTTAGCTGCCCCTTCTCAGCATCTTCTCAACAGGCAGGGGCTCAGAACACCAGTGCCCTGCACAGAGGTACACTTCCTCTTCCCACCCTATTCCAAAGTCCCCTTGTTCCCTGACACTCTCATTCTGACTGCAAGCCAGGGGCCACGTCTTCCCAGGCCCTGCGCAGTTGGTCTGGCTAGAGACGGCCCAAGGGCGAGAGATGGCTGCCCTTTCTGCAGCTGTTCTCATGCATTGGCTTCTGTGCTAAGGGTTCCACATGTATTTGATCCACGTCACAATTGTGGACGGTTGGGCATTTTATTCTCATTTCACAGATGAGGAAACTGAGGCTTAGAGGCAAAACAGTGTATGCAAAGCCATACTCCTAGGGCAGAGGTGGAACTGGGATTGGAACCCATGGTCAATAGTCCCTACACCTACTTCCCACAGCCACTGCCTAAGGAGCTGCTCCATCCAGCTCCTGACCAGGAAACAGATGGGCCAGAGGCTGTAAGTTTCAGGGTTGGGGTAGCCAATGTTAGAGCTCTGCCACTGACTGGCAATGTGACTGGGGCAAGTTACCTAAGGTAGGTAGGTCCCCACCGTGCAACTTGAGGATAATAATAATAATACCTATATAATAATAATAACTATATCTCATAGAGCTGTCAGGATAATGTTCCCCTAAAGACTTAGAACATGGTGGTAAATATTTAATAAATGATTACTTTTATGATTAAAATTATTATTTATTATGATTGGGTTCAGACTCAGTAATAATAAGCTGCACTCTCCCCTGACCTCCTTTTCCATTTGTGCTCACAAGGCTGCTACTGGAGGGAGCTCTTGGCTCCAGCCCAGCTGGCCAGCTCCCTGACCTCCCAACACATGGCTTATCCCTGCATATGCTGCTTCCCCCTGCCCCCCGTGTGAAGCCCATCCCTCCTTCCAGACCCAACATCAATCCTGGGAGAAGCTTTGCCCATCAGCTCTGGCCCTTTTCTGTCCCCATGTGTTGGGGTGAAGCCCGGAGCATTGGGTGAGGTATGGGGCTTGTGTCAACGCTGGCTGTCTCTCTCTCCCATCATAAAGAATAGTATTTTCATTTCCAGATTAAAGAGCATTCGCAGGGTGCCAGGACACTCACCTTGCTAAGAGAGTGGCCAGGGAGAGCCGAGTTAAGAAGGTAATCTTTGAGGAGAGGTAAGGTGTTTCTGGCAGAGGAGCTGCAGGTGCAAAGGCCCTGATGCTAAGTGTTTTATTGACTTTATCTTATTTAAATTTCTCATAACAACTCTAAGAGAAGTTAAATAATATGTCCCAGATCACACAACTCAGAATGGCGGAGCTAGGATAGTTGTGAACGTGCTTGTTTTTTCTATTTCACTAGTGAGGAAACTGAGGCACAGAGGTTTCTCTAGTGAAATAGGAAACTATTTCACTAGAGAGGAAACTGAGGCATAGAGATTAAGCGACTAGTAAGTGGCAAACTCAGAACACGGTTATTTCTGCTGACAAAGCCCAAGTTCTCACCTGCTGTGCTCTGTGATGCCTGGTCCTCCTCATTACATGTGACTGGAATTGTTTCTCTTCCTAGAGCTTATCTCTGCTATCTCTGCAGAGTGACTGCAAGCTGCTGGTCAGCTCAGGTCAGAGAGCATGACTGATTCCCCTGGTACACCAAGCTACTATGCTGGGCCCTGGAGCTTGATGATTTGCTGACCTCAGGGAGCTGATAATCAAAAGCAGGAGAAAGAGTGTAGAAACCAACATACTTTTAAAAATAGCTAATATTGGCCGGGTGTGGTGGCTCACGCCTGTAATCCCAGTACTTTGTGGGACCAAGGCAGAAGGATCATTTCAACCCCGGAGTCCATACCAGCCTGGGCAACACAGGGAGACTGTCTCAACAGAAAATTAAAAAATTAGCTGGGTATGGTAGCTCGTGCCTGTGGTCCTAGCTACTTGGGAGGCTGAGGTAGAAGTATTGCTTGAGACCAGGAGGTCGACGCTACAGTGAGCTGTGATCATGCCACTACCCTCCAGCCTGGGCCACAAAGCCAGACCCTGTCTCAAAAGACCCTAAAAAACAAAAACAAAACACCTAATGTTTATCAAGCTCCTCCTTTGTGCTAGGTGCTAAACACTGTTCTAGTAACAGCATTGTGCTAACTCATTCAACTCCTCACATGAGGTAGGTGAGGAAACTGGGGCATAGAAAAATTAAATAATGCCCCAGATCACATAGCTGGGAATGGGGGAGCTAGGATAGTTGTAAAGCATCAAGAGGATACACCGCAACATTGTAAAGCTCCAGGGTAGGCTTTAACTTTGTAACATACCAGGGAAGTACTCTGCAACATCGTAGCATACCACAGTACACTGTAACTTTACAACACACCAGGAGAGTAGACTGCAACATTGTAATGTGCCACAATATATTGCAACATTGTAAGTTTATATTAGGTATAGGAAGAGTGAAGACCGGGAGGAATCAATGGTTTAGGGGTCCAGCCAAGGGAGCTCCCCAAGATGTGACAACTAAGCAGGGCTTTGAAGAATGAATAGGAGTATCTTGGGAATTTGGAAGGAAATGGAAGTGGGAGAGATCCATTCCAGACAGAGGGAACAGCATAGGCAAAGAATAGTGTGTTCAAAGTTATAAAAATATCTCTGGTATTATTGGCAGAAAGTGCAAAGGGTGGGCAGTGGTGCAGGGGAGGTGCGGTAAGGAGTGAGTTAAGGTCAGAGAGCAGGGACAGAGCGGGGCAGAGTGAGTAGTCCTTGTGAAGACGCTGGACTTCTTCCTGCAGACAAGGGGAGCTGCCAGCAAGTTTCAAACAGGGCACTTATAAGGTCATATTGTAGTTTTAGCCATAGGGAAGTCCACAACCAGGCAAAGGGAAAATTAAATTTATTGGGAGGTACAAATCAGCAAGGCTCATCGAAATGTTAAACAAGGGCAGAGTGAGCAGGAACTGGGATGACACGATGACCAGGACTCTAGCTTGGGTCACAGAGTGGCACAGGTGCCATCCAATATGAATTAGGGAATCCAAGAAGGGTTTTCTCAAGCTTTAGCTTTGTCCCCATCTTCTGCCCCCCTCCCCAGTGCTCTGAATGCAACAAGGGCTCAACCAGAGCTTGATGGTCACCACTGCCTCATGATAAGCCCATCTGGAGCCAAGGAAAATGTTATCTAGAACCACAGGTATCTTCTATGTTGGGCAGGTCCTGTTAAACAAAGGCCTATCCAGTCTCTGTCCACTCAGGTGAGCTCCCTAATGTTTGGAGATGCGAATGCCACTGAGTTTAGGAGTAGGAGCTAGAAAGGGCTTTGCTTAACAGAGTGAAAGAAATTTGAATTTGGGGAAAATCCTGTAGGACAATAGGGAGGAGGAGTGATGGCAGAGTGCAGAGGAGAGAGGATCCTGGGAGGATCCAAGAGTCCAGAGAGAGAGTGATGTCACCATCTCTGGTGACAGCGAGGTGGGGTGCCTACCAGAGACCTAACGCTCAATTTGAAGATGTTTGCAATTCTGTAATTTAAATACCTCCTCTGCCCTCCTCTTTGCCACAGCTTCCCTTCAGGATAGGCTGCTAGACTCATAAATACCTGCTGTGTTTATGCAGCAGTGTGGAAGGCTGGAAAACTGAGGA
This sequence comes from Homo sapiens, assembly GCF_000001405.40. Taxonomy (NCBI): domain Eukaryota; kingdom Metazoa; phylum Chordata; class Mammalia; order Primates; family Hominidae; genus Homo; species Homo sapiens. The sequence goes on along the minus strand of NC_000014.9, from coordinate 69,491,201 downwards.
ATAAAAGCTGAGTTCCACCTCTGGTTGTGCAACAAGGACCGTGTACATTGGTCAGCAAATTAATCCATCAACCAAGAAACTAGTTTACAGCCTCTTAGAGATTAACAGAAACCTTGGTACAGATTTTAGACTTCCTTTAGATATGGGATTTGGTCTTGGGACCAAATTTATCTCACTCTCAAGAGAGCAGCAAGAGCCTAGTGGATGTGTGAGTTACACATGAGTTACATTTTCCAGGAAGGCGAACATCCAGCCTGGCTTCTCCCTCTTCCCCGGGCACAAACTTCCAGAATAGGCCCAGCAGCCAGTCTCCCTCCTCTCCGAGCCTCCTGGATACTGAGAATGGCTATGTAGGGGGTGGAACTGGAGAAGGACTGCCCTCAGAAGTGTCCTTTTCAGAACTGGCAGAAGGAAGGTAGAAATGACACAGCCCCAGTGTGTGTCCCTTGTGTCCATTCTGGATGGCCTGGTGTGCTCAGGAAATGCTCATCCTGGCCTGTGCTTCTCATCTGGCATCCAGTCTAAGATGGCAGAACAGCAGGAATTCTATCTGTGAAATGCATGAGTCATGACACATTAGAGTTCAGAGAGATTATCAAGTCCAAGGGGGCTCAAAAAACTTAGTCCCCCTGGAACAAGTATTCCAACAACAGTAAGACAACCGTAATGTGTAAAACAGGAGTCTTCAACCCCTGGGCCCTGGACCAGTACCAGTCCATGGCCTGTTAGGAACTGGGCCACACAGCAGGAGATGAGCAGGTGAAGCTTCATCTGTTTTTACAGCTTCTCCCCGTGGCTGGCATTACCGCCTGAGCTCCGCCTCCTGTCAGATCAGCGGCGGCATTAGATTCTCATAGGAGCACCAACCCTTTTGTAAATTGTGCATGGCAAGGGATCTAGGTTGCACAGTCATTATGAGAATCTAATGCCTGATGAAACCACCCCCACACCCACCCCTGTCCTTGGAAAAATTGTCTTCCATGAAACCAGTCATGGCACCTGGTGCCAAAAACGTTGGGGACTGCTGGTGTAAAACATATAACAGGGGGCTCATGCCTGTAAACCCAGCACTTTGGGAGGCCGAGGCGGGCAGATCACCTGAGGTCAGGAGTTTGAGAACAGCCTAGCCAACATGGCGAAACCCCATCTCTACTCAAAAATACAAAAATTAGCCGGGCATGGTGGTACATGCCTGTGATCCCAGCTAATCGGGAGGCTGAGGTATGAGAATTCCTTGAACCTGGGAGGCAGAGGTTGCAGTGAGCCAAGATCACGACACTGTACTCCAGCCTTGGTGACAGAAGGAGACTCTCTCTCAAACAAACAAACAAACAAACAAACAAAAAATATATATAACAGTGCAGAGGTATTGCTTGAAGTGGGTGGGGAGTCTTGGAGCTGTACCCCTGTTCCCCATTCCCTTGTGGTAGACTCAAGGCACCTCTGGGGTCATTTGTGGCACACAGTTTGACCCATCCCATTCCCACTCTATAGATGAGACACTGCTGGCCAGTGGGGTGAAATGCCACAGCCTGGATCATGCAGCTGGTTACTGGCAGAGCTGGGGCTGGAACTTGGAGCACCTGCCTCTAAGCTTAGATTCACTTTCTTTTTTTTTCCTTTTTTTTTTTTTTTTTTTTTTTGAGATGGAGTATCACTCTGTCCCTCAGGCTGGAGTGCAGTGGCTCAATCTCTGCTCATTGCAACCTCCACCTCCTAGGTTCGAGCGATTCTCCTGCCTCAACCTCCTGAGTAGCTGGGATTACAGGCACCCACCACCATGCCTGGCTAATCTTTGTATTTTTAGTAGAGACAGGGTTTTGCCATGTTGGCCAGGCTGGTCTCCAACTCCTGACCTCAAGTGATCCACCCACCTTGGACTCCCAAAGTGCTGGAATTACCAGCCACCACACCCGGCCTTAGATTCACTTTCTACCATACCCACAGCTGCTCTCAGAAGCAATTACTTTGTTATTTTTAAGTCTTGGGTACAAGGAAGCTGAACTCTCTGCAAGCTGGAGGTCTGACCCATACACAGGTGAGACTCATTTTCAAATAGGACATCAACAGCCATGGAGGGCAGCTCCTCAGGGAGTGGGTGAGAAAGAAATGCCACCTGTTTGCACAATTAACTCACTTAACTTTGGCAGACCTGGTCTGGGTAAATAATCATACGACCCCAGTGACCTGATGTGTATCATTTCATTTATGGCTGGGTGATCCAGAGAGTGTGCCCATCTCCCTAACCCAAGGATTCACTGTAACCTGGATGCTACCAGCACAGAAAGGGAAGAGGGTGATGGGTAGAGGAATCTGAGGAGACTCAGAAAAGGCACCTTCCCCCTGCCTCTGTGCCTCAGTTTCCTATCGTGAGCTTGGGAGAACAGCTCTGGAACAAGGAGCCAGAGAGTGAAAAACACTATGAAATCTTCAGAATAAAGTAATTTGGTCACTTTTTTTTCTGGAGGCAGAGACACTGTTCCCCAAGTCCTTCTTCTTTATCAATGCTGAAAGAGCTCCTCTGCTCTGTCCCCTCCCCAACTTCCCACACACATTAGCAGAAGATCCCTGCCCCTCAACTGCCACCTGGTCACTGTTCCCCACACCCTATGTTGCCACTCTGGTAGAAGTTTGAAGAATAGAAGTTTATTTTTTAAAGGGGGTCCTTCAGGCACCCTCCACAGAGGAAATGTTACAATTCTGCTTGTGGGATACCTCACACAGCCAGCTGAGGGAAATGCCAGGGGTGCCAGAAAGTGAGACCAAACCCCAGGGTCACCAGGGTGAGGCTGAGCCTAGTGCCGTGAAGCTGACATGATAGGCTCTTCTCTCTGCTCTGGGAAAGCTCGGCATTGGTGTCACCTCTGGGAAGCAGTGCTGAGCACCAAAGTCAAAACCCTGGGCTCCAAATCCCTGTGGGAAGAAAGTCTCCTCTAGTCTTTTTGGCATGGTGACCCTCATCTGCACAGATAATCTTTACACACTGTACAGGTTGTGGCCTGAGATTTAGGACACATGGCCACTGTCTCCATGGCTCCACTGGCACCAGGTGGACACAATGAATCTTAGCTCCCTAAGTCAGGGACCCACCGATGCTCTGCAAGAGTAAACTGCGGAGCTCGGTTCAGGCCCTACTGGCTACCCTGCCCCTGGGGAGGAGAAGGGGTGAGGAGGATTATAGATGCTCCTGTTGCAGGAAGGAAGTGGGTGGGTCCTCCTCCTTAGGGGTTCCGGCCTTGGGAAGTGTTCAGCAGGGATTTGGGAGGTGGAATAGAATGCTGGAAAAAGCATTCAATCTCAGGAAAGAATTAGTCTAGGCCAAGCCCTCACAGCATGACACTGGCTGAGGCTGAGATTTCCCACCCCCTTCCTCTTTGTCCTGGCACTGCCCAGGTCTTTGCACTTCCATCTCCACTCACAGACCAAGATGAGGACACAGTCAACAGCCTTCCCTTCTAGACATCTCTCCCAGATTATCTGATCTCTGCTAATTAATGCTTTTGATTCCCTTCCCCTTTTGTTGCCCCCAGGAAATAAGTTGACCCTTCAGCTCAAGGGCACCTTCCCACCCCAGGCAGGCAGGGCTGCTTGGGCGGTGGAAGCTGGAGGCACAGGTCCTAAGACAGACCCTGAGTGGAAAAGGTTTTATAGAACCCAGCTGGCCACAGCCAGTTCTCTCCAGCTTATTCTTTACTAATGCAGTGCTGAGACTTTTCAGGCCCCCTCCCCTTAACTGCTCCAGCCAGGGCATTGATCGCCCTAATGGCAAGGCTCTGCGGTGGCGGCCCTCAGCTGCTCTGTCCCCAAGTCTTCCTGTGGCTGCTAATTAGCTGAGCCCACAGACTCTACTTTACAAATGGGAAGCTGGGGCCCAGGGGGCCCTGATGGGAAGTGAGAGGGGGCTGAGCTGAGCATCTTTCTCCCCCACACCCAGGCCCTCTCTGGCTGGCTCTGTCACTGACCCAAGACTAAATAGCGTGTGTGTGTGTGTGTGTGTGTGTGTGTGTGTGTGTGTGTGTTGTGTATTCCCAGAACTGAGAACACAGAGGCCTAGAATGGGCAGGTGGGATGTTAGTTCTTTCTTGAGCCCCAGGTAGTCTTTGCACAGTGGCAGCTCTGAAATTCCTACAAAGGAAGGGAACCCAGGTAACAATCTCCTTGGAAGGAGGCTAAAGGACTTGACTTTTAGCTGTATTAGCAGAGCATACATACTGCTCAGACTCTGATTGCATCGTTTCGGGTGGCTTTGGGGGCCACGGTAGTGGATGGAGGAGAAGATGGAGTCTCTGGGTGGGGGACACTAAACCTCTCCAAGCCTCCTTGGCACTACCATTGTGCTTTTAGCTGGGGGCCTATGCCCTGTACTCCTGACACTTCCTAGCCCTGGAATCAACTGTAGGTGCAGAGACCAGTTTCCCAATGTACCTGCAGTGGTGAAGGGGAGGACCAGGGGACATACCCTGGGGGTCACAAGCACCTAGCATTTTCTAGGGATGCTGTCAGGTGAAAATGTCTGGCAAGAGAAGTCTTGGTTGACAGGACCCAGAACAGCAGCCAGACCCAATAGAAAAGAAAGATTAACTATCTGGAGCTGCTGAGGCAGAAGAAAGATGGGTGGTGGGGGGAGATATTCTGCTAATTGTGCTTGAATCTACACACAGCCTTTCCACCCCAGCTCTCCTGGCCCTGGGGGCTGTAGCTCACATAGCACAATACTGGAAGCTCCCCAAATACACTCCATGTTGCTCCAAGCCTTCATTTAGGGGGTCAGAGATAAGCTGAACTTTGGAGGAACTCAAGAAGCCTGTATCCCATTAAATCCCAGAGAGAAACCTGTCAGAAGCAACAAAACAACATGAAACCAGAGATATAAAATGTGAGCTACTGTCCACAGCTCCATTTGTTCTGCGGTCTTATAGAAACATTAAATTATTCATCAGAACAGAACATCAGCACCCACCACTACCACATCCACATGATCTGTGGTCCTGGGAACATTGGAGGCCCCCTCTGCTCAGGGGCAGACTCATAGAGTGTGGGATGGGGAAGGGGCATCTGGATACCCCTGGTTTCCTGGAAGGGTCACACCTCCGCGGAAGGGCTGGACAGGGTCTGCATTCTCCAGGCCATACCAGTAGTGAATCTCAGAACTGAAATTGACTGGAGAGTGGAAACTGTCCAGAAAATGGCCCACAGCACCTGCAGCCAGTTGGGAGCTTCCTGCAAGTCCAGGGCTGTGAACTCCCTCTTCCCTCAATACCTCCCAGGCTAATTTGTAAGTGGAGAGTGGCTACCGATGTCCGCGGAGTCGCGTCTGAGTTGGGGACCAGGCAGCTGGGGCTGAAGGATGGTTGGGACTACCCTGTCTCTCTCCACCACCCCTTTCAGAGGATCAATCCTTGGCAGAACCAATCTATCCCCTCCTTCACTCCAGCTGCCTCCCTCCTTTCCAGCTCCTCCGTCTGAAGCACTAGAATCTCTCTTCCCTGTGCTCACTTTTAAAAAAATTATTTCAAGGGACAGTTGGAGGGGTTGCCAAGGTCACTTCCCCATGGACAAGCACCCTTCCTGGCCCTTCCTCCCTCCTTAGCCTGAGCCTTTCAGAAGGGCCAGGTCCCTCTCCGTCTTAAGGGTGGGTGGTTGGCGGGAGGGAGACACTCAGGCCCGGTCCTCGCGGCCTGGGTCAGGGGTTGTGAAGACGATGGAATTGACAGTGGGGGTCCCGGGGTTGGGGGCATCTTTGGCTAGAGATGGAGTTTCTGCCTCCCCTCAGTCTGGCCTGATCTGACCTAGCTGGGATCCCACCCCGACCACGGTCTCTTCTGCCCACACCCAACATTCCCACTCGAGGGTCAGGTTCATTCCATAGAGAATTTGCCACCGCCCCAGGGCAGGGGCCCCATCTCCATTCTCCCGGCCCAGACTATGGTCCACATTTTCCTGCGGGAGCCAGTGTAGAGTGAAAAGGGGTGACGCCAAGGTCACACAGGAAAGCAGAGGCACGACGGCGACTGGAGGGGGTGGGAGGGGTAACGACGCCCAGGCTCTCTCCCCGGCGGTCTCCTTGGGGCGCGGGGGCGCACTCACCGCCGGGACCACTTGGCCGACGGCCTGCCGAAAGGCCTCTTCCACAGCACGCCGTAGAGCTGCACTTTGGTGCTGATATCCAGGGCGTCCGAGTCAGCCTGCTCCAGGGACGGCGAGGGCGACACCGAGTTGGACTTGGACGTGAACATCCTGCCTCAGCGGGGCTGTGCCCGGCCCGGACCCCACCTCCCCGGGGTCAGCAGGGACTCGGGGCGAGAGGCGAGGGCGGAGCCGTCGGAGAGCGTCCCAGCGAGCAGAGAAGCAGAGCGGCCCGGCCCGGAGCTGCAGCATCAAAGCGCGCTGGGCACTGGACGCGGCACCAAGGGGGCGCAGGGCGCGTAGCCGGCGGCTTGGGCTCCGGATTGCAGAGGGCCGGGCGGGAACTCCGCGGGGAGGGTGGCTCAGCCTCGGGCCGGCAGCATCTCCTCCCCTCCCGCCCTAGCCACCCACCCCCCCGGCGACAGCCCCAATTCTGGTGGCCCCGATTGGCTGGGAGTGGCAGGTGAGCCGGCGGGAGGCCGGCCTCGGGCGCCAATCAGGGCGGGCGCCGGCTGGAGGGCCGGGCTCCGTGCGTCCAGAAGGTCCCTGCGGGTCGCAGGGCCCGGGGACTTGGCCGCAGCGCGTCCCCGTCCCCGCCCCGCGCGCCCAACACCACCCCGGGGTCCCTCTCGGCGAGCAGCGCCGACATCGAGACGAGGGCCACGTCCGCTTTGCAATGGGGTTGGAGGCACTCCTGCAGACACCTGCTCGCCTCGGGGTGGAGGAGAGGACGGAGCTAGGGCGTAGGGTCACACACTCCGGCCTGGAATTCCACCGCAATTCCTACCGCTCCGTGAACTGCGGCGGTCTGGCTTTTCTCCCCAGTGAAGTGGCGATGCCTGATGCCCCGGGCAGGCGGGTGGCCAGGTAGGACTTCAGGAAGTGCCCAAAGTGCCCGCATGGGGAGGGGCTCCATCAAGATTGGGTTCCCCCCAACCCTTCCCCCTCAGGTGGGTTTCACTGTGCTCCGCCGCCGCCGCCTAGCGCGCATCGGATCGGATTTCTCTTCCTGGAACCTGACCGTGTCTGTGTCGGCATTTGGCACTCAACGCCAGTCTGGAGCTATCCGTGCAGTGTGTGTCCGTGATTTATCTGCGCGCCTGGCCCGCGCTCCCTGGGACCAGCTGTTCCATCCGCTTCCGCTCCTTTCGGAGTTGGCGTTTGGGGTGACCGGCTCATTTTCAGGCCAGGGAGATGCCGGCCGGGCCCCAGGGGACCGCCTCCTCCCGGCAGGTGGAAATGCTAGGCTGGCACAGCTGCCTGCCCCGCGCCACCTGCCAGGCGTGGAGACCGCGCAGTGAGCGGCCGCCCGCCAGACCACGCCGCAGTCGCGCTTTTCCAAGATGAGGAGCCAAGGACGCCTCTGGAAGTCGGATTGCAACAGAAGTTTACAAATGGTTAGCCCGAGAGCCAGATCCACATTGCTTTATGAATTTGCCCCAAGTTTTTAAATTGAGGTATACTTCATGGTAAAATGCACACATCTAAGTTATTTCTTTGATGAAGGTATATAAGATGTAACCCCACCCAAAGCAACAGACAGAACATTTCCATCACCTGCAGAAAGTTTCTTCATGCCCCTTTATAGTCAATCAGCCCCCCAACAACAACCACTTGTATCATTCTTACCACCTCTGCACAGTAGACTTAAGTCTTTGAATGTAATGCCTAAAGGCGCATCCCCACAGGCCCCATCATCCCCTATTGTCTGACCTGCCTGGCCCCTCTGCAGGCATTTGGATGTGTGACGCCCACTAGATGTTCCCCAAGGCCATGCTAGATCTCCCCATTTTATGACTCTAGCTAATCATCACCCTGGTACTCTTCCCTTAACCCCCTCTGGGGTTCCCAAGCTCAGACAGCATCCCCTTGTTGCTCACTGTCAAGAAGTGCCCATCTGAATTCCTTGCACTTCTCTCATGGCTCAGGCCCCCATGCAGAACATCTCAGGCCAAGCCTTAACACAGGGCCCGGGGCTTGGCTCCATCAGGTGGGAGGAGGTGGGACTGGGAAGATGATGAGAGCCCGGGGCCAGAGTACAAAGTGGACATTTTCTGTATATTTTTTGTCTATTTCTGACACATGGTCTAATGCTTGGAAATCTTCCCACTTTAGGAGCCCTGCTTTTCTTTTCTTTCTTTTTTCTTTCTTTCTTTTTTTCTTTCTTTCTTTTTTTTTTTTTAGAGAGATGGGGGTCTCATTATGTTGCCCAGGCTGGTCTTGAATTCCTGGCCACAAGTGATCTTCCCACCTCAGCCTCCCAAAATGCTGGGATTACAGGTGTCCTGCTTTTCTAAGATGAAAGCTAGAAAACTTGTGTTAGGAGCCTGTGGTCTGGAGTTCACCAGTCAAGGGCCCCTGACTTTGAGTTGCAGGTAACAAATGTGAGGAAAAAGCATACACAGGCTTGCACTTTTCAAGGGAACATGGTGGCACATGCATCTGACGTGCCTTGGGTGACAGCTGTGTGCTCCTGGGGTGGCAGCAGCATGTGTGGTGGGTACCACAGCAGTCATGGGGAGGTGGGCTCCTAGTAGTGCACAAACAGCAGCAGCAAGAACTCAGGGGCAGCTGCAGCATTCTCATCCAACAGCTTCTGCAGCACTTCTTAGATATGGTTCCTGGAAGCTTTGCCTCAGGCCTGGCTCCCTGGCTCTCCCAATATCCTTTTAGTACATTCATTTCTTTTCTGCTGAGTCAGGTCAGTTGCAGCTTATGGCTGCTGGTGATGAGGACTAGTGGTGAGTTTGTGAGCCATGTGGGCCAGAGAAAGGCAGGATACCTGCAATCATTCAAAAGAAGTCCTGCACGGTAGGGCCCAGTGAGCCCAGATAATCCTGGGGAAGGCTGATTCCTTCAATAAGAGAAGTGAAGCACAGGTTTCTTCAATGACAAAGAGCAACCAATCTTTACCTATTCCCTCTGCATACAGGACGTATGAATAGACCTCAGATAATAGCAGTTAAGGCTGGGTGAAAGGAAGGCTCTGAGGCAAACAGCTGGAGTTTGATCAACCACTAGATACTTGAGTGGTTTCTGTTCCCCTTGACTAACCAGCCCAGACTGCACCAGGTCAGCCTTGGGAGAAGCTGTTTCTGCTTCCATTGTGTTCTCTACCTCAGCTGGTAGGCGTGCTGAAATCCTGGCTGAGTTCTACAGAAGACAGAACAAGCCAGGTGCCAATCCTGTGCGCTAGACCAAGTGGGTCAGGGCCGCCCAATCTTGCCAGGAAGTAAGTGAGACCAGTCAGGGGTGAAAACTCAGGATCCCTAAGTGCCCTACACTGCTCAGACACAGAGCTGATGTTCTAATACATTATTTACAACAGACACATTTCATTTAATTTTTACTATAGACCTATGAGGTACATACATATTATTTTTAGTTTTCCAGATGAGAAAAATAAAGTTCAAAAGCGTTGTCTACGTAAGTCACATAGCTAGTAATTTCCCAGAACATGATATAGGTCCTAAATATGTGTTGAATGAGGGAAAGTGACAAGCTGAAGTTTGGCCTGAGTCCTTAGCCCTTCCCCTTCACCTTGCAGCACACTGTCATGTGAAGTGAAGTGCAGTCTAGGAAATACTAGACCACTTTCAGTCTTTCCTCTCTTTTCAGGAATTTTTCTCAATTGCCAACTCACCTAGGGCTCAATTTCCTGTAGAACTGACAAAGCAATTCTACGAGTGCTACAGAATTTTAGCTGTGCTCAGGGATAGACTCCTAATGAACATATTTTTTTGTTGTTGTTGTTAGAGACAGGGTATCACTCTGACCCAGGCTGGAGTACAGTGGCGTGATCATAGCTCACTGCAGCCTCGACCTCCTGAGCTCAGGTGATCCTCCCATCTCAGCCTCCTGAGTAGCTGGGACTACAGATGCACGCCACCACATCCTGCTATTTTTTATTTATTTATTTATTTTAAGAGATGAGGTCTCACTATCTTGCCCAGGCTTGAACATACATTTTTATAATATTGTTTTATCCGTAGTCTGCAGGCAGATGTGATAGTCCCCACTTTTCCATAAAACAAATATTAGCATGGCCATTTTAAGTGACTAGCCCATGGTAAGGAAATGTGTGAATACCGTAGGGAATCCATCTCTTCAATCTTATATTTCAGGCTGCGCGTGGTGGCCCATGCCTGTAATTCCAACATTTTGGGAGGCCGAGATGGGTGGATCACTTCAGGTCAGGAGTTTGAGACCAGCCTGGCCAACATGGCGAAACTCCATCTCTGCTGAAAATACAGAAATTAGCCAGGCATAGTGGCGCATGCCTGTAATCCCAGCTATTCAGGAGGCTGAGGCAGGTGACTTGCTTGAGCCTGGGAGGCAGAGGTTGCAGTAAGCCAAGATTGTGCCATTGCACTCCAGCCTGGGAGACAAGAGCAAGACTCTGTCTCAAAAAAGAAAAAAAAAAATCTTATACACAAGGGTATTATTTAGCCCACTAAAACCAGGAATGGGCAGGAAACATTGCCTAATAGAAAATGGTGACAGAGGTCACCTGGAGTCATCGTTATTGGACTACCATGAGCCACAGAAGCTCCCAGCAACCTGGACAAAAGTGGCTCTTCCCATAGTGCCAACTCCTCAGCTCCCTGCCCCTCTGTCCCTGACCCCACCCTCAGGCAGGCCACGTCGTGTCTACTTGTTTCCAGGCTTGTGCCAAGTGAAGGACCCAGGAATGCTGCGACTCTGGCTTCAGCACCGGCATCTGTCTGTCAGCTGGGCCCAGCCCAAGTATCCCTGAGGGGCCAAGAAGCAGAAGAGGCAGAAAGACCTGAGCTCCAGGCCAGGCCCTGCTGCAGCACCAAGTGTCATCCATGGAACCCCTTTCCCTCCTCCAAGCCTCCTTCCACCATTCAGGCTCCTGCCCTAGATTGCACAAGGCTGTGGCACCGATTTCAGCTGAAACCATACCCTCCTCTGTCTTCCCGTGGATCTTTGTCCATCGCCCATTCTAACACACGTCTGTCTGCCTTGTTTGGAGTTTTTCTGTATGTGTTTTCTTCCCTTTCAAACTTGGAGGTCCTTGAAGACATAGTCCAGGGCATGTGGTGGGTGCTCAGCAAATGCTTACTGAATCGGTTTGTCCTCGCTTAGCCTCTGTTCAGGTGCTGCCATTTCCTGTTTCAATTTGCCAAACAAATGGAGACTGACCTATCAGGTCCTCAACTTCCCCTCCTCTATAAAATAGTCTGTGTGTGTGGCGGGGGGGTTGGGAACGTATGTGAAAGCAATCTCTAGATGGCAGATTGGTCACCTGCTTCTAGTGTTAACATAAGTTTAAGTCCAGGCTCTGCCACCAGCTGTATGAACTAAAGACAATCACTGGGCTTCTCTGGGCTTTCGTGTTCTGAAGGAACTCCTCCTTCCACTCTCAACTTGCTTCATGTCCAACTTTTTTTGTTATTATTATTATTTTTTTAGAGATGGGGTCTTCCTATGTTGCCCAGGCTGGCCTCTAACTCCTAGGCTCAAGCGATCCTCCTGCTCTGGCCTCCGGAGTAGCTGGGACCACAGGTCCACACCACCATGCCTGGCTCATATTCACCTTTCTCACTAGGACTGTGCAATACCATTTTCTGGTGACTCTTCCCACCAACAGCTGACTCCCTAAATAATCCAGCTCCCCACCATCATGCGTGCTCTTTTCAAGGCCCCAAGCTGATCCTGTAAGTCTCTTGTGTAAAGCCCTCTGCTGGGTCCCATTCCCTTGACCCCAGCTCCTACCTCCTGACTTTGGCTCTAACACTGATACGGTTTGGCTGTGTCCCCACCCAAATATTATATTGAATTCCCATGTGTTGTGGGAGAGTACTAGTGGGAGGTAGTTGAATCATGGAGGAAGGTCTTTCCAGTGCTGTTCTCATGATAGTGAATAAGTCTCACCAGATCTGATGGTTTTAAAAAGGGGAGTTTCCCTGCACGAGCTCTCTTCTCTCATCTGTCACCACGTGAGACATGCCTTTCACCTTCTACCATGATTGTGAGGTCTCCCCAGCCACATGGAACTGTAAGTCCAATAAACCTCTTTCTTTTGTAAATTGCCCAGTCTCAGGTATGTCTTTATCAGCGACGTAAAACCAGGCTAATACAAACACCCTTCACAGTCTAGTCCCTGGCCCTGTCCGCACTCAAAAGTTTGTACCAGTAGAGTAGGGTGCTGCTGAAAAGTTACCCAAAAATGTGGAAGTGACTTTGGAACTGGGTAACAGACAGAGGTTGGAACGGTTTGGAGGGCTCAGAAGAAGACAGGAAAATGTGGGAAAGTTTGGAAGTTCCTAGAAATTTGTTGAATGGCTTTGGCAAAAATGCTGATAGTGATATGAACAATAAGGTCCAGGCTGAGGTGGTCTCAGATGGAGATGAGGAACTTGTTGGGAACTGGAGCAAAGGTGACTCTTGTTATATTTTAATAAAGAAACTGGTAGCATTTTGCCCCTGCCCTAGAGATTTGTGGAACTTTGAACTTGAGAGAGAAGATTTAGGGTATCTGGTGGAAGAAATCTCTAAGTAGCAAAGCATTCAAGAGGTGACTTGGGTGCTGTTAAAGACATTCAGTTCTGTAAAGGAAGCAGAACATGAAAGTTCAGAAAATTTGCAGCCTGATAATGTGATAGAAAAGAAAATCCAAGCCAGCTATGGAGATTTGCATAAGTAATGAGGAGCCAAATGTTAATCCCCAAGACAATGGGGAAAATGTCTCCAGGGCATGTCAGAGGTCTTCACAGCAGCCCCTCCCATCACAAGCCCAGAGGCCTAGGAGGAAAAAGTGGTTTCATGGGCCGGTCCCAGGGTCTCCTGTGTGCAGCCTAGGGACTTGGTGCCCTGCATCCCAGCCACTCCAGCCAGGGCTGAAAGGGGACAACGTAGAGCTTGGGCCATGGCTTCAGAGGGCACAAGCCTCAGGCCTTGGCAACTTCCACATGGTGTTGAGCCTGCAAGTGCAGAGAAGTCAAGAATTGAGGTTTGGGAGCCTCTGCCTACATTTCAGATGTATGGAAACACCTGGATGCCCAGGCAGAAGTTTGCTGCAGGGGCAGGGTTCTCATGGAGAATTTCTGCTAGGGCAGTGCAGAAGGGAAATGTGGGGCAGGAACCCCCACATAGAGTCCCTACTGGGACATTGCCTAGTGGAGCTGTGAGAAGAGGGTCAGACCCCAGAATGGTAGATCCACTGACAGCTTGCACCATGCACCAGGAAAAGCTTCAGATACTCAACACCAGCCAGTGAAGGCAGCCAGGAGGGGGGCTGTACCCTGCAGAGCCACAGGGGCGGAGCTGCCTAAGACTATGGGAACCTACCTCTTGCATCAGTGTGACCTGGATGCGAGACATGGAGTCAAAGGAGATCGTTTTGGAGCTCTAAGATTTGACTGCCCTGCTGGATTTCAGATTTGCCTGGGGCCTGTAGCCACTTTGTTTTGGCCAATTTCTCCCATTTGGAATGGCTGTATTTACCCAATGCTTGTACCCCCATAGTATCTAGGAAATAACTAACCTGCTTTTGATTTTACAGGCTCATAAGTGGAAGGGACTTGCCTTGTCTCAGATGAGATTTTGGACTGTGGACTTCTGAGTTAATGCGGAAATGAGTTAAGACCTGGGGGACTGTTGGGAAGGCATGTTTGGTTTTGAAATGTGAGTACATGAGATTTGGGAGGGGCCAGGGGCAGAATGATATGGTTTGGCTGTGTCTCCACCCAAATCTCATCTTGAATTCCCATGTGTTGCAGGAGCAAGCCAGTGGGAGGTAGTTGAATCATGGGGGTGGGTCTTTCCTGTGCTGTTCTCGTGATAGTGAATAAGTCTCATCAGATCTGATGATTTAAAAAGGGCCAGCCTGACCAATGTGGTGAAACCCCATCTCTACTAAAAATCCAAAAATTAGCCAGGCTGTGGTGGCACATGCCTGTAATCCTAGCTACTTAGGAGGCTGAGGCGGGAGAATTGCTTGAACCTGGGAGGCAGAGGTTGCAGTGAGCTGAGACTGTGCCACTGCACTCCAGCCTGGGTGACACCAGAGGGAGACATTGTCTCTAAATAAATAAATAAATAAATAAATAAATAAAATAAAGGGGAGTTTCCCCGCCCAAGCCCTCTTCTCTTGTCTGCTGCCATATGAGACATGCCTTTCACCTTCCGCCATGATTGTGAGGCTTCCCCAGCCGCATGGAACTGTAAGTCCAATAAACCTCTTTCTTTTGTAAATTGCCCAGTCTCAGGTATGGCTTTATCAGCAGCGTGAAAACAGACTAATACAAATACCCTTCACAGTCTAGTCCCTGGCCCCTGTCCGCGCTCACTCACAGTCATTCCCCTGGCCCTCTGCTCCAGCCACGCTGGTTCTGCTAGCCTGGGAAGGTCCCATGCTCTTCACATCTTCTCACTTGCTGTCTCCTCAGTCTACAATGCTTCTCTTATTCCCAAAATCCCTCTTCAACATTCAGCCCAAAGACTTCTTTAGTGATGTCTTTTAGTTTTCTTTTAAAACATTATTATTATTATTTTAAGAGATAGGGTTGCTCAGGCTAGAGTGCAGTGATGCCATCATAGTTCACTGAGCCTGGAACTCCTGAGCTCAAGCAATCCTCTCTCCTCGGCCTCCCAAGTAGCTGGGATTACAGGTACATGCCAAAACGTCTAACTAATAAACTTTTTTTTTTTTTTGAAATAGGGCCTAGGGATCTTGCTATGTTGGCCATGCTAGCGTTGAACTACTGGGCTCGAAAGATCCTCCTGTTGCTGGGATTACAGGCATGATCCATTGCACCCAGCAGTGATGCCATTTTTTTTTTTTTTTTTTTTTGAGACAGAGTCTCACTCTGTCACCCAGGCTGGAATGCAGTGCCTCGATCTCGGCTCACTGCAACTTCCACCTCCTGGGTTCAGGGGATTCTCATGCCTCAGCCTCTGGAATAGTTGGGATTACAGGCACACACCACCACATGCAGCTAATTTTTGTATTTTTAGTAGAGACAGGATTTTGCCATGTTGGCCAGGCTGGTCTCGAACTCCTGACCTCAAGTGATCCACCTGCCTCGGCTCCCCAAAACGCTGGGATTATAGGCGTGAGCCATTCCACCCGGCAGTGATGCCTTTTCTGATGCCACTTCCTCCTCCCCTTGGTTGAATTATATTCCTATTTTGATTGTATTTCCTAAGGCCACGATGGGCCTTGGGCTCCTCTACCTGCGCAGGACTGGGTTTCCCCCAGGGCAACCCAGGAGAGAGTTGAGGTGGGGCACAAGGTACCACATGAAGGTGCAAAGCCAGTAGGCCAAAGGACTATGGGGGAGGGAGAGCCACAAGGGTGTGTGGGCACAGAAGACTAGTTGACCCATCTCTGGGTGCGCTGGGGAGTAGGGTCCCCCGGGGCCCCTGTGGGAAGCCTCACTTGCGGGGAAGCACAGCCTGAAGCCACATAAGCAGGCCCCCGCTTCAAAGTCTCTCTCCACTTGAGCTCCCTGGCACTAGACTAGATGGGCTGTGTTCTCATCAGCAGGGCCAGCCTCTTGCTAGGCTTCTACCCCACCCCACCCTCTCACTGCCCAGTAATCACTCACACCCAATGTTGCCAATGCAGAAGCGTTTTTGGGAGTGGCTGGAAAACCATGCCACCCTGTCAGCCTGCCAGCTACTCTACCGCACTAACATTAGCTCTTGGTACCCACCGGCATCGCTGTGGGCAGCACACTCAGCAGACACCCTGAAGGTATTCAGTGCTCCCTCTTGTGGGTGATGCATGAATTAGAATATACATTAATTTGGCTTCTAAGAGCAAGTATATTTTGGGAATGGTAAGAGGCAGATATGTTGAGTCTGGCCAATAAGCCCATAGCCATTTATTGCTATGATCTCACACACTCTCCCAGAACATCTAAGGGAAAGCCAAGATGCTGGCCCCTCATCTAGAACAGAATTAGCAGTTCACTGGACTAGGAGCCAAAGGCTGGTCACCAGCGTTAGCTCCATCTTTACTCAATGAGAAGACTTTGGTCAAGTTACTTTAAAACACTCTTGTCTTCATATATCAAAAGGGAGCTAACCAGGAACAGTGGCTCATACCTATAATCCCAGAGCGTTGGGAGGCTGAGGTGGGAGGATCAACTGAGCCCAGGAACTCGAGGTCACATTGAGCTGTGATTACACCACCACACTCCAGCCTGGATGACAGAACGAGATCTCCAATCTCTTTTTAAAAAAAGAAGGGGGTGACCAGGACATCTAACTCTCTGCATCATACTTTCTTGGAATTTTTTTTCCAGGTTCAATAGCATGTTCTTTTCTGGCTTTGTTACTAAACTGAATTTGCATCCGCACACCCGGTGGAGCAAAGCCAAACACGGCCATGGGGATTGCAGTCAGAGAAAGTGAGGCATTTATTGCAGGGTGCCAAGGAAGGAGAATCTGGCAGTTTATACTTCAGACCAGAACTCCCAAACAGCTTACAGGCAAGACTTTCTAAAGGCAGAGGTTACAAGCAAAGTCATAAGCCATAAATTAATACAATGGAGGCTATACGTTGGTTTGACCTAAAAAGGTGGACATCTCAAGGCGGGTGGGGCACAGGTCACAGGTGAATTCACAAAGATTTTCTGATTTGCATTTGGTAAAGGAGGCAAAACTTTGTCTAAAAATTCGGAGTTAGCAGAAAAGAATGTTAGCTCTGGCCCATGGTCGCGAACCGGTGGTCAGAGTTCAGCCCTCATTTCCCCCTATCTGAGGTCTATGTGCCAGCAGATCATTTGGTGGGGGTCTGGGTTTCTGGAAAGCAACTCAGGAAAATATGGTAAGATATTATCTTTAGTTTCTAAAGGGAACCAAACTTTCTGAGACTCTAACTTCCTTGGTTATTGTTTTAGGCTGCTTTTGCCTTCTTGCTTATGAAATTGCTCGCCCACTTCTCAGGGCTAGCTAGGTGCCTGGAATTTCCCTTGAAGGAACTCAGATTTTCCTTTATTTCCTTGATGAGTGGGTGGGGAGGGTGCCTGGCAGGCTCCTAAGAGGAGTCCCCGCTCCTCTCAGTTTGTCAAGTACTGAGCAGGGCGAAGGCAGGGACAGATGAAAATACAATATAGGTTCTACTGCCATTCCCACCCTCTGCCCCTAGCCCAGCAAACACCCAATTCAGATGGGGGCTGGAGGGCTGGAAGGAAACAAGAGTTCAGGAGTGGAAGCTTTGGTGAGACAGTAGTTGAAGTATCTGAAGATGGTTATCAAATTCTGCCCTCAAGAGCATTCCAGACATAAGCAAGCAATCCAGGTCCTTCTAGCTTCCTCGAAGACCCCAATCTCCCCCTCGATCCCCTTCTCCACTGGGCTCCCTCCTCTGATGGCTCCTGAATTTGTCGGGATTCCTCAATTCTTGTGCAACCAGAGTGGGACACAAACTTTTACTCACATTCCTGTCCAAAAATTACAAAATTGGGCAGTGGCTAACATGGTAACAAAAATCAGTGGCTGAGCCAGTAATAGGATCCGGGTTTTCTGATTCCTAAATTAGTCATACAGCACCTTGCTGTGGCTGGTCAGCACTGAGTTAGTAACCTGAACCCAGTTAATTTCCCACCTGTACACTCAGTTCCATGCCCTTTCTGATACTGCTAACTCCCAAGCAGCCCTCACCAAGTGAGGCAGAGGTGGAGCTACACACACGCAGGGTCAGCAGCTGGTCCTGCCAGGGATCAGGGCTGCAGCTGGGGCGGGGAGAGGGAGGGTTGGTGGGAGGGTGGGGTAGGGACACATTCTGAGAAACATGTCCTTAGGCAATTTTGTCCTTGTTTGGACACTGTAGAGCAGTGGTCCCCAACTTTTTTGGCACCAGGAACCAGTTTCATGCAAGACAATTTTTTCATGCGCTGGAGTTTGGGGGGAGATGGTTTCAGGATGATTTAAGTGCAATACATTTATGGTGCACTTTATTTCTATTATTACATTGTAATATATAATGAAATAATTATACAACTCACCATAATGTAGAATCAGTGGGAGCCCTGAACTTGTTTTCCTGCAACTAAACGGTCCCATCTGGGGATGATGGGAGACGGTGATGGATCATCAGGCATTAGATTCTCATAAGGAGCATGCAACCTAGATCCCTGTGTGTGCAGTTCACAGTAGGGTTCATGCTCCTATGAGAATCGAATGCTGCCGCTGATCTGACTGGAGGCAGAACTCAGGTGGTAATGCTTCTTCACCTGCCGCTCACCTCCTGCTGTGTGGCCCGGTTCCTAATAGGCCAAGGACCAGTACTGGTCTGTGGCCCGGGGTTGGGGACCCCTGCCATAGAGTGCACTTACACAAACCTAGATGGCATAGCCTACCACACACCTAGGCTGTATGGTACAGCCTATTGCTCCTAGGCTACAAACCTGTGCAGCACATTACTGTACTGAACACTGTAGCCAGTTGCAATGCAATGGTAAGTATTTGTGTGTCTAACCACAGAAAAAGGTGGAGTAAAAATACAGTATTATAATCTTAGAGGACCATGGTTATAAATGTGGTCCATCATTGACCGAAACATTGCTCTGTGTTGCATGGCTGCTTTATAAAGCACATGACACGGTGATTAACGTTACCGAAAAAGAAATAGAGCAGCATACAGAACATGGGGGTGGGGACAGGTTACAGTTTTAACTCACGCGGTCCCGGTAAGCCTAATGGAAGGAGACATTGCATCCAGAGTTGAAGGAGGGGGAAGAGCATTCCAGACACAAGGACAAAGACTCAAGGTTGCTTACTTCTTACATTATAAACAGTATACGGGAGGATGCAGCTCTAGCTTAGAAGAATTAAAAACAGACATACATACATGTGTAGGCAGGTGAGTGTTTGATTCCCTGGGTTGCTGCTTGAAGGGCTGTGGTGTTGGGTGTGCCGCCTGTGTGTGATTCTCTCTCTGGTTGTGGGTGAGTGACCGAGTGGGCATGTGACCATCGCTGTGTGTGGTGATTGTTGTGACGGTGTGTGGTGTTTGGTTCTGACTCAGCACGGGTCGTTGAGTGTGTGGCTGGGACCATTGAGAAGTAGATACACACTTGTGTGTGACTGTGTAAAAACGTGTGAAACATTTTCTCACCATTTCCGTGAAGCAGCCGTTTCACCAGAAGGTTTGGAAGGAACCTTAAGCTCTGGAAGCCTAAGAGTTTATCTGGTAATTAATTTTAAACATTATATCTATGGTAAAAATAAATGTGGATTATGAAGGAGAAGACAAAGTCAGCAAAAGTGAGATGTCAAGGAGCTTCCTGTGTATAGGTTGACATCTCTCGGCCAAATACTAGACTACCATGGGTGGTGGTTCATTCTCTTCTGCTGTTAGGCACCTTTGGCATGGGAAAGTGTGGGGAGCCCTGGACTTGAGACATCCTGAGGCAGCATGATTCTGAATGACTGGGACTCCGAGGTCCTGGATGCTGGCCAGCCCCTGCGATGCCCAGTCCTGAATGAGAAAACCATCCCTATTCAAGGTAGTACAGTTTGTCCTTGAACCAGGTCTAGACTCCAGAGCTACTCTCTCTTGGTTTGATCCAGTTTCTCTCAGACCTTGTGACCTCTACAGTGTAGTTAAGAGTGTGGACTCAGGAGCCAGAATGCCTGAGCTCCAGCTTCAGAGATGTGCCTTGGTTTCCACATTTGAAAGTGGGGATGAGCCAGGCGTGGTGGCTCATGTCTGTAATCCCAGCTCTTTGGGAGGTCAAGACGGGAGGATCCCTTGAGCCCAGGAGTTTGAGATCAGCCTAGGCGACATAGGGAGACCCCATCTCTACAAAAATAAAAATTTAAAAATCAGTCGGGAGTGGTGGTGTGTGCCTGTGGTCCCAGCTACTCAGGAGGCTGAGATGGGAAGATTGCTTGAGCCCGGAGTAGAGGGTGCAGTGAGCCATGATCGTACCACTGCACTCCCAGCCTGGGGAACAGAGCAAGACCCTGTCTCAAAAAAAAAAAAAAAAAAAAAAAAAAAAAAAAAAGGCCAGGCACGGTGGCTCACGCCTGTAATCCCAGGCCTTTGGGAGGCCGAGGCAGGCAGATCACAAGGTCAGGAGATCGAGACCATCCTGGCTAAAACGGTGAAACCCCGCCTCTACTAAAAATACAAAAAATTAGCCGGGCATGGTGGTGGGCACCTGTAGTCCCAGCTACTCTGGAGGCTGAGGCAGGAGAATGGCGTGAACCTGGGAGGCGGAGCTTGCAGTGAGCCGAGATCGCGGAGCTTGCAGTGAGCCAAGATCATGCCACTGCACTCCAGCCTGGGCGACAGAGCGAGACTCTGTCTCAAAGAAAAAAAAAAGAAAGACAAGAAAGAAGAAAGAGAATTGTAGCACATAGCTCACTGAGTTACTGGGGAGGACTAAATGTAAAATAATGCCACTACTGCTGCTTCTGATAAGGATGATCATGGGCAAGAAGTTAATGCTTTCTTTCTTCCAAGGTGCTTTTTCCAGGAAATACACCACATTGCCTCTTTCTTTATACATTCTTCAGGAGAGGGCAGAGGCAGCATTTCCCTTGTAGACACAGTGATGTGGTGGAATTGCACACACTTTAGAGTCAGACAGACGTGGATTCAAATACCAACTCAGCCATTTACTAGTTTTTTTTTTTTTTTTGATCTCTGTCACCCAGGCTGGAGTGCAGTGGCACAATCTCAGCTCACCACAACCTCTGCCTCCCGGGTTCAAGCAATTCTCATGCCTCAGTATCCCGAGTAGCTGGGACTGCAAGTGTGCACCACTACGCCTGGCTAATTTTTGTAGTTTTAGTAGAGATGGGGTTTCACCATGTTGCCCAGGTTGGTCTTGAACTCCTGACCTCAAGTGATCTGCCCACCTTGGCCCCCCAAAGTGCTGAGATTACAGGCATGAGCCACTGTGCCCGGCCATTTACTAGTTTCTTAAAGCCTGTCTTAGTTTTCTTTGTTCATAAAAAAAAGAATGTTAGTGCTGGGCTTGCAGCCTGGTGCTGAGGATCAAATGAAAAACTGTAATTAAAGCAAACCTCAGACCTTAGTTACTGATTACTGATATTAAGAGACAACTTGGCAGGGCACGGTGGCTCACGCCTGTAATCCCAGCACTTTGGGAGGCCTAGGTGGGTGGATCACCTGAGGTCAGGAGTTCGAGATCAGCCTGGCCAACAAGATGAAACCCCGTCTCTACTAAAAATACAAAAATTAGCCAGGCATGGAGGTGGGTGCCTGTAATCCCAGCTACTAGTGGAGGCTGAGGCAGAAGGATGCCTGAACCTGGGAGGCGGAGGTTGCAGTGAGCCGAGATCATGCCACTGCGCTCCAGCCTGTGCAACAGAGTGAGACTCCGTCTCAAAAAAAAAACTAAAAAGAGACAACTTAAGTCTGGGAGTAGTGGTTCACACCAGTCGTCTCCGTGCTTTGGGAGGGTGAGGCGGGAGAATTGCTTGAGGCCAATAATTCTATGTTGCCTAGGCAACAGAGTGAGACCCCCATCTACACAAAAAAATTAAAAAATTATCCAGGCATGCTGGCGTGCACCTGTGGTCCCAGCTACTCAGAAGTCTCAGGCAGGAGGATCACTGGAGCCCAAGAGTTCTAGGCTGCAGTGAGCTATGATCTTGCCACTTCACTCCAGCCTGGGCGATAGAGCGAGAGAGACCCTGTCTCTTAAAAAAAAAAAAGAGAAACAACTTAAGAAAGAATGGTTGAATTTTAAGCTTGTGAGCCTATAGTTCAAGGAGACAGTTGTAAATGTATCCAACCTGACCTTATTCATAGTCAGGACAGTGTTGTGAGTTCAAGAACAGAGAGTAGCTGCCAAAAATAATGATCTTTTCTGTGTTCTCTGATCCTGGGAAGGGGTGAGTGGCTCTAGTTTCCCTCTAACATCCTCCTCTCTCTCTCTCTCTCTGTGTACATGTGTGAGTGTTTGCTTATGCAAGAAAGGAAGGAAGAGGACCGAGCTGGTGCAAAGCCAGCTTCTCTCAGGGTATCTTTCTTCCATACCATCTCTACTTCCTCAGAATCCTTGATCTGCCAAAGAGAAATCCGGAAAATGATGAAATGGCCATTTCACTTCTATGTGTTTTGAATGCAAATATGCACATTTTGAATGTAAAATAAAATTTCTCTTCCTAAGTTGAAAAATTCCATTTAACAAATGACTTTTTTAAAAACCCCTAATTCTATAGAAATAAATGGTGATTGTCGGGTGGGGCACAATGGCTCATGCCTGTAATCCCAGCACTTTGGGAAGCCATGGCAGGAGGATGGCTTGAGATCAGGAGTTTGAGACCAACCTGGTCAACATAGTGAGACTCCATCTCTACAAAAAATTAAAAACTTAGCCAGGCATGGTGGCATGCACCTGTAGTCCTGGCTGCTCAGGAGGATGAGGTGGGAGGATCGCTGGAGCTCAGGAGTTTGAGGCTGCAGTGAGCTATGGGCTTATGATTGCACCACTGCCCCTCCAGCATGGGTGACAAAGCAAGACCCAGAAAGAAAAGAAAGAAAGAAAGAAGGAAGGAAAGAAAGAAAGAAAGAAAGGAAGGAAGGAAATATATGGTGATTGTCGACAAATGTGAAAGCACTTATAATAAAAAGAATAAATCAAACATTACTCACAATTCCACAATCCAGAGATAATTACAGTTGAAATTTGAGGGTATAATTTTCTGAACTAGTTGTATTCATTTATCTCTGCCCTTCTTTTTCACTATCCTTATATTACAATTTTCGAAAGGAGTATCTGCCACATGCAGTCTGGTAAACTGCTTTTCATACCTGAAATTAATCATGAACATATTTGTAATTACATTTTTGATCTCATAGTATTCCATTGTATTGCTTTTCCATAATTTAACTAATCTGTTATTGTTTAACTCACGGCTCTGAACACTGGATAAAAACATGGTCCTATCCATGAACTATCTCCCTTGTCTTAACTAACTCCACAAGTCCTCCCAAAACATGTGAATGCCTGACCTCTTCATGAATAACTGTGTTTATTTCTTGGCCTACTGACATTCAAGAATGTGGCCTTTATTTCTCGAAGGAGTGGGGTTGATCGAAACCAGCACAGAAGGCTGTGTATCAAGATGAGGTATTGGAGAACTACAGGAATTTGGCTCACTGGATAGACATCGTTCCACCATGGTTGAAGATGTAACTCCTGTTCAGAAATGATTTATTAGTGGTGAAATTCCAAGGAGCTTCTGAGGTGCCTCCTGTTCACAAATAGTTGAGATTTGAGGGTTGATAATAAGCAGCTCTACTGACCCTCACCTGAAACTCCATCTCCCCCAAATCCCCACCTTTTTTTTTGAGACAGAGTCTGGCTCTATCACCCAGGCTGGAGTGCAGTGGCACAATCTCAGCTCAGTGCAAACTCTGCCTCCTGGGCTGAAGCCATCTTCCCAACTCAGCCTCCTGAGTAGCTGGGACTACAGGCACGTGCCACCATGCCTGGCTTTATTTATTTATTCATAGAGACAGGGTCTCGCTATTTGCCCAGGCAGGTCTCCACCTCCTAGCCTCAAGTGGTCTTCTTGCCTCAGCCTCCCAAAATGCTGGGATTACAGGCATGAGCCACCACACGGGGCCTTATCTTCCCCTTTCACCAGATTGACTATCCCACCTACATTTCTGGCTATTCAGTGATTGCTCTTAATGACTAAGGGACAGGGTCTGAACCCTTAAACCAAGTCTCTTATTTCCTCCTGGAGGAGTTTGTATTTCTCTCATTTATGAGTAATATGTTGGTATATAAGAAACAGCCCTGGATGATAGGAAGTGAAGTGATATTTTGGTGCTGGGGGATAGAATCATGTTAGGAGGAGGCTTTGCATGGGACATTCTGCTTTCCCTGAGGAGTGACTGCCTTGCTCTCAAAGAGGGTAATTAACAATGTCCAGGGGCCAGAAAGTTAGAGGAGAATGACAACCTAGAAAAGACCTTTTGAGTTGGAAACAGGAATCTTAAGTTTCAGTAGAGTGAGATGAACTCAGTTTAATGAGGGCTAAAGTAGAAAGATTTCCTTCTCTGAGATATGAAAAAATTTTATTAATAAACAATATGGGACATGGCAGCATGGCTCATGCCTGTAATCCCAACACTTTTGGAGGCCAGAGCAGAATTTCTTGAGCCAAGGGGTTCGAGACTAGCCCAGGCAACATAGCAAGACCTCATCTCTGCATACGAAAAATAAAATTAAAAAAATTAGCTGAGTGTGGTGGTGTGTGCCTGTAGTCCTAACTACAGGCTGAGGCTGAGGTGGGGGAGGGTTGCTTGAGCCCAGGAGTTGGAGGTTACAGTGAGCTGTGATCCTACCACTGCACCCCAGCCTGGGCGACCCTGTCTCTAAAAAAAAAAAAGAAAAAAATTACAAAGCGGCATAATCACAAATATGTGCCATTTAGTAACAAGAAATAAGTTACTCATAACTGAAAGTCCTTGTCACTCAATTTATGTATTTTTACTAGACTATATTAACACAGGTAAATATTTCTAACTATAAACAAAATTTTGTTCCAGCTTTCAGTCACATAAGATTACATCATCCCATTTTTTCCTCTGCTGGCATAATCTCAATGAGATATATTATTGTATATTTAGGCTAATTCCAATTTTATGCTATTAAAAATACATTTCCCATAAACATTTCTAGGCGAATATATATTTTTGTAATTGCTTATAATAAATTCCAAAGGTGGAAGGCCTGGGATAAAAAGCATAAATATATTCAAACTCTTGGTATGCTCTTTAGAAATGTAGTATCACTTTACACTGGCTTCCATTTTATCCATTTTTTTCTTTTAACATTTCACTATTTTGTCCAGCTACCATTTACTGCATATATGGTATAAACCTAGCATTTAATCTGATTGCTTTTCTTAAAATTTCCCAACAATTACCATTGTGTTTTTCTATGCTGTGGCTTTTTCTTTTTTCCTTAAGTCATCTTTAGCCATATTTTAGATTCTTAAATATTCTGCTTCTTACTGCTGGGCTCTTTCATTCCACTATCTCTGTGTCAGTGCTTGCATTGAGACTTTGTCAGTTTAATTAGGCCCTCCATGTGTCTTCCTTATTTTTTTTTTTTTTTTTTTTTTTTTTTTTGAGACAGAGTCTCGCTCTGTCGCCCAGGCTGGAGTGCAGTAGCGTGATCTTGGCTCACTGCAAGCTCCGCCTCCCGGGTTCACAGCATTCTCCTGCCTCAGCCTCCCAAGTAGCTGGGACTACAGGCGCCCGCCACCACGCCCGGCTAATTTTTTGTATTTTTAGTAGAGACGGGGTTTCACCGTGTTAGCCAGGATGGTCTTGATCTCCTGACCTCGTGATCCACCCACCTCGGCCTCCCAAAGCGCTGGGATTCCAGGTGTGAGCCACTGCTCCCAGCCCTTCCTTTTCAACTATTCTTTCCTCACTCCATTCCAGCTGCACTTGTCTTTTTGCTTCTTCTTGAACAAGCCAAGTAAGCTCTAATGTTAGGACCTGTGCTCTAGCTATTTGCTGTGCCTGGGATATTCTCCTCCCAGGTATCTGCTTGGCTCAGGTACTCACTTCTTTCAAGTCTTGGTTCAGGTTTCACTTTTTTTTTTTTTTTTTTTTCCAGACAGAGTCTTGTTCTGTTGCCCAGGCTAGAGTGCAGTGGTGCGATCTCAGCTCACTGCAACCTCTGCCTCCTGGGCTCAAGCAATTCTCATGCCTCAGCCACCCGAGTAGCTGGGATTACAGGTATGCACCACCACGCCTGGCTAATTTTTGTATTTTTAGTAGAGACAGAGTTTTGCCATGTTGGCCAAGCTGGTCTTGAACTCCTGGCCTCAAGTGATCCCAAAGTACTGGGATTACAGGCGTGAGCCACCACGCCTGGCCAGGTTTCACCTTTAAGTGTCCAGCTCTGACCATCTGTGTAGTAAAGAATTAGGCGGCCTTTGTCTTTGGTTTCTGGGAAGTAACCTCTAATTCTCTGGAATTTCCTGAGTGATAGGAGTATTCATTATTCACGGTGGACTCCTGGGATCCCACTTGATAGTTTCTGCTAACACAGTGACTCACGGAAGACCCCTGGATAGTTTATGTTTGCAAGATGACTCAGGCTGGGAGCTGGCCACCCGGAAAAGCCAACCATGTAGTTAGAGTTGGGGCTTTGAGTCATGTGATACCAGTCCAACCTCCAGGAAGGAAAAGGGGGCTAGAGATTGAGTTCAACCACATAGCCAATGATTCAATCATACCTAAATAACGAAGCCTCAATAAAAACTCCGGATACCAAAACTCAGGAGAACGTCCCTGGTCAGAGTATTTTCATGCTTCAATGCTGGGAGGGCAATGTGTCCCTGAGAATGAGGGAAGCTTCACATTTGGGACTCTCTCAGACTTTGCCCCAGGCACCTCTTCTTCTGTTTCTGGTCTGTCCTTTTTGCTATAATAGAACTGCAATCATAACATAGTTTTTTCTGGAGTTCTGTGAGTTGTTTTAGCAAATTACTGACCAGAGAGTGGCTGTGGGAAACTCCAAATTTGCAGCCAGCTAGTCAGAAGAAAGGATGACCTGGTAATTCCTGAACTTGCTGCTGGTGTCTGGAGAGCAGTTTTGTGGAGGAATGTGCCCTTAATGTTGAGTTCCCATTTTTTAAGTGTACAATTCAATAGCTTTTGGTAGGTTCACAGAATTGTGCAGCTGTCATCCCCAACATGTTTTTTGAACTTTCAAATTTCTGATCTGGTTCAATCAAAAAGGAACCTCCAATCCAGGTTAATCACTGGAATTGATTATTTCATCTCTTCAGACTCTCTTAATTTAGAACAGAATTCTTCCTTTTTTTTAAGTGAATTTTTTGAGACAGAGTCTTGCTCTGTTGCCCAGGCTGGAGTGAAATGGCGTGATCACAGTTCACTGCAGCCTTGACCTCCTGGGGTCAAGCAATCCTCCCACCTCAGCTTCCCAAGTAGCTGGGACCACAGGTGCATGTCACTATATCCAGCTTTTTTTTTTTTTTTTTTTTTTGAGACAGAGTCTCGCTCTGTCACCCAGGCTGGAGTGCAGCGGCGTGATCTCGGTTCACTGCAAACTCTGCCTCCCGGGTTCGCGACATTCTCCTGCCTCAGTCTCCCGAGCAGCTGGGACTACAGGCGCCCGCCACCACGCCCAGCTAATTTTTTGTATTTTTAGTAGAGACGGGGTTTCACCATATTAGCCAGGATGGTCTCAATCTCCTGACCTCGCGACCCACCCACCTCGGCCTCCCAAAGTGCTGGGATTACAGGCGTGAGCCACCGTGCCTGGCCCCAGCTAATTTTTTTTTTTTAATTTTTTGTAGAGATGGGGGTCTCACTGTGTTGCCCAAGCTGGTCTCAAACTCCTGGGCTCAAGCAATCCTCCCACCTCAGCCACTCAAAGTGGCTGAGATTACAGACATGAACCATCACACCTGGTGACACTGACTTTTAAAGACTTTTTATTGAGCTATGACATAAGGTAAAAAGCACAAATCATGTGTACTGCTTTTTCACCTGCTATAACCCTGTAACCAGCACCTAGATTAAAAAACAGATCAGGCCGGGCGTGGTGGCTCTCGCCTGTAATCCCAGCACTTTGGGAGGCTGAGGAGGGCGGATCATGAGGTCAGGAGATCAAGATCATCCTGGCTAACACAATGAAACCCCGTCTCTACTAAAAATACAAAAAATTAGCTGGGCGTGGTGGTGGGCACCTGTAGTCCCAGCTACTCGGGAGGCTGAGGCAGAAGAATGGCGTGAACCTGGGAGGTGGAGCTTGCAGTGAGCTGAGATCACACCACTGCACTCCAGCCTGGGCTACAGAGCAAGACTCTGTCTCAAAAAACAAACAAACAAAAAACAGATCATGTGAGCAGGAAAAAATAAAATAAAAATGACACCAAACAGAAAAGGATTGGTGGCTATTTTGGCTAAGCCCAGGTGTGTGTGTGTTTTGATCTCAGGGAAGCCTCCCGAGTAGCTGGGATTTACAGGTACCCCCCTACCACACCTGGCTAATTTTTCTATTTTGAGTAGAGACGGGGTTTCACCATGTTGGCCAGGGTGGTCTCGAACTCCTGACCTCAGGTGATCTACCCACTTCGGCCTCCCAAAGTGCTGGGATTACAAGCGTGAGCCACCATGCCTGCCCTGAGCACAATCTTTGTAACTAGCTATACATGTAACTATACATATAGAAAACCAGCACAAAGTGGGCCAGTAGTATTTAATGAAATCTAATGACTAACCATAAGTCCACAGAGGGAGAAAAACATTTATCAAATTCACACGTCACGTTTCTAATCAAATCTCTTTAATTTCCAGGGTCAGTTGTTCATAGCATCTATCTACTCATATAACAACTCTGCCCTATGAAATGAATCCACTGTGGTTTGGATCTGTTGCCTCTTTCTCTTTTCTGAGAGTAGAGAGAGCTACCTTCGTAAATAATATTTGCTAACAACAGCAAGGCAAAAACAATTATCAATGCATTTGTGTCTTTCAGGGCAGATTGGTCTATCAAGTCCTTAATTTCCCCTCTCTCCTTTCTCCCTCCCTTCCCTAAAGGATGTGCCTGTGGTAGGTACATCTTTCTACCATCCATCACAACTTTTCATTCTCTTTTCTGATGTTCAAATACAGGTCAATTCTGGTCATCAAACAAACTGCCAAAAGGATAAGTAATGAGCCACTCAGATTAAGGTATGCACTAATAAAAATTTAATATCAGAAAACAGCATTTTTTTAACCATTCACAATTAAAGTGGAAAGAGACAAAATTATAAGGCAGCCATCCATGGAATGATTTCATGTTTACAAGGGATCCAGAAAAAGGGACATTTAAAATCACTGTTCCAGCTATTGAACCAGGGGAACTGCAGTCTTATCCCATGAGACTTCTAACTTGCTGGAAGATGCCACAAGAAAAAAAGATCAAAGCCAATCTCCTTGTGTTAAGCCACTGGGTTAGGCTGAGTATATCTAGAGAATTCCTAAATGGTTGTCTAGTTCTTTCCCACAAGTTACACATTTCCTTCAGGCCTCCTGAGGTGAATCTAGATGTCTCAGGTACAAAGAGGTTTTAATTTCACAGCATCTCCAACAGTGCACTTTGGGTGATGTGGACCATTCTGTATTGAGCAGAAATTTTCTAATGGAAGGAAGGTTCCTCTGCAGAACAACTACAGAGGATTTTCACTTAACACTGCAGCAGTTCTGGATGAATCTGGTCATGATTCTCAGTCTCCCAAGGGGCTCAGGGGCCCACAAGGCAGGAACATCCTTTGGGGGTTTGTGCTGCTGTCATACGGTTCCTGTGTTCAGTCCCTAGCTACCATGTGTTTCAGGGGCTTAATACACTCCGATGCTGGTGTGTCCTCTTAGTTCTAATCCTTGAAAAAGAGAAAAACCAGGCAGTGACACTTAGAAGTAGGCTGGTAAAAAAAAAACACAATCACATTTTCTCCTTTCTGCAAAGAAAGGACAACTCAAAACAGCCACTCCCTTTCTTTTCTCTAATGATTCAAAATACCAGAACAGGGCTCACTTGGCTGTTTTGAATTGGGAAAGAAAGAGGTGAAAGCGGGGAGAAAGAGAAAACACATAACCTCTAGGTAGGTAGTACTGTTTCCAACTGTCTACGTTCCAGTGCAGAATCTTTGCTAAAAAAAAATTTGGCAATAGTGTGCACAGGAAAACTGAATCAAACCTGGAACATCACTGCTTTCTTGAAATGGAACTGACAAGCAATTAACTGGAGAATAAGTGAGGGGAATGGAGCAGTAGTATTCTTTAACTTAATTTGCCATTTAAGAGAGCACTTGGAATCTGAAGAAAGTCTATCCCTACCAAGGAAACGGAGTCAAATTGCAATTAAGATTAACTTTGGTTATATGGAAGCAAGAATCATGCTTCTCATCATCAATTGCGTCTCTTTGGTAGCCAATAATTCCATCTGTAATCATGGCAGCAACTTAAGTATTGCCAATGTTTTCAAATGTGTTACAGCATTAAGGCATCCACATCTAAAGAGGCAGTTTTAAACAAGAGGAAAACGGAACTGAAATGTGCCAAGAAGTGAACACGGACATGGCCTCTCCTGGAATACTGCCCACCATGCCAGCAAGCTCTTCCTCCAGTCAAGAAGGCCTGTGCCACGCTGCTTGGTTCCCTGCTGCCTGAAGATGCATTTGAGCCCTATGAGATTAGTATGGCTATTTCTGTCTGCTGACCAGGAGAGAAATGAGTAGTTCTCGAGGCAGCAGCTTTAAAATCTGGGAAAGCCCATACATAGCTTCTGAGAGCTAAGAGGGCCCTGAAAGGTTTGCTTGTTAATAGTGAGGTCCAGAGGGGAAGGCAAATTTGGAAGTCAGATGGTTCAATCCTTGCCGGAGTTCAAGGCTCCATCCAGCAAGATATACTAGCCAAACTTTTAAGCATGATGGCAAGGCACTGCTGAAAGAGGCTTTGGCCAGTAGAACAAATTACCATTGCACACAACAATATGATAGAAAGCACTACTGTCCAAACCAAACCAGACACTACAATCTGCTATTTATTTGACAAAGTCAGTTTCCAGAGAGAATCTAGGCAACCATATAGTTTTGAAGGACTAGATGAAACCTCAAGTCTCACACCAGTCAGCTGTTAACATCCAATCAAGGAAGTCATTTGGACTTTCCATACTATACCTTCTCTTGGTAGTAAAATTGTATGCAATTGTTGCCAATGACTACATACAACTGTATCCTATTTGTGCTACTTTCCTCACTGTGGCCAGCAGAGGGCTCACAAGCTTTATTTCCACAGCTGCTGATCCAGTGACAAATTCATGAAGGAAATAAATCATAGGCATGCTAGCTTATGCGTCATAGAAAACGTTTTTACAAACTACTACGTCCACTGCCCTGAAGAAACTAGTCTTGGTTCCCCCTTAGTGTAATGTGTTTTGAAATGGTATAGAAAGTAAAAATAAATTAATAATACAATATTATACACTTATTTGACAAGACAGGGTTTACAAAAATTTTGGCAAATATGAAAAAAAAATTATCCTAGTCTGTTAAACACTTTTGCTATCTCAATTGTTTAAATTACCAGATTAGTGATTGTGTCAATTTACACATGAGGAGGTGGTATTTTAAGGGCTCAACAAAGCGGCATTTGACACAAAGGTAATTTCTTTGAAGGGGGATAAAGAATAAAGATATTATTATCTTCATTATTACAGTTCGAGAAGTGGTTGTCCTGATAAGAATTCATCCCACACAAATATTAACACCAGCAGTAAGCAGCAAATTGTGGCGAGGAGAGGCTAGAGGGAAAAGTTAGAAGAAAAGCAAAGAAAAGACGAAGAGACAAGAGACATGATTCCAATAAGCTTTAAATCAATAGGCAAACACTTCTCATTTATGATCCATCTTGCTACAGGTGGTTATGTGAGAAGACACAGTGTCGCCAAAGCTGACCTAGTATTTAGGTCCCTAGAGGGATTGCTGATCTGCTAAGAGAAATAATTAAAAAAAAAAAAAACAAAAAAAAAGGACAACCATACATTTTGGTAGTCTTTTAAAAAAAGCTACTACAAAGATATCAATAACCATCCAAAAATCACTTAAAATTTAATATCCCTTAATTTCCAAAGACACTTTGTGATCTGACTGTTCTTGAAGGAAAGCCTAGAACTGAAACTACTAGAACTTGGCTCCTCTCTAGGAATGTGGAGACAGGTATTCTGCAAAGGAGAACTTGACAAGGAATGCTACAAAATACCAGTCACCTCTTTAGAAGCTCCTCCCACCTCTCCTGCTCCATTTGATGGAATGGCAGGCTGGATTCAGAGAGGCACGTGCCAAAGGAGCTGTTTAAATCCCTCTAGACATCCCTTTTCAATGGATATCTCTTTTGAGTATAAAGAGAGCTTTCAATGTGTCTTGCTATCATTTTCCTGACCCTAATCCCAGATTAACTAGAATCACCTTTAGCATCTAAGTGAGTGGGTGCTATGACCTTCCATCAACGCATGTGGCATAGATGCTAAAGCACCAGTCTTACATGGTGGGAACCATGTTAAAAATCAATGGATAAAGTAGCAGAGCCTCTAAACTAAGAAGAAAGAGACATAGCTTAATTACAGAACACTGTATTTTCATAATCACTATTTCATTGTGAGTATGAAGTTCTCCTCTTTTCCTTAAAACTAAATTCCATCTTCCCTGAGAATAGGGTTAAGAGAAATATTAAAACGCAAAATGTCAAGGGCCTTTTAAAAGATAACACAATGGGATGTCTATAGCTAACTGCAACGTAAATGTGTTTCTACTCTAAAAGCTTTTCCATTACTCAGGTTTTAACCTCACCTCCCCTCTGGACTCTAGGAATACATGTAGAGATGCGCAAGGTGAGACAAGAGACTGAGGAAGTGAGTAGCTGTCACGTGCCGGCTGTTCTCACTGGATGGCAAACGGCCCTGGACCAAGGCTGGACCTTGAACATTTAATGCTGGTGTCCTACTGACAGGATGAGAGGGATGAGGCAACCCAGAACCAGGGCTGCCACTTCCAGGCGGCTGAGGCCTCTCCCTCCCGTGGCATCGGGCTTGTGGCTGTGCCCTATTCCGCCCACCTCAGGGAGGACATGTACTGTGGCAACATAAAGAAATGTCCCGGCAGAGAAAAGCATGGCCACTCCCGTGGCGTTCACCTCTGAAAGGGCTTCTTTACTGCTCTGTGAATTAGAAGAGAGAAAGAGGAAAAACTAAGTCAAGTAAAATTCAGGGTCAGGAAGAAGTCCCAGTTAAAAAACACTCACTGTTCTTAACTGGTGCTGTCTAGGACACTGGGGACATCTAGAGAACACAGCAACTTTAAGTTATTCATGGGAAGCTTCCAAATAAGGGTTTAAGAATATCAGTGATGTACGCAATTGATTTTTTAAAAAATTTATTGTAAATCAACAATTTATAATTATATATATTTATAGGGTATAAAGTGACATTATGATTCATGAATAAAATGTGGACTAATTAAATAAAACTAACATCTGTCATCTCAAATATTTATCATATTTTGTGGTGAGAACATCTGAAATTTACTCTTAGCAATTTTGATATGTACCACACACTATTATTAAACTATATTCACCACAGTTCCATCATTCTGTCCATCCATTCATTGACTGTATCTGTCTTTAGAGATGAGGTCTCGCTATGTTGCCCAGGCTGGAGTTGAGTGGCTATTCACAGGCACAATCATAACACACTACAGCCTGGAACTCCTGGGCTCAAGCAATCCTCCTGTCTCAGCTTCCCAAGTAGCTGGGACTACAGGTATGCGCCACTGCTCCTGGTTCACAATTGCTTTTTAAAACGAACTTTAAGTGCTGGTTCAACAGGTTTGGCTTGTATTATTCTTGAGATAGAATCAACAATATATTATTGCAGATATTAAATTTCAGACATAAATTTATTTATTCTACTAATATTTAACAAGCATCATCTATGCACCAGGCTCTGGGCCAGGTGCTTGAGATACAGTGGTAATCAAGATGCAGTAGTTGACCTCATAGAGCCTAGAAATATCTCTTAAGCAGCCGGGCGTGGTGGCTCATGCCTGTAATCCCAGCACTTTGGGAGGCCAAGGTGGGCGGATCACGAGGTCAGGAGTTCGAGACCAGCCTGGCCAACATGGTGAAACCCTGTCTCTACTAAAAATACAAAAATTAGCCGGGCATGGTGGCGGGCGCCTGTAATCCCAGCTACTCCGGAAGCTGGGGCAGGAGAATCGTCTGAACCTGGGAGGCAGAGGTTGCAGTGAGCCAAGATTGCGCCATTGTACTCCAGCCTGGGTGACAGGCAAGATTCCATCTCAAAGGAAAAAAAAAATGTGTGTGTGTGTGTGTGTGTGTATATATATGTATATCTCATAAGCTAATCTTTATAAAACTAATTTCAACCTTTTCTGTTAAAAAAGTAGACCTATGGACTAAGACAACTAATTAAAATTTTAAGAAAAGGACATCCCATAGATGCAGCAAGTAACTCCATGTCTCCAGAATTATCAGCACCTTCCTGTCAAAAGGTTAAAAAACTGACACTGATTACTGAAGTGATAGAGTAATCTGTTAAAGGGAACAACATACTGCTCACTGAAAGAAGAGAAGGCTCTTCAGGTAAATGGAAAGGGTTTTTATAACACACTCTTAGCATCTAAGATCAACAAACCCTTGCTTAACAGGAACTTAGCCATTCTTTATCTCATTTTTCACATGTTCCTATTAATATGGGTTTTACTGCCAAATACTGAATTGACTGATGCTCAGAAGAATCAATGACCTTTAGAGAGGGTGTTGGGGAAAGCAGTTCCCATCAACTAGCCCTGAGTCAGTTTGCTTCTAAGATTTTCCTCCAGTTGCCTGCCAGTTGACATCTGGGTAAAATGCGGAGGGTTGTTGCTCAGAGCTACAGACAGGATTATAAGGCATGGGAAGGTCCAGCTTGGAGTCAGAAGAGCACATGTTACCTCAGGTCTGAAGCTATGTTCAGTACAAAGTATTCAATAGAAAGAACTGTACAGTTACTATCTGGGGACGTGAGAGCTGGGAGAAGAGGAGGAACGTGAAAAATGAGACCAAGAATGGCTAAGTTCCCGTTAAGGAAGGGTTTGTTGATCTTAGTTGCTAACAGTGTGTTATAAAAACCCTTTCCATTTACCTGAAAAGCCTTCTCTTCTTTCAGTGAGCAGTATGTTGTTCCCTTTAAAAGATTACTCTATCACTTCAGTAATCAATGTCAGTTTTTTAAACTCTTGACAGCAATCTCTGCCCAGCTGCTGCTCTTCTCAAAGCGGCTATGTGGCTTGTTACTCACGCTTCAGGTGTCTACCTCACATTAAATATGGACAGATTTGACTTATTAGATATCTGTCAAATGAAGCTAGCATGGCTGGTTACGTTATACTATTTTAAATATTGAAGCGCTATCATATTTATGCAAATATTCTTGGAACTGATTGATAGGGAAGAAGTTTTCAAATTAAATGAATAAGAAAATGCTAATATGAAGAGGACGCATTGGAATTAAGATATTTACCCTGTATAGTTTTTACTCCTAATTTTATCTTTAGTTTGAGAGAGTAATGTATTGGAAAAATTCAATCTAAGAGATCATAAATTCTAAGAGATCACAAGACACTGGTTTAGATAGCTGGGAATAGATTAGCTTACCTTACTCAGTCCTAAGTATGTCACCATGGACATAACTGGTGCTGCCAATGCAAAGACCAGCAAGTGCTTTCTGATTCGATTCCGCTCTAAGCCAGCATGCATCAAGAAGGAAACCAGTCCAAAAGCAGCTGGTGCCTGGAAATAAAAAATCATCTCTTATTATCATTCTAGAAGTATGGGTTGCTTCTACATCAAGAAGTATATGCCATTTGACTATGATTTCTCATACAAAGAAAAACTCACAAAAGGCCAGGCACAGTGGCTAATGCCTGTAATCCTAGCACTTTGGGAGGTCGAGGTGGGTGGATCACCTAAGGTCAGGAGTTCGAGACCAGCCTGGCCAACATGGTGAAACCCCGTCTCTACTAAAAATACAAAAATGTGTGGTGGTGGGCACCTGTAATCCCAGCTACTTGGGAGGCTGAGACAGGAGAATCGCTTGAACCCAGGAGGCGGAGGTTGCAGTGAGCCGAGATCACACCATTGCACTCCAGCCTGGGTGACAAGAGCAAACTCCATCTCAAAAACAAAAAACAAAAAACCCACACACACACAAAAAAAACCAAAAAACAAAACCAGGCAGAGTACAAACGCTGAGCTATGCCTCTTAGGAATTAATGTTCTAAGCCAAGAAAAGATCCTATTTGTGTGTTTCTTGGATAGTAAAAAAGAGAAACAGTCAAGAAAAGAAAAATACTTTTGAACAGAAATTATTACTATGAAATATAAAAATCTGAGGAGAATTTGACAATTTGTGTATATGTCTACACAAAAAAATTGAAACCCCTCAAGGAAAAGCTTAAGAAAATGGGAACAAGAAGCTATGAACAGATTTATTCAATTTTCCAAAATGAATAGCAATTATGAAATGAAGAAAATGTTCCCATTCCAGGAAAAACATTAAGGACCATGAGAAATTTTAATTATGAATACACTCAATACCAAACCTTACACCAAAATGTTGCTTACCTTATGTAGCATGATTGCCACAAACACAATTAACTGGACACTGGTCTGTGAAGTAGATGCTGCTGCTCCCAAAGCAACACCATCAGCTATATTTGGAAACAAGGAAACATAAAATACTATAAACAACAACAACAATAACAGTGTAGTGGTTGAGTGTATGAGCTTTACAGTCAGGTCCAGCTGGATCTAGTAATGTTACTTAACCTTTCTACATGCCAGCCTTATCTTTAAAATGTGTTCAATGAAGTATGTATTTCTTAGGGTTTTCATGAGGATTAAATGAGATAACTTATGTAAAGAGCATAGCATCTGGCCCAGAGTATTCAATGTTAGTTATTTTGGTTGCTGTTGTTGTTATTGGAAAACTAACATTCAATTTTCCAACTAATCAAAAATCCATTGATTAGTTAATCAAATTCTAACAAGGGAAATACCAAAGAAGAATTTCAAAGGAAGCATCTCTTAATCTTATAGGTTAAGAAACAAAATAGTCCCAGCTACTTGGGAGGCTGAGGCAGGAGGATTGCTTAAACCCGGGAGGTGGAGCTTGCAATGAGCCGAATCGTGCCAGTGCACTCCAGCCTCGGCAACAGAGTGAGACTCCGTCTCAAAAAAAGAAATAAATAAAATAAAGATACTAGAACTCTATATAGATGATTACTACTTAATAAGTAAACACTGGTTGAATGAATGAAATTTGTTAGAAAAGCATATTATACTTAGAAAGGGCCAGGTAACAGTGTACCACCTTTCACATGCCTTTCTTTGCCACTGACAGAATTCTATTACTAGGACTAGGTTTGGGTTATGATTCTAAAGTGTACCCTGTCAGCAATGCTAAGATCTCTGCATTCCACTGCATACCACTTCTGCTTAAACTGGTGTTTTGCATATAAACTGGTAACAGAGCTGTTCAGGACAGAAGCGCCAAGGCTCTTTTCCAGATGACATTCTAGAGCCAAGAATGAAAAGAGCAAACTTCTTCTTAAGAGCTAGACAGTAAATATTTGAGGCTTTGCAGTTATTTGGTCTCTTGCAACTGTTCAATTCTGCCACTGTTGCACAAAAACAAAAGAGATGGATCATTGTCATTGTCTATCTCTTCCTCAGCCTCCTGCAACTTTATCTTCATTCTAACATCAGTCACATTTGCCTTTCTCCATTTTTTATTGCCATCACCCTAACCTAAATTTTCATCACTCAAACAAACCTAAATCAGCAATAGGTTCCCTACTCTCATTTTTCCCTAATCAAATTCACTGTCACAAACAATACATAAATACATGGGCAAGGCTGTGTTCCAATAAAACTTCCTTAATTTGAATTATATAATTCTCATGTGCTACAGTATGTTCCTCTCTCTCTTTTTTTTTTTAAACCATTAAAAAGTATAGAAACCATTCTTAGCTTGCAAACCCCTGACACTGAGCACACCAAGCTTGTGCTTGTGTTGGAGGACTTCATTAAGAAACCTTTTCCTCAAAGGCCAGTCCAAGAGCATTCAATGAGGACGGTCCCTGAAATATAAACACTAAGGTCTCCCCTGTGCGATAGAAAACAAAGAAGTTCCACTGCAATCCAACCCTACCTGCAGCATGGACAACCAGACCCAGCGTGGTGGTGATTTTGGAATTGCTAGACCTTGCTGCTTCTGGATCTAAAGTGAAAATGAGAAAGACAGCGTTAAGCTATGTGAGACAGAAACTGTTCAAACATTGGTCTGGAGGTGAAAGAATTTCACTAATGTTGGCCAGGCTGGTCTCAAACTCCTGACCTCCAATGATCCGCCCGCCTCACCCTCCCAAAGTGTTGAGATGATAGGCGTGAGCCACCGCACCCGGCCACTATCTTTTTTCTTTCTGCTTCAAACCCTTAGAAGATTTCCCTGTCCTGAAGAGGTGGCTAAGAGGGAACTCTTCATTTGACTCAGCCCTACCTTAACAGAAAAATCACTGAAATGTGTAACCCCCAATGGCCCCAACTTCCTCCTATTCCTTAATCCTCTTCCTCTACTATTCCAAGGAAAGTGATCTATGGCCTCTGATCATTTCTTTCCAGACCAATCTAATTGTCATTGTCTATCTCTTCCTTAGCATCCTGCAACTTTATCTTCATTCTAACATCTGTCACATTTTTATTGCCATCACCCTAACCTAAATTTTCATCACTCAAACCTAAATTAGCATCAGGTTCCCTACTCTCATTTTTCCCTAATATAATTAATCTTACACATCCGTGTCAGATTCATCGTTTGAAAACACCACCCTTGGCCGGGCACAGTAGCTCACACCTGTAATCCCAGCACTTTGGGAGGCCGAGGCAGGTGGATCACCTGAGGTCAGGAGTTTGAGACCAGCCTGACCAACATGGTGAAACCACGTTTCTACTAAAAAATATAAAAATTAGCTGAGTATGGTGGCGGGCGCCTGTAATCTCGGCTACTTGGGAGCTGAGGCAGGAGAACTGCTTGAACCCAGGAGGCAGAAGTTGCAATGAGCCGAGATTGTGCCATTGCCCTCCAGCCTGGGCAACAAGAGTGAAACTCCGTCTCAAAAACAAACAAACAAAAAACCCACCACCCTTATGATGTGTCAGTTACCATTTAAGAATCTGCTGCTTTTCAAATTCAGGGCAAACTGCTATATTAGATAGGTTCTTAAGCCCTTTATCAACTAGTTCCAACTTATTTCTCAATGTCCAGTCTAGTTAAACCAGTTTGCTTAACACCATCGAACAAAACCTTCTTATTCTCCTTTCCCCAAGTCTCCTCACCTGTAATTCTTGGCACATACTGAACTTCTCAGCTTGTTAAGCCAAAACTTGGACATCAATCAAAGTCTAACTACAGAACCACTTCCCTCAAGAAAGAATAAAAAATTGAAGACTAAGCATGGTGGCTCATGCCTGTAATCTCAGCAGTCTGGGAGGTCGATGGGGGAGGATCACTTGAGGCCAGGAGTTTGAGACCAGCCTGGGCAACATCACAAGACCCTATCTCTACAAAATTTTTAAAATTTAGCCAAGTGTGGTGGTGCATGCCTGTAGTCCCAGGTATCTAGGAGGTTAAGGTGGAAGGATCACTTGTGCCTAGGAGTTTAAGGCTGCAACAAGCTATGCTCATGCCACTGGACTCCAGCCCGGGTGACAGAGCAAGACCTTGTCTCAAGAAAAATTAAAAATAAATTTAAAAAATTGATTCCAGCTCAAAGCAACTCTCCCCTTGCCTAGACCTAGTGATCTATGCAGGCAGTCTTCAAAGGTTCCTCTATACACCACCTCAGATATACAAAGCCATTTTCACTTGAATGTTTTCTATCCCCAGATGGACTGTAAATGCTAAAGCATTAAATTTTCTACCTCTCTTTTCCTTTAACATGTCTGACAGAATGTAGCACAGCACTAGGCACCCAATAGTTACTTAATAAATCCTTGCTGAAGAGTGAAAAAAGCATTTATGTGTATTAAATAAAGATGTTACTGCTCTTGTAGGAAACATACAAGTAAATAAAGTTAAAAGATGGGGACATCAAAATGCCAGGTAAAATGACAGATGAACATCAGTCAAGTAAGTTACAGGGGATTTAATCTTCTTAGGAGTCCAGCATACAAAAGGAAGGGGTTTACAATGGAAAAAGTATACAAGTAAAGTAAGATATTACCTCTTATTAATAAATGATATTTTCCTATTAAAACACTGCAAAGAAGGGAAGCTAAAGACCCTAATCACTCTGCGCCAGCAAATAGCTCAATGCTACCCTGAACTGGAAGGAACAGTCAAATTACACTGTGTGCAAGCTGGCTCTGGCCTTTTTTTATACAAAGGCTTATCATCCAGTTATACTTAGGATCTTAAACAATTAGAGGCTTTAAAATTAGAAAGTTTTTATAAACCTATAAAGACTGCAGTTTAGCATAAATTTAATAAATACATTTTATTGACATTTTATAATACATAAAACTCTGCAGAAAATAGGTAAAACCAGGTCATCAGACACGAAAGCCAGCAAAAATAATGACTTCAGAGATAAAACAGGAAGAAGAATAATGGAACACAAGCTACATTTAACTCTCTGTATAGGATTACTGGCTACTACTGCGCCCACACATTTTATTTTTATTTTTTTAGAGACAGAGTCTTGCTTGTTGCCCAGGCTGGAGTGAAGTGGTGCGATCACAGCTCACTGCAGCCTCGAACTGAAATGATTCTCCCTCGCATCTCAGCCACCTGAGTAGCTGTGATTACAGGCAAGTGCCACTATGCCTGGCTAATTTTTAAAGTACTTTTTTGTAGAGATGGGTCTTGCTGTGTTGTCCAGGCTGGTCTCAAACTCCTGACCTCAAGCCATCTTCCCACTTTGGCCTCCCAAAGTGCTGGGATTACAGGCGTGCACCATTGTGACTGGCCTGACAATCACCATATATATCTTTAGAATCAGGTTTTTTTTAAAAAATCATTCGTTAAATGGAAATTTCTTTCAACTTACTGAGGAGGAAAAATTTTATTTCACATATTTAACATGTTTACATTTACATACATGTTTCAAAACACATAGAAGTGAAGTGGCCATTTCATCATTTTCCAAATTTCTCTTTGGCAGATCAAGGATTCTGAGAAAGTAGAATGGTATGGAAGAAAGATACCCTGGGAGAAGGCTAGCTTTGCCCCAGCTCGGTCCTCTTCCTTCCTTTCTTCCTTTTTTTTTTATTTTGAGATGGAATCTTGCATGGTCACCCGGGCTGGAGCGCAGTGGCGTGATCTTGGCTCACTGAAACCTCTGTCTCCCAGGTTCAAGCGATTCTTGTTGCCTCAGCCTACCAAGTAGCTGAGATTACAGGTGCCCGCCACTGCGCCCAGCTAATTTTTTTGTATTTTTAGTAGAGACGGGGTTTCACTATGTTGGCCAGGCTGGTCTCGAACCCCTGACCTCATGATTCACCCGCCTCGGCCTCCCAAAGTGCTGGGATTACAGGTGTGAGCCACCGTGCCCAGCCCCCTTCCTTTCTTGCATAAGCAAACACTCACACATGTGTATACACACACACACACACACAGAGCAGGATGTCAGAGGGAAACTAGAGCCACTTGCCCCTTCCCAGGATCAGAGAACACAGAAAAGGTCATTACTTTCTGCAGCTACTCTCTGTTCTTGAACTCACAACACTGTCCTGACCATGAATAAGGTCAGGTAGGAGAAATTTACAACTCCCTGAACTATAGGTTCACAAGTGTGAAATTCGACCATCCTTGTTTCTTTTTCTCTCTCTTTTTTTAAGACACAGGGTCTTCCTCTGTCACTCAGGCTGAAGTACAGTAGCACAATCATAGCTTACTGCAGTCTCGAATTCCTGGGCTCAAGCAATCCTCCCATCTCAGCCTCCCAAGTAACTGGGATTACAGGCACATGCCACCATGCCCAGCTAATTTTTAAGATTTTTGTAGAGACGGCGTCTCGCTTTGTTGCCTAGGCTGGTCTCAAACTCCTGGGCTGAAGCAATCTTCCCGTCTTGGCCTCCCAAATCGCTTGGGATTACAGGCGTGAGTCACCATGCTCAGCCTACGTTAAATTGAAACTGACAAGAATCACAAGAAAAATGTCTTGGAGCCCAGTGTGGCCAACTGTGTGATACAGCCAGAGTCCAATACCACCCAACAGTGCTTCTCATTTGCTGTTTGGAGTAAGGCACAATAAAACCATTTATTCTTACATCAACTTTCCAAGA
Organism: Homo sapiens; assembly: GCF_000001405.40. Classification (NCBI taxonomy): domain Eukaryota; kingdom Metazoa; phylum Chordata; class Mammalia; order Primates; family Hominidae; genus Homo; species Homo sapiens. Next base: position 69,449,176 of record NC_000014.9, on the reverse strand, counting down.
TAAGATTTTATTAAAAAATATAACTCTATGGAAAAAAATTTAACACATAGTAAATACAAGGAGATTAAAAACCGTTCTAGACCAAAATTATTTTGTTTTGTTTTAAGCTTACTCCCATAATTTTTTTAAACTCTAATTTGGAAATAATTTTAAACCTTCAGTAAAGTTGCAAGAATAGTAAAAAAAAATTCATACATCCTTTTCTCAGATGGACCAATATATTGATTAACATTTTGCCTCATTTGCTTCATCATTTATACTCACGCTCTCTGTACACACACACATTCTTTTTCTCTAACATTTAAAAGTAAGTTGCACACATCAATAACCCTTTATCCCCAGATGCTTCAATGTGTATTTTCTAAGAGAAAAGATATTTTCTTACATCATCACAGTACAGTTATCAACACTGACACTTTTTCTAATTTTCTTGCATATTGTAATTTTGTCAACTGCTCAATAAAGTACTTACTTCAGGGCATGTTTCCTTTCCAGGAAGGATCCAGTCTAGAATCACACATTTCACTTACTTGTAACTCTTTAGTCTCCTTTAATCTGGAACATTTCCTCTCGCTTTGACTTTTATGACATTGCCATTTTTGGATAATATATTCTCCTCCTTTCTTGTTTTTTTAGTAATAAAAACTTTTGTGTGTATGTCCTTAAGACTACGGGTTCTTGGATGAAATGTTATAATGGTGATGATGCTTCTCCGGGTATCACATCTAGAGGTGCAGGATGTACATCTGCTGCTCACTGGTGGTGTTAATTCTGAATTATATCCTGGACATTGCCAACATTATCTCATGGATAGTCAGATTTTGTTATATTCCTCCAAAGAGTGACTTTTTTGTTTGTTTTGCTTTAAGTAGCTTGGTTGGATTAAAACTGCAAAATGTCTTTTGGGTTGCTGCTCAATTTTCAGTTTAATTTTTTTTTGTGCTTTTTTTTTTTTTTTTTTTGAGACAGAGTCTCACTTTGTTGCCCAGGCTGGAGTGCAGTGGCGTGACCTCGGCTCACTGCAAGCTCCGCCTCCCATGTTCACGCCATTCTCCTGCCTCAGCCTCCCGAGTAGCTGGGACTACAGACGCCCGCCAACACGCCTGGCTAATTTTTTTGTATTTTTAGTAGAGACGAGGTTTCACCGTGTTAGCCAGGATGGTCTCGATCTCCTGGCCTTGTGATCCACCTGCCTCGGCCTCCCAAAGTGCTGGGATTACAAGCCTGAGTGACTGTGCCCCATCACTTTTTTTTTTTTTTTTTGGAGACAGGGCCTCCCTCTGTTGCCCAGGCTAGAATACAGTGGCACAATATTGGCTCACTGTAACCTCCCTGTCCTGGTCTCAAGCTACCCTCCCACCTCAGTCTCCTAAGTAGCTGGGAGTACAAGCGCAGGTCACCACGACCAGCTAATTTTTGTATTTTTTTGTAGAAAAAAGGTTTTGACATGTTGCCCAGGCTGGTCTCAAACTTCTGGGCTCAAGCCATCCACCCACCTTGGCCTCCCAAAGTCCTGGGATTACAGGCATGAGCCACTGCATCCAGCCCAGTTTAGTTCATAATTATCTTCAGCTGAGCTACCTGGAGTCTGCCAAGCATGGTTCAGGGTCAGCTGGAGACCGAGGCAGTTCATATACAGAATTTGGGGCTGAGTTTCTCTTCGTTCTAGGATTCTCCCTTATTTTCAGTGCTGTAACCACTGAAACTCCTGAACTCTGTCCTCTGGTTCTTCAGTCCAGAAAGACTGAGTTTTCTATCAGAGTTTTAGCTGTCCCACAGGGGGCTGACTACTGAAAGCAGTAAAAATAGGAAATGCACCCTGTTCTAAGTGTTGACTCCCTTCCAGAATTTGCTTGCTTTGGGTTGCTCTCCACTGGTTTTTTGAATTCTGTCCAGCATTTTTAGTTACCTGTAAGGAGGCTGATCTGAGAGCTTACTTGGTCATATCAAAAGCAGAATGCTTGTGACCTTAATTTTGACTATCCGATCAAGGTATCATCTGATTTCTTCATTTAGTTACTTCTTTCCCCTTGAAGCCAATAAGGAAATAAAAATTTGCCCCCTACATTTAACATTCATTGATGATGCGTGCCTGAGCCAACCTTTAAGGAGGGTTGCAAAAATGAGTATTTTTCCAACTCCAGCACTCTTTCTACATTTAATAATTGGAGCATTCTACTATAAGCAAGTGCTCTCTCTCTCTCTCTCGCTCTCTCTCTCTCTCTCTCTATATATATATATATATATCACAGATGGGCTCATGGATTCCCATTTTTTTTTCTTTTTCTTTTTTTTTTTTTTTTGAGACAGAGTTTAGTTCTTGTCTCCCAGGCTGGAGTGCAATGGCACAATCTTGGCTCACTGCAACCTCTGCCTCCTGGGTTCAAGCAATTCTCCTGTCTCAGCTTCCCCAGTAGCTGGGATTACAGGCGTGTGCCACCATACCTGGCTAATTTTTGTATTTTTAGTAGAGATGGGGTTTCACCATGTTGGCCAGGCTGGTCTTGAACTCCTGACCTCAGGTGATGCACCCGCCTAGGCCTCCCAAAGTGCTGGGATTACAGGTGTGAGCCACCGCGCCCAGCCAGATTCCCATTTTTTGAATGGTTTATGCTTTATTACTGTTCTTAATTATGTTGGTGCTCAACTTATCCCACATGTGGCCAGTGGGAACCCTTTTAAGAGGGTTCCTATATCCTATGACATGCTCCCATCTTCTTCCTTCCTTCTGTTTTTTTCAGTTCTAGATGTTCCAAGCTCACTTGTACTTACCCTGCCCCTGTCCTGGAATCAGCCCTGAGTCTTCTCTGAAAGGCCCTGGCTTGCTCATGCTAGTGGGATGTCTTTATTTCTAGGCCCCATCTTCAGACAGAGCTAGGACATATATATATATATATGTATATATAAATATATATACAAAACCAAATACATTTAGAAATCCCGAGTCCAATACTTCCAATTCCAATAAGTCCCTATAGGGGTTCTTTCTTGCCTTCCTCCACTCCATACTTGTGTGTTCCTTCTTCCACACTTAGAACCCTGACTCCACCAACATCAACATGACCCATTGACTCAATCCTATAAAACATCTAAAGCAGCTTCAGAACTGTTTTGCCCATTCCATTACAAACAACAACAACAACAACAACAACAACGAGTTCAGTATTTGTTTATGGTTTTCTCCCAACTCTACCCAAGACTAAACATATGTAGTCAAATACTACATTCATAATTTACTTGAATTAGTTTTTGTTAAATCCCTTCAGTGTGATTGTATTATTCACTTGAAATACAATTCATCTGTTTCAGTTAGCGCTCCCATCCATATTGGTTTCATTCTATTTTTTGAATATGTAGAACATTAACATGTTTCCAAAAGTCAGAATTATACCAAAAAGGCATGCTCAGGGGAATATCATGTGCTCCCAAAACCCTTTTGCCCTCTCAACTCCTCCACCTCACCCCATGCAGTTAATAAATGTCTTTTGTTTTCTAGCCAGTTCTTCTTCTGTTTCTTTTTTGTAAAGGTAAGTAGATACACTTGACCACTGCACTGAACAATGTGGATGTTGGAGTGTTGACCCCCTACACAGTCAAAAATCCACATACAACTTTTCACTCCCCAAAAACTTAACCACTAATAGCCTACTGTTGATCAGAAGTCTTAATGATAACAAAGTCGATTAACACGTATTTTATTTGTTATATGTATTAATACTGTATTTTTACAAAAAAGTAAGCTAGGTAAAAGAAAATGTTATTTAAAAATCATAAGAAAGAGAAAATATATTTACTATTAAGTGGAAGTGGATCATCATAAAGGTTTTCATCCTCATCATCTTCACATTGAGTAGGCTGAGGAGGATGAGGAGGAAGAGGAGGGGTTGGTCTTGCTGTCTCAGGGGTGGCAGAGGTAGAAGAGGTGAAGGAGGTGGAAGGGGGGCAGGAGAGGCAGCCACACTCAGTGTAACTTTTATTGAAAGAAAATCCATGTATAAATGGACTCACACAGTTCAAACTCATATTGTTCAAAGGTCAACTGTATGTTTTTCTTATTTCCCCTTCTTTCTTACATAAAACATAGTATATGCTAGATGATCATTACATTTTTTGCTTTTTTTTTTCCATTTAACAATACCTCCTGGAAATCTCTCCCTATCAGTTCACAGATACCTGAATCTTTATTCTTTTATTATTATTTTTTTTAGAGCGACAGGGTTTCGCATTGTCTCCCAGGCTGGAGTGCAGTTATGCGATCATAGCTCACTGCAGCCTTGAACTCCAGTTTCAAGTAATCATCCTACCTCAGCCTCTCAAAATGCTGGGATTAAAGGGGTGAGCCACTGCGCTCTGCCTGAATCTTTATTCTTTTCTACAGCTACATAGTACTCCATTATGTGTACATACCATAGTTCATTCAGCCAATCTCCATGACTGAACATTTAAGTATTTTCCAATGATAAATAATGCTGCATTGAATAATCTTGTGCATATGTATTTTCATATTGGAGCTGTATTTGAGTAAATCCCTAGAAGTGGGATTTCAAAGGGTAAACATATATGTAGTTTTGTAAGATACTGCCAAATTCCTCTCCATGGGCATTGTACCATTTTGCATTGCCACCCCAATATATGAGTGCCTATTCTATCACAGCTTTGCCAATCGGGTGTATTGTTAAGCTTCTGAATTTTTGCCTGACAGGTAAGAAACGGTATCTCAGCATAGCTTTGACTTGTATTCAAGTGAAATTGAACATCTTTTCATAAGTTTAAGGGCCATTTTAATATCTTATTGCGATTATCTGTTCATGTCTTTTGTCTGCTTTTCTGCAGATTTTTCTGTCGACCAAAGATTCTTAGCCTGGGGTCTATAGAGGTGAGTACAGGTAGAATTCAGGGGATGTCTGTGACTTTAACTTGAAAAAAATGCGTTTTTATTTTTACTAACCTCTGAAATTTAGCATTTCCTTTGTCTTTATTTTTTTTGAGATGGGATCTTGTTCTCTTGCTCAGGCTGAACTGGAGTGCAGTGGTGTGATCGTGGCTCAATGTAGTCTCAACCTTCTGGGCTCAAGTGATCTTACCACCTAAGCCTCCTGAGTAGCTGCGACTACAGGCATGCCTCATCATGCTTGGGTAATTTATTTTTTTTTCGTAGAGATGGGGTCTCACCATGTCTCCCAGGCTGATCTTGAACTCCTGGTCTCAAGTGAACCTTCCCCCTCAGCCTCTCAAAGTGCTGGGATTACAGGCATGAGCCACCACGCTTGGCCACATTTCCTTTATTTTTATTATCATTATTATTTTTGAGACAGGGTCTCACTTTGTCACCCAGGCTGGAGTGCAGTGGCGTGATCTCAGCTCACTGCAGCCTCAACCTCCTGGGCTCAAGCGTTCCTCCCGCCTCAGTCCCCCAGTAGCAGGGACTCCAGGTGCGTACCACTATGCTCAGCTAATTATTGTATTTTTTGTAGAGATGGAGTTTTGCCATGTTGCCCAGGCTGGTCTCAAACTCCTGAACTCAAAAGGATCCGCCCATCTTGGCCTCCCAAAGTGCTAGGATTACAGGTGAGTCATGGTGACTGCCCCCTCATTTCCTTTAATTATGAATGCAGACAATAAACCACAAGTAATATCAGCACTATCTTTACTGCCAGTAGAAATCAGACTAATCAGGTTATTTTACAGTTGTAGATTATCTTTAAATTATCGCTTTCACTCATCACTACTTTAAATTAAGGACTTATAGAACTGCTGCCATACTGCATGATTACAGCTTTCCTGTCTGCAGATGCTCATGTGATGGAGCTGGGCAACTATCAAGTAGCTCTGCATCTAACAGTCACTCAGCCACCAAACAGTGATAGTCACAAGGCTCTCCCATTGGGGACCAAGATACTTATGCTGCTTTCCAATATTTCCTATCTGCAAAATTCCCTGCTGACATATCTGAAAAAATATGTCTACACATCAATCCCTGGAGAAGTTTTATAACTCTCAAATTTATTTCTATCACCACAGGATCGAAGTGTATCATGTATCAGAATCCTTTTTTATTAATATAAATCGTATGAAAAATGTTGACCTAGCCAAAGATAAATTCATTGATCTTAAAACAAAACAGTTACTATGACTGGAGTCAAATTTGAAAAGTCTTGGGGAATTCTAGTTGTCCTTTAGAGAAGCTTATGATTCCTTAAAAAGCAAGCTACAAATGTGTTTAGGTACATTTGTAAGAAAATACCTTTGTAAATCAAGATTTTCTACACCAATAACCATCAAAACAAAAACCCAAAATCAACTAGATGTTTAACTTGACATACATGTTGCCTTGTTACAGACTACCTCATAATTTAATGTTCTTAAGCCAAGCATATTATTATGTAATAGCTAGCATACTAATGTCCTAGAAAATAAAATTCAACTCTAACTTGTTTAGGATTTAAATGTATTATCTCATTATTTAATGCACTGATAAAGACATACATTACTATATCACAAATTTGTTCTGATGTTTTAGTAACTGTATTTCAACAAAGGTGGTTTTCTCTTTGATCTTATGTACTATGTTTTATACATTTAAAAACAATATTCCAATAAAAGGTCCACAGTCTTTAGACTGCCTAAGGGCTCCACAGCAAAAAACTAAGTTAAGAACTTCTGCCCTAGACTCTCAACCAAATGTGACAACTTTAAGACAAGCAAAGTAATAAACCAATAAACACTTCTTTGCGCCACATGCCACAACTCACTAGCTCTCCCCACTTAGTTAAATGTTCACTAGAACCCAAGGAAGACAAGAGTTTTAGCACTAAATATGGCCACTGATACAGACTGAAATATTTGATCGTTTGTAACTTTCTCAACTGCAAATGTATTGCACTGCCCAGAAAGCCTTGGAGCCACTCACCGTCAGTAGAATGCACATGGGAGTTACCAATCTGGTCCACCAGCAACATGAAAACGAAGCCCAGAACGAGGGAAACACCAATATAGGCATGCAGCTGTGTGTGGTCGTGGCTGTGCTCATGTTCATGGACAACTGATTTTTCTGCTGCTTTGTCTGATGCAATCACATTATGTGTTTCACTTGCTTGGTGGTGTTTTCCTAGAGCAGAATAAACCATAAAGAGAAAATATGTTTTTCCCCTAAAAACATTTTCATGTAGGAGTTTCCATTCTTTGTATTTCAAGCTCTACTTACTTTACTGTAAAGACATCCACTTTTTATATTGTAATCCAGCCAATCATTAACTCCTTCAACTTAAAGTTCATGATGAAAAAATTCCCAAATGTCTTCTGCCTTTGGCATGCAGACCTTCTGACTGCCTATTATTCTCAACACCTGGGAAGTGGAAGCAAATCACCATGCAAGAAAGCAATCATATTCCCAAAGGGACACCATCCCCAAATATTCCTTTATCTGAGAAATTCATGCCAATCTCACCAGAAAATACACTGTTTTTTTCTGATGAAAATAGGCAAATGAAGAGCAGTAACAATGAAAATAATTGCAATCAAATTCATCTAGTTTATACCTAGGCTGAGATAAAAATGTAAAATAAGGAACAAATTGAGTAGAAAATTTTTAGCTTTATAAAATATCAGCAGACAATTGCCAGCAAGAAACCAAAAGGGCAGAGCAGTTTAAGAGGCACATCCTTCAGTCTAAATTCAGTTCTAGAAATATGGAGGTTGGGAGACTCTGAACTGCAGTAAATGATACCTGGCCAGCTGATAATCCCAGTTTACAGTAACATATTTGTCATTTAAAACATAAATGCTTCAAAAGGCCAAAAAGCTTATCTTTGCTATATTTCATGAATAGAGAATAACATACTAGACATTTATCATTTATAATCAGATTAAGCAGTTTAAGCCTTCTTTAAAAATTGAGACAAGGTCTCATCTTTCACCCAGGCTGGAGTACAGCAGTGGTGCAATTATGGCTCACTGCACCCTCGACCTCCCGGGCTCAAGCAATCCTCCTACCTCAGCCTCCCAAGTAACTGGGAAACCACAGGCAAGTACCACCATAACCAGCTAATTTGAAAATTTTTTTGTAGAAATGTGGTCTCCCTATGTTGCCTAGGCTGGTCTTGAAATCTGGGGCTCAGGTGATCCTCCCACCTTGACCTCCCAAAGTGGTGGATTACAAGTATGAGCCACTGTGTCCAGCCTAGAGATCCTGTCTCTTAAAAACAAAACAAAACAGGCCAGGTGCAATGGCTCATGCCTGTAATCGTAGTACTTTGGGAGGCCAAGGGGGGCAGATCACGAGGCCAGGAGATCAAGGCCAACATGGTGAATCCCCGTCTCTACTAAAAATACAAAAACTAGCTGGGCACGGTGGCGCGTGCCTGTAATCCCAGCTACTCAGGAGGCTGAGGCAGGAGAATCGCTTGAACCAGGGAGTCGGAGGTTGCAGTGAGCCGAGATCACGCCACTGCCTTCCAGCCTGGCAACAGAGGGAGACTCTGTCTCAAAAAAACAAAACAAAACAAAACAGTTTCACAAAATAATATCCAACCTTACAACAGTTACAATGTACTCTTCTGTTTCTTTCTCTGTCTCTCTCTCTTTCTTTCTTTTTGAGACAGGTATGGCCCTTTCACCCAGACTAGACTACAGTGGTGCAATCTCAGCTTACAGTAACCTCCATTTCCTGGACTGAAGTCATCCTCCTACCTCAGTCCCCCAAGAATCTGGACTACAGATGTGAGCTACCAAGTCCTGCTAATTTTTATATTGTTTTTGTGGAGATGTAGTTTTGCCATGTTGCCCAGGCTGGTCTCAAACTCCTGAGCTCAAGTGATCCGCCCACCTTGACCTCCCAAAGTGCTGGGGTTACAGGCTTGAGCCACCGTGCCTGACACTATTCTTATGTTTTTGAGACAGAGTCTCACTCTGTACCCAGGTTGGAGTGCAGTGGCATGATATCGGCTCACTGCAACCCTGTGCCTCCAGGGTTCAAGTGGTTCTCATGCTTCAGCCTCCCGAGTAGCTGGGTTTACAGGTGTACTACATGGTGAGTTCTTGCAAGATCTGATGGTTTTTAAGGGGCCCTTCCCCTCTTCATTTAGCACTTCTCCTTCCCGCGGCCTTGTGAAGAAGGTGCCTTGCTTCCCCTTTGCTTTCCGCCACGATTGTAAGTTTCCTGAGGCCTCCCCAGCCATGCTGAACTGTGAGTCAACTAAACCTCTTTAATTGACCTTTATAAATTACCCCGGCTTCAGGGCCTTTTGTGGTTACATATGAATTTTAGGATCGTTCTATTAAGGTTTATTTGGCTTACAGTTCTGCAGGCTGTCCAAGAAGCACGAATCTGAGGATCTCAGGAAGCTTCCAATCATTGCAGAAGGGGAAGAGGAGTCAGTATTTCACAAGACGAGAGAGGGGAGGGGTGCCATGCTCTTTTAAACAACCAGTTCTCTTGTTAAATTATAGAGGGAGAACTCACTCATCAGCAAGGGGATAGCACCAATATGTGCATGACGGATCCACCCTCATGACCCAAACACCTCCCACCAGGCCCCGCCTCCAACACTGGGATCAAGTTTCAACACTAGATGTGGAGGGGACAAATATCCAAACCATAGCAAATGCCACTGGAATTATGATAGGGGTTGCATTAAATCTGTAGATCACTTTGGGTACTACGGATATTTTAACAATATTAATTCTTCCAATTCATGAACACAGAATACCTTACTTATATTTTCTCCAATTTTTTAAATCAATGTTTTATAGTTTTCAGCATATAGATCTTTTACCTCCTTGGTTAAATTTATGCCCAAGTATTTTATTTTATTTTATTTTCTGATGCTATTATTATTTTTTTAAAAATTATACTTTAAGTTCTAGGGTACATGTGCGCAACGTGTAGGTTTGTTACATATGTATACATGTGCCATGTTGGTGTGCTGCACCCATTAACTCCTCATTTACATTAGGTATATCTCCTAATGCTTTCCCTCCCCCTCTGATGCTATTATGAATGAAATTGTTTTCATAGTTTCTTTTTCAAATAGTTCATTGTTAGTGTATAAAAATGCAACTGATATTTGTATGCTGATTTTGTATCCTGCAACTTAACTGCATTTGTTTATTAGTTCTAATTTTTTTGTGTGTGGAATCCTTAGGTATTTCTATGCATAAGATCATCTCACCTGAAAACAGAGACAACTTTACTTCTTCCTTTCCAATGTGAATGCCTTCTATCTTTTTTGTCTGCCTGACTGTTCTGGCTAGGGCCCCCTATATTTTATTTAATGTAGAGTAAAGTGACAGAAAAAGCCACAGTTAATCATACCTCTATAAAGAATCTGATACATGGCATTCTTACAGAACTGATAAAAATGAGTGGGATAATCTACATTGAGCCATGGCTGACAATAGCAGTTTTGACAATACATCACATTTATATTTTCATCTTTGACCCAATAGTCTACCTTCCTAAACATACCAATTCTAACAGTCCAAAGAATTTTGAGATGTTTTCAAATTTTGGCTGCACAGTAAAGTGCTGCATTACCCAACAATCTTTGAAGTTCTTAAAACTTGTTTCTATAGACAGTTTTTTTTTACGTGAAAGCTGATAATCATCTAATTCCAGTGATTTTAGAGCTATAATTACAGAAGAGTAAGAGGTTCCTTTTTACATTAATTAGTATTTAATAATGCTTATTAAAGCATCAGAGCACTTAGTTAACATGATATACTGAGTTCTGAAAACAATGTATTATAATTATAAGGTCCACAGAAGAACGAAACCATAGGCTGTAGTAACATGTATACAAACGTCTTTCTTGAAGTACGAAGAAAAGTTGTTTTGGTCTACAATAAAGAAAGAGGGGGGTCAGGCGCGGTGGCTCATGCCTGTAATCCCAGCACTTTGGGCGGCCAAGGCAGGTGGATCACCTAAGGTCAGTTGTTCAAGACCAGCCTGGCCAACATGGTGAAACCCCGTCTCTGCTAAAATACAAAAATTAGCTATGCCTAGTGGCAGGTGCCTGTAATCCCAACTACTAGGGAGGCTGAGGCAGGAGAATCACTTCAACCCAGGAGGCGGTGGTTGCAGTGAGCCGAGATGGTGTCACTGCACTCCAGCCTGGGTGACAAGAGCAAAACTCTGTCTCAAAAAAAAAAAAAAGGGTAAGGGAAGAGGGTAAGAAAAGAGAGAGTAAAGCAGCAAAAACAAAATTACAATGATATGTCTAAACTCATCAGTATGAAGAAAGATGTAAAAAATCTGGAGACAGCTTAGCTGAAAGGTAATATCATGGTTAAGTTACTTCACAGATTTTTTTGAGTTACTCTTCCCAGCACTTTGGGAGGTTGAGGCAGGTGGATCACGAGGTCAGGAGTTCAAGACCAGCCTGGCCAAGATGGTGAAACCCATCTCTATTAAAAATACAAAAATTAGCTGGGCATGATGGCAGGCACCTATAATCCCAGTTACTTGGGAGGCTGAGGCAGAGAACTGCTTGAACCCGGGAGGTGGAGGGTGCAATGAGCTGAGATGGTGCCACTGCACTCCAGCCTGGGCGACAGAGTGAGACTCCGTCTCAAAAAAAAAAAAACAAACAAAAAAACTTCTTTAACAGAGGTATTAACATTTTACATTTTAAAAGGAATGTTGGAGACATCTGATGCTGGCCATGTTACAGTAAGAGCATTTTGACGTCAATCACCCACTGATTACAACAAAAACTGGACAAAACACACCAAAAAACAACTACTTCAGGACTACAAAAAGTAAACAACAGCAAGTGAAGGCAAGGCAGCAAAAACTTCTAGAAAAACCCTGTCTTTCCGGCCAAAGGACCAGGAAAAGAGGTTGCTAAGAGGTAGTGAAGTACAGGAAAGTCTCCCCTTTTTTTCTCTACCTCCTCTTTTTTCTTTCCTGGTCCTGCCTTTAAGGCAGCCCCAGTTGCAGAACTGCATGGTGGCAACAAAGGCAGTTAAAACCCCATCTTTCTGGCCAGAGCAAATAGAAAAAGGGATCCCAGGCCGGGCGCGGTGGCTCACGCTTGTAATCCCAGCACTTTGGGAGGCCGAGGCAGGTGGATCATGAGGTCAGAAGATCAAGACCATCCTGGCTAACATGGTGAAACCCCGTCTCTACTAAAAATACAAAAAATTAGCCGGGTGTGGTGGCAGGCACCTGTAGTCCCAGCTACTCGGGAGGCTGAGGCAGGAGAATGGCATGAACCCGGGAGGCGGAGCTAGCAAGGGATCCCAGTGGTCTGAAGTGTATGGGGGAAACCTGGTTATGCTGTTCTGCCTTTTCTGCTGTTACTTTCTTTTGATAGAAGCCCAAGTCACATGGAACTATGTGGTGGCAACACATGTAGTGTTGCATGCAGCCACAGCTCTATAGAGAAACCTTGTCTTTCTTGACAGAGGACCAGGAAAATGGGGTCTGTTTGCAAAACAATGTGGAAGGAACACTGGAGAGGAAAGAGCTGAGAGAGGGGTTCTTTAATCCTATGTATAAACGGCACAAGTCCCAGGCTCACCCCTGAACTCAGTATACACAGGACATAGCCAAAGCAGCATTGTAAAGGCTTTGAAAACTCAGCTAAAATGAGAACCATCATCCAAAAAACAAAAAACAAAAACAAAACAGAACTTTTAGGCTGAATCTAAATAGGTTAACTTCCTGCTAAAACAAAAGAAATAAACATTCTCCAGAGATTTTGACGGGACTCAGATTCTCAAGTTATCATATTCAAAATGTCCAGCATACAACCAAAAGTTATTTGACATACAAAGAAACAGGAAATTTTGACCAATTACCGAGGGAAAAGACAATCAACCCAACCCACAGATCACTCAGATACTGGAACATTCAAAGACTTACTTAAAGCAGCTACTCTAACTATGTTCTCTAAGCTAAAAATAACATACTTTTGGAAAAATAATTTTTAAAAAATAGAGACAGGGTCTTGCTATGTTGCCCAGGCTGGTCTGGAACTCCTATACTCAAGTGATCCTCCCCCACCTGAGCTTCCCAAAGTGCTGGGATTACAGGCGTGAGCCACTGCGCCTGGCCGAAAGGTAAAAATTCCTCAAATAAATGAACATCCTCAGCAGAGAAACAGACACTTATAAAAAGAAACGAACTGGAAATTTTAGAACTGAAAAATATAATATCTAAAGTAGTAAATTCACTGGATGAGATCAATAATAGACTGGAAATGGCTGGGCACAGTGGCTCACGCCTATAATCCCAGCACTTTTGGAGGCCAAGGCAGGTGGATCACCTGAGGTCAGGAGTTCCAGACCAGCCTGGGCAACATGGTGAAATCCTGTCTCTACTAAAAATGCAAAAATAAGCCAGGCGTGGTGGCACACCCCTGTAATCTCAGCTACTTGTGAGGCTGAAGCAGGAGAATCGCTTGAACCCGGGAGGCAGAGGTTGCAGCAAACCCAGATCACACCACTGCACTCCAGCCTGGGCAAAAGAGCAAGACCCTGTCTCAAAAAAAAAAGAAAATAGTAGACTGGAAAGGACAGAGGAAAGAATCAGGGAATCTGGCTACAATGGCCGAGGTAAGAAGTACAAATTAAGATCACGTGGCTCACAAAGTCTAAAATATTTACTATCTGATGCTTTACAGAAAAAGTTTGCTAATCTCTCGTCTAAACACATCAATTAGAAGACAGAGGTTGTCAAACTAGAGTTTAAAAAAAATGATACAACTATATGCCATCTGTAAGAAGTCCACTTTAAATGAATGGCACTGGCTAAAAATAAAAGGATAGAAGGGAAAGATATAACCATGGAAACACTGATCAAGAGAAAACTGAATGGTTATATTAAAATTAGATGAAGTAGACTTGTGAACAAGAAATATTACCAGGAATAAAGAGGGATATTGCACAATGATTAAAAAGGTCAATTCACCATGGCATAGCACTCCTAAACATGTAGGTACCTAACCAAAGAGCTTCAACATACATAAAGCAAAAGCTAATAGAAATGAAGAGAAACAGATAAATCCACAATCATATTTGAAGACTTCAATACTCCTGTCTTAGTAATAGAAGCAGAAAATCAGCAAAGATATAGAAGACCAAACAACTTGACTTGAAATTTACAGAACAAGAGAATGTACATTCTTTTCAAGTGTGCATGGAACGTTCCACAAGATAAACCATATTCTGGACCATTAAAAAAGCATTTACAAATCTGTAAGTTTTCAAATCATACTAAGTATATTTTCTTACCATAATAAAGTTAAACTAGAAATCAGTAACAGAAAGAATCGGGGGCAAAACCAAGCAACCAACCAAATTTTAAAAACCACCACTCAAAAATTTGCAAATTAAATCACACAATTCTAAGTAACACACGGGTAAAAGAGGAAGTTGCATGAAAAATTAGAAAATATTTTGAACTAAATAAAGATAAAAATATAGCACACTAAAATTTTGAGATGCAAATAAAGCAGTGCTTAGAAAGAAATTTATAGCATTAAATTCTTTTTTCTTTTTTCAGGGAGGGTCTTGTTCTTTCACCCAGCCTAGAGTGCAGCGGCATAATCATGGCATGGCTCACTGCAGCCTCAGCCTCCTGGTGTGTGTGTCACTGCGCCCACCTAATTTTTCTGTAGTCACTGCGCCCACCTAATTTTTCAAATTTTTTTGTAAATACAGGGTCTTCATATGTAGCTCAGGTTAATCTCAAACTCCTGGTCTGAAGTTATCCAGCTGCCTTAGCTTCCCAAAGTACTGGGATTACAGGCGTGAGCCACCATGCCTAGCCTAAATTCTTAGAAAAGAATAGGCCAGGTGTGGTGGCTCACGCCTGTAATCCCAGTACTCTGGGAGGCCGAGGCAGGTGGATCACCTGAGGTCAGGAGTTCAAGACCAGCCTGACCAATATGGTGAAACCCTGTCTCCACTAAAAATACAAAAATTAGCAGGACGCGGTGGTGGGCGCCTGTAATCCCAGCTACTTGGGAGGCTCAGACAGGAGAATTGCTTGAACCCGGAAGATGGAGGTTGCAGTGTGCCGAGATCATGCCACTGCACTCCAGTCTGGGCAACAGAGCAAGACTCTGTCGCGCAAAAAAAAAAAAAAAAGAAAAGAAAAGAATTACATGCCTGTAATCTCAGCACTTTGGGAGGCCGAGGTGGGAGGATTACTTGAGGCCAGGAGCTTGAGACCAGCCTGGCCAACATGGTGAAACCCCGTCTCTACTAAAAATACAAAAATTAGCTAGGCCTGGTGGCACATGCCTGTAGTTTCAGCTACTTGGGAGGCTGAGGCATTGGAATCACTTGAACCTGGGAGGTGGAGGTTGCAGTGAGCTGAGACTGTGCCACTGTACCCAGCCTGGGCGACAAAGTGAGACCCTGCCTCAAAGAAAGAAGAAAAGAAAGAAAAGCAAAGAGAAGAGAAGACAAGAGAAGAGAAGAGAAACCTCAAATCAATGAGCTTCACCTAAAGAAACTTTAAAAAGTACGAGGAAATAAATCAATTACTTGAAAGACACAACTTCCAAAGCATACTCAAGAAGAAACAGGTAACTTGAACAGTCCTATATCTATCTATTTAAAAAACTGAATTCATAGTTAATAACCTTCCATCATAGAAAATGCCAGGCCAAGATTGCAAATTCACTAATAAATTCTAACAAATATTTATGGAAGAAATATTATTGATTTTATATATTCTCTTCTAGGATATAAAAGAGAAGGGAACACTTCCCAAATCTAAGAGGCCAGCATTACCCTGATAAAACCATACATAGATGTTGTTAGAAAGGAAAACCACAGGCCAGTATTCTTCATGAACAGAAACACAAAAATCCTTAATAAAATATTAGTAAATTGAATCCAGCAGCATATAAAAAGAATTATATATAATAACTAGGAGGTGGGTATATGCAAGTCTAGTTCAACATTTGAAAATCAATCACTGCAATTCACTCCATTAACAGACTGAAAAAAGCACCTGATGAAATTCAACAACCATTCAAGATAAACACTCTCAGCACACTAGGAACAGAATGGAACTTCCTTATATCATTAAAATGGCCATACTGCCCAAAGCAATCTACAGATTCAATGTTATATCAAACTACCAACATCATTTTTTACAGAACTAAAAAAAACTATTCTAAAATTCATATGGAACCAGAAAACAGACCAAATAGCCAAAGCAATCCTAAGCAAAAAGGACAAAGCCAGAGGCAACACATTACCTGATTTCAAACTACACTATAAGACTATAGTAACCAAAACAGTGTGGTCCTGGTAGAAAAACAGACACATATACCAATGGAACAGAACAGAGAACCCAGAAATAAAGCCATATACTGACAGCCATCTGATCTTCAACAAAGTGACCATGGAGGACTCCCTAGTCAATAAATGGTGCTGGGATAGTTGGCTAACCATATCCAGGGGAATGAAACTGGACCCCTACCTTTTACCAAATACAAAAACTAACTCAAGGTGGATTAAAGATTTAAATGTAAGACCTCAAACTATAAGAATCCTAGAAGAAAACCTAGGAAACCACTCTGGACATCAGCCTTGGGAAAGAATTTATGACTAAGTCCTCAAAAGCAATTGCAACAAAAACAAAAACCGACAAGTAGGACCTAATAAAACTAAACAGCCTCTACACAGTAAACTATCAAGAGAATAAACAGACAACCTACAGAATAGGAGAAATTATTCACAAACTACACATCTGACAAAGGTTTAGTATCCACAATCTATAAGGAACTTAAAAAACGGAACAAGTAAAAGACAACCACATTAAAAAATGGGCAAAAGACATAAACAGACCCTTCTCAAAAAGACATATAAGCTGCCAACAAACATGAAAAACCACTCCAAATCACTAATCGGCAGAGAAATGCAAATCAAAACCAAAATAAGATATCATCTTACACCAATCAGAATGGATATTATTAAAAAGTCAAAAAACAACATGCTGGCAAGGCTAGGGAGAAAAGGGAACACTTATACACTGTTGATGGGAATGTAAATTAGTTCAGTCACTGTGGAAAGCAGTTTTGGAGATTTCTCGAAGAATTTAAAACAGAGCTAACATTCAACCCTGCAATCCCGTTACTGCATATCTATCCAAAAGAAAACAAATCACTGTACCAAAAAGACACCATGCACTCTTATGTTCATCACAGCACTATTCTCGATAGCAAGGACATGGAATCAACCTAGTTGCCCATCAACGGTGGACTGGATAAAGAAAATGTGGTACATATACGCCACGGAATACCATTCAGCCATATAAAGAATGAAATCATGTTCTTTGCAGCAAGGAGGATGAAGCTGGATGCTATTATCCTAAGTAAATTAATGCAGGAACAGAAAACCAAATACCACATGTTCTCACTTACAAGTGGGAACTAAACATCAGGTACTCATAGACATAAAGATGGCAATAATAGAAACTGGGGACTACTAGAAGGGGAGGAAAGGAAGACAGTAAAAGGTGAAAAACTATTGGTATGCTCAGTGCCTGGGTGATGGGATCATTTGTACCCCAAACCTCAGCATCGTGAAATAGACCCAGGTAACAAACCTGTACATGTACCCCCTGAATCTAAAATAAAAGTTGAAAAAAAAAAAAGAGAAACAGGGAATCCATAAAAAACCTATATCTAACCTCATATTTAATGGTGAAAGACTGAATGAAAGTAAGGCAAGAATGTTCATTTTCATCCCTAATCAATCTCATAATGGATAGTCTAGTCAATGCAATAAGGAAGGTAAAAAAAAAAAAAGGCAGATAGGAAAGGAAAAGGTTAAGCTGTCCCTATTCACAGACGACATGATTATTTACGTAGCAAATCCCAAGGAATCTACAAAAAAGTGCCTATACGTAATGAAATTTCTTATATTAGAACTTTTTATATACTAGAATACTAGAAATTGAAAACATTATAAAAGTATTATTTACAATTACTAAAAACATGAAATATTTAGGCATAAATCAATAAACTATCTGCAGATCTGTATGCTAAAATTACAACACTGATGAAATAAATCAAAGAAGATCTAAATAAATGGAGAGATACACTGGGCTCATGGGTTGGAAAATACAATATTCTTAAGATGTCTATTCTCCCCCAAATTTATAGATTAATCTTGGTTAGAATCCCAGCATGATTTATTCCATAGATATTTGACAAGCTGATTTTAAAATGTTTATGGAAAGGCAAAGAAGTTTATGGAAAGCCAAAACAATTTTCAAAAATAAGAACAAAGTGGGCTGGCTGGGGTGGCTCACACCTATAACCCCAGCCAAGGTAGGAGGGTCACTTGAGCCCAGGAGTTCAAGACCAGCCTGGGCAACAGAGTGAGGCTGTCTCTATATAAACAGTTTAAATAATTAGCCAGACATGGTGGCATGCACCTGTAGTCCTAGCTGCTGGAGAGGCTGAAGTGGGAGGATTGTTTGAGCACAGGAGTTCAAGGTCACAGTGAGCTATGATCATGCCACTGCACACTCCAGCCTGGGTGACAGAGTGAGACCTTGTCTCAAGAAAAAAAAAAAAAAAGAAAGAAAAATAAGAACAAAGAAGGACTCCACTACTTGATTTCAAGATTTGCTATAAAGCTACATCAAGACAACGTAGTGCTGGTAAAAGGTAAACATACAGATCAATAAAACAGAACAGAGAATCCAGAAATAGACCAACACAAACACAGTTAATTGATTTTTGACAAAAGTGCAAAGATAATTCAATAGAGAAGGGATTTTTTTTCAAAAAATAGTGTTAGAACTACTGAATATCCACCCATATGCCAAAAAATGAACTTTCACCTGCATTCAAAATAGATCATAGGATTAAATGTAGAACTGAAAATCATAAAAGTTCTAGAAGAAAACAAAAGAGAATAACTTTGTGAATTCGGGCTCAGCAAGGGGTTTTAGATATGACACCAAAAGCAAAATCTCAAAAGAAGTAACTGATAAATTGGACTTCATCAGAATTAAAAACTGCTCTCTAAAAGATACTGTTAAGAGAATGAAAAGATAAGCCATGAACTAGGAGAAAATGTTTGCAGAACATGTATCTGATAAAGGACTTGTATCTAGAATATATAAAGGACTCTCAAAACTCAGTAATAAGGAAACTCAATTTTTAAAATGAACAAAATGTTTGCTATCACCACAGAAGCTATAACAATGGCAATTAAGCATATGAAAAGATGTTCAGCATCATCACAGGGAAATGCAAATTAAAACCACACTGAGATATCACTATGCTGCTATTAGAATGGCTAAAATAAAAAACTAAAACAAAACAGACAACACTAAGTGTTGACAAGGAAGGGGAGAACTGGAACTCTCATCTATTATTGATGAGAATGCAAAATATTACAGCCACTTTAGGAAGAGTTTGTCAGTTTCTTTATGAAATTAAACATATATTTGTCATGTGACCCAGCAATCCTACTTGCAAGTATTCTTTTGTCTTGCTCTGATGCCAAAGCTGGAGTGCAGTGGCACAATCTCAGCTCACTGCAACCTCTGCCTCCCAGGCTCAAGCAATCCCCCCACTTCAGTCTCCCGAGTAACTGGGACTACAGGTGTGAGGCACCATGCGTGGCTAATTTTTTGTAAGGACAGGGTTTCACTATGTTGCCCAGGCTGGCACCTGTAAGTATGCAAGAAAAATAAAAACTCATGTTCATACAACAACCAGTACATTAATAGTGACTTTATTCATAGTCACCCAAACCAGGAACCACCCATATATACATCTTCCAACTGGTGAAGGAATAGCCAAACATGGTTCATGCAAACAATGAAATACCACTCAGAAAAAAAAAAGGTACAAACTATTGATACACAGAATATAAGGGGACTTCAAAAAGCTTGTGGAAAAATGGAATTAAAAGATTAAAAAAATTTAAAAATATAAACATTATTACTGAACATAAGCTCTATCAAGTGTGAGACACTTTTGTAAATGATGATACCAGCTATTTAGTTCACCCCTAAATAACTGAGGGTCCTGGAAATTTAACCATGTCAATGCAGTCTTTTTTACATTATTAACTGAAGAAAAATGGGTACCCTTTATAGATTTTAAGATTAGGAAACAAAAAGAAGTTGGAAGGAGCCAAATCAGGACTATAAAGCTGATGCCCAAAACTTTCCTATTGAAAACCTGGCAAAATTGCCCTTGTCTGATGAGAGCAATGAGCAGGAACATTGTCGTGGTGGAGGACTCTGATCAAGCATTTCTGGGCATTCTTCTGCTAAAACTTTGGGTAACTTTTTAAAAACCATAATACGCATCTCATAATACGCAGATGTTATGGTTCATTGGCACTCTAGAAAATCAACAAGTAAAATGTCTTGCACATCCCCAAATACTGTTGCCAGTGACCTTTGCTCTTAACCGACCCACTTCTGCTTTGACTGACCACTTCCACTTCTCAGTAGCCATTGCTTTGAATGTGGTTTGCCTTCAGGATCGTTGGTAAAGCCATGTTTCATCTTCTGTTACAATTCTTTGAAAAAAACCTCCAGGATCTTGATCCCACTTGGGTCCCATTTCCATTCAAAGTTCTGCTCTTGTCTGCAGCTGATCTGGGCACAACTGTTTTGGCATCTATCGAGTGGAAAGTTTGTTCAGTGTAAAATTTTCAGTCAGAATTGTGTAAGCTGAACCAATTTAGAGGGCTATGGGGTTGGCTATTTTTTGTGTTGTTAATTGTTGGTCTTCTTTAGTTAGGGCAAGAACAAAATTAATTTTTTCTTTGAAAATAGGTGTGGATGGTCTGCTGCTGCAGGCTTCATTTTCAACATCATCTTGTCCCTTCTTAAAACAAGTTAGCCATTTGTAAACTGCTGAATTCTTTGGGGCACTGTCCCCATAAACTTTTTTTTTTTTTTTTTGAGACAGAGTCTCGCTCTGTCGCCAGGATGGGGTGCATGGCACAATCTCGGCTCACTGCAACCTCCGCCTCCCAGGTTCAAGCGATTCTCCTACCTCAGTCTCCCAGTAGCTGGGATTACAGACATGCGCCAGCACGCCTAGCTAATTTTTGTATTTTTAGTAGAGATGGGGTTTCACCATATTGGCCAGGATGGTCTCGATCTCTTGACCTTGTGATCCACCCGCCTTGACTCCCAAAGTGCTGGGATTATAGGCGTGAGCCACCATGCCCAGCCCCCATAAACTTTTTGTAAACCATCAATGATTTTATCATTCTTACACCCAACCTTCCCCATAAATTTGATGTTTATTCTTGTTTCTATCTTAGCAGAATTCATGTTGCTCCAATATGGGCTCTTTTCAAACTGCTGTCTTAACCTTCTTAGTGCCTCTAAGTAGATCCTGTTCAGACATGTTATAACAAGTTAGCGCAAGTTCATTTTAGTGCAAAAAAGTTTTTTGAAATCCATGCATAGTTTTTCCATAATACACATTTTCCCTTCATATACTGACCCTCAAATGCATTATGCTAAGTAAGAAGCCAGACCCAAAGGTTACATGATTCCATTTATGACATTCTGAAAAGGCAAAACTATATAGACAGAGATCAGTGGTTGCCAGGGGTTGAGAGTGGAGAAAACATTACAAATGGACAGCACAAGCATACTTTTTAGGGTGACAAAACTATTCTGTATTTTGATTGTAGTGGTGATAACATCACTCTCTATGCATTTGTCAAAACTTGTAGATGTGTACACCTAAAGTGTGAATGATAAATATATAAATGAAAATATTTTTTAAAAAATTTAAATGACTTAGGGCTGGAAACTAATCTATGATGAAAGGTTAAAGAGACCAGAATGCTTATTTTCAGAAGAGACTTATAAAGCACTTTGTAATCTGTTTTCAAATGACACCACAAAATTACTCTGGCTGGGTACAGTGGCTCACACCTGTAATCCCAGCACTTTGGAAGGCTGAGGTGGGTGGATCACTTGAGCCCAGGAGTTCGAGACCAGCCTGGGCAACATGGTGAAATCCTGTCTCCATAAAAAAATCTGAAAATTAGCTGGGTGTGGTGTCATGAGCCTGTAGTCCCAGCTACTTGGGAGGCTGAGGTAGGAGGGTCACCTGAACCTGGGGAAGTCAAGGCTGCAGTGATCACACCACTGCACTCCAGCGTGGGAGACAGAGTGAGTCCCTGTCTGAAAAAAAAAAAAAAAAAAATTATTTTGGGTCAAAAATCAGGAAAACTGAAAATAAGGGAATGCAACCTGTGGTGTTATTTTATGTATGTGTGTGTGTGTATGTGTGTACATATGTGTATATATGTAAACACATATATACATAGTATATACACTATACACTTACAAACATATACACACACACACAAACGTTATGTGTATATATTGGTTTTTGTCCACAGTTCCTGGTTCATAACTTACATAGCCTTTGTTGCAGTCTTTTGTTATACTGTTGGGTGTGTTAGGCCTCAACAGCAGGCTTCTGACCTTCTCCTGCCCTCTTTTCACCTGCCCCAAGGCAGGACTTGGGGTCTTAAGCTCCCATGAGAGGGTACGATCCTAAACCCTTGGGGGAGGAATGCTAACATCTTGAAACTTCCATAAAAACCCAAGAGGACAGGGTTCAGGGAACTTCTGGCTAGCTGAACATATATGAAGGCTGATAGAAAGGTGAAGAATTCATCCATGTGCCAGGAGGGTGGCGCACCCCAACTCCACAGGGTCAGAAGCTCCAGGACCCAGGACCCTTCCATACCTTACTTAGTCTTTGTATTTCTTCATCTGGCTGTTTGGCTGTTTATCTGTATCCTTTAAAATATCATTCTTAGTAAACTGGTAAATGTAAGTGTTTCTCTGAGTTCTGTGACCCACTCTTGCAAATTGACTGAACCCAAAGAGGGGGTTGTGGGAACCCCAACTTGAAGCCAGTTGGTCAGAAGTTCCAGAGGCCCAGGCTTGCGACTGGTGATGGGTGAAGGAGGGAGCAGTCTTGGGGACTGAGCCCTAGATCTGTGGGATCTGATACTGCCTCCAGGTAGACAGCGTCAGAATTAAATTGGAGGACACCTGGCTGGTGTCCACTGCTTGGTAGTGGGGAGATATTGCCACGCATCTGGTTACAGAAGTTTTTCTTCTGTGTTTATGATTGTTGTGGTGTGAGAGCACAGGAAAAACACGGTTAGAGAGAGTTTTTCTCTACACACAACCTAACACACGGTAGATAATTTTAGTCTTAAACTACACCTGGGCTGGGTGAGGTGTCTCACACCTGTAATCCCAGCACTTTGGGAGGCCAACTTGGGAGGATCGCTTGAGTCCCGGAATTGGCAACCAGCCTAGGCAACAGAAGGAGACTCTATCTCTACAAAAAAAAATTAAACATTAGTCAGGCATAGCAGTGTGCATCTATACTATAGTCCCAGCTACTCAGGAGGCTGAGGTGGGAGGATTGCTTAAACCCAAGAGATTTCAGCTGTGATGGCAAAACTGGACTATAGCCTGGGCGACAGAGTGAGACCATGTCTCAAAACAAACAAATAAAAAAAAAAACCCAAAACCCCCAACTATACCTGAAACAGGGTATGTAAATTATATCTCAAATTGATATTAAAAATAACACAAAGAAACTATACTTGAAGCACTTCTTTCCTCTACTCCAGTGTTTCTGAAACTTGTTTCATAAGAATTGCAGACAGCTTGTTAAAAATAGATATTCCCGGGATCCTTCCTGGAGGTCAGGAAATCATACTTTTAAAATGTGCCTCTTCCTCAAGGAATTTTCATTATCAGACAACTTTAGAAAACAACTGCCACCCATAAAAGGACAAATGTTAGGATAGTGATTTCTATAGTGGAATCACATCCCAGAAAAATTCAAGATGACCCACTAGAATATGAAAGAAAATACTGTTCTATGTATATTTAAATCTCAGGTCTCAAAAATATTCCTGTTTTAGGAGTGTATTTTATAATGTACACATTAAATCAGTGCAATAGTGCATGTAAATCATTCCTCCCTCCCTCTGTAGGATGTGTGACCATAAAAAAAGTAGAGACCACTGCTTTAAGGCTCCTGATTTATTACTGTTCCCCAATGCAGCTGACCACTCCTCAGCCCCTGTCCTATCTTGCAACACTTCTGCAATCCTCATTTATATCTGCCAAAACTCTTTGTCTATCAAACCCCAGGCCTAAGAGCATCACCATTCTGGATAAAGGACACAGTTCTTTTCCTCTACCAAGATCTGAAAAAGTATTTATTATATTGTATCTAGTAAGAAATTTGGAAGTGCCTACCTCTTTATACTATTCTTAACATCTGGTAGACTTGGTACTTGAGGATTCAGCTCATGGATTTAACAGCTGTGGTGTCAATCCTTCACAGGTAACTGTGAAGTTTCATGACATGTAGTAATCGGATTTTGCTAAGTCACAAATGTGAATCAAGTATGCTTTTCAGCTGTGTGAAGGACCAAATTACTTTGCTGGTGAGTAAGCCAAGCTGACCACCAAGCATTTACTCTCACACAGCTATACTGTTCCCTCTGCTTGTTGCTATTAGGGTCAGGAAAGGCCTCTTTAATTTTTTCAGTTATCCTTTACTGCATGGGTCCTCATCAATTATCTATAAAGTTTACTGTAAAGGGTCCTTAAATTTAAATATTTATATCTATATATTTTTAAATTAAACAAAAAATGCAGCCACTATCATGTGGGATTTGGGAAGTGTTTGAGTAAGCATTAAAAAAGAACTGTCATAACTTAAAATGACTCATTCATGCACTGTGGCAAATAAACATTAAGTGGTATTCATGAATTGGGACATTCAGTTGACAAACTGCTAAGGATGTGTCAATATCAAAGATATCAAGATATCTCTCAACAAATCTTCTCAGGGTAGAACTCTATGGTAAACATGAACTGTGCTCAGAAAACATACCACTAAGCTTCATCCTGCTAACCCTCCAAGTCAATAACATATCTCAAATAATGCTCTTCCCTTTCTCACCCTCAAGAATATCTTCATAAAGGGCATGTACTCCTTCAGGCACGATGACTGCCAGAGCAGTTCCACAGAGAAGGCCAGCACCCAAAACAGTCACCAGCTTCAGTCGTTCCTGGGGAGAAAGCAAAAGAAATAATTGCAAACTTTGATTAATTAATGGGAAAAAGTTTCTCAAGTATCTGTAATCAAGACTGTGAGCTGCTCATTTGTGAGACCAACATCTACAATAGACAGCGAAGATGAAAAATGATCAATTGCATGAGTAATGCCAAGTAAAACAAAGAGATGAATTTTTTTTTTTTTTTTTTTGAGACAGAATCTTGCTCTGTCGCTCAGGCTTGAGGCAGTGGCGTGGTCTCGGCTCACTGCAGCCTTCGCCTCCCAAGTTCCAGCGATTATCCTGCCTCAGCCTCCCGGGTAGCTGGGATTACAGGCGTGCACCACCACATCTGGCTAATTTTTGTATTTTCAGTAGAGACGGGGTTTCACCATGTTGCCCAGGCTGGTCTCCAACTCCTGACCTCAGGTGATCCGCCCGCTTCGGTCTCCCAGAGTGCTGAGATTACAAGCGTGAGCCACTGTGCCTGACTGAGATGAAATTTTTTAAATGACCAGGTTAACAATGATTTGGGAAAATGTCTACTATCCATGATAGGAAGAATGAGTACACTTTAATACTGGAAGGAATGTGAATTGCTACAACCTCTGGAGACTACAGTTTGGCATTTAGATTTAAAGCCTCAAAAATGTGAACTCTTTGATCCAGAAATTTTACTTCTAGAAATTCATCCTAAGAAAGAATTGTGCAAAGATGACCACTGTGCTTATTACTAATGCAAACCTGAAAATAAATGTCCAATAAAGGAGACTGGCTAAATAAACTATAAATTTCATCAGAGTACCACACCACTCAGCCATTAAAAATTAAGAAATAAATATGTTAATGGATATAGGAAGTCACAATATGCTGCTATGAGGAAAAAGCTGATGGCAATCAATATGTATTGATAATCTCATATTTATAAAAAATATTTATAAGTAGAACAAGTTATATTAAACATTAACAATTTTTTACTTAAAATTTATAACTTGCAATATATAAATACATAACTTTTAAAACATTTATAATTTACCTACAATAAACATGTATTACTCATACGATGAAAAAAATGTATTTAGACATCAATGCTAAAATTCTTCTGTGGTTTTAATCCAACTTAATCCTAATTGTCTTCTTTTTAGCCAAGTTTGAGGGACTCCCTCTTGTCATACAAAAAGATTAGGTTTCAAAGTTTCTTGAAGCAGCAGTATACCCTAATATGACTTACTGGGATCTTAGAAGTATGAAAAATGATCTTAAAAACTACAACTAGGTGGGTGGATCACCTGAGGTCAGGAGTTCGAGACCAGCCCGGCCAACATGGTGAAACCCCGTCTCTACAAAAATACAAAAATTAGCTGGGTGTGGTGGTGTGTGCCTGTAATCCCAGCTACTTGGGAGTCTGAGACAGGAGAATCACTTGAACCCAGCAGGTGAAGGTTGCAGTAAGCAGAGATTGCACCACTGCACTCCAGCTTGGGTGACAGAGCAAGATTCCATCTCAAAACAAAACAAAAAAACCGGCAAGGAGAGCCAGGCCCGGTGGTGTGCACCTGTAGTCTCAGCTGCTTGGGTGGTGGAAGCAGAGGATCGTTTAAACCCAGGAGTTCAAGGCTATAGTGTGCTATAATCACATCTGCTATAATCACTGCACTCCCACCTGGGCAACATAGTAAGAGCTGTCTTTAAAAAAATAAAAAATAATAAAAAACTACAAGAAGCCAGGCATGGTAGTACGTACCTGTTGTCCCAGATATGGGGAGGGTGAGGCTATAGTGAGCTATGATCTCACTGAATTATACTCAAGCCTGGGCAACATAAAGAGACCCCATTTTTGAAAATAAACAAAACCACAAGGGAATAATTATATATGTTGTTTATGAAAAAGTTTCAATAATTTAATGGTACATCATGAACTTCATCTGTTTGTTTCTTTTAAGAGGTTAGTTAGCAAACAAGCGGTCCATTCCAAGATGGCCGAATAGGAACAATTCCGGTCTGCAGCTCCCAGTGTGATCGACGCAGAAGACAGGTGATTTCTGCATTTCCAACTGAGGTACCTGGTTCATCTCACTGGGACGGGTTGGACAGTGAGTGCAGCCCAGGGAGGGTGAGCTGAAGCAGGGCGGGGTGACACCTCACCCAGGGAAGCGCAAGGGGTCAGGGGATTTCCCTTTCCTAGCCAAGGGAAGCCATGACAGACTGTACCTGGAAAATCGGGACATTGCCACCCAAATACTGCGCTTTTCCAACAGTCTTAACAAACGGCACACCAGGAGATTATATCCCGCTCCTTGCTTAGCGAGTCCCACACCCATGGAGCCTTATTCACTGCTAGCGCAGCAGTCCAAGATCCAACTTCAAGGAGGCAGCCTGACTGGGGGAGGGGCGTCTGCCATTGCTGAGGCTGGAGTAGGTAAACAAAATGGCCGGGAAGCTCGAACTGGGTAGAGCCCACTGCAGCTCAAGGAGGCCTGCCTGCCTCCGTAGACTCCACCTCTGGGGGCAGGGCATAGCTGAATAAAAGGCAGCAGAAACTTCTGCAGTCTTAAACGTTCCTGACTGATAGCTCTGAAGAGAGCAGTGGTTTTCCCAGAATGGTGTCTGAGCTCTGAGAATAGACAGACTGCCTCCTCAAGTGGGTCTCTGACTCCTGTGTAGCCTAAGTGGGAGATACCTCCCGGTAGGTGCCGACTGACAACTCATACAGCCAGGTGCCCCTCTGAGACGAAGCTTCCAGAGGAAGGATCAGGCAGCAATGTTTGCTGTTCTGCAGCCTCTGCTGGTGATACCAAGGCAAACAGCATCTGGAGTGGACCTCCAGCAAACTCCAACAGACCTGCAGCTGAGGGACCTGACTGTTAGAAGGAAAACTGTTAACAAACAGAAAGGAATAGCATCAACATCAACAAAAAGGACATCCACACCAAAACCCCATCTGTAGGTGACCATCATCAAAGACCAAAGGTAGATAAAACCACAAATACAGGGAGAAACCAGAGCAGAAAAGCTGAAAATTCTAAAAACCAGAGCACCTCTTCTCCTCCAAAGGACTGCAGCTCCTCGCCAGCAATGGATCAAAGCTGGATGGAAATTCCTTTGACAAGTTGACAGAAGTAGGCTTCAGAAGGTCAGTAAAAACAAACTTCTCCAAGCTAAAGGAGGATGTTCAAACCCATCGCAAGGAAGCTTAAAACCTTGAAAAAAGATTAGACGCATGGCTAACGAGAATAAACAATGTAGAGAAGACCTTAAATGACCTGATGTAGCTGAAAACCATGGCATGAGAACTACGTGACACATGCACAAGCTTCAGTAGCTGATTCGATCAAGTGGAAGAAAGTATCAGTGATTGAAGATCAAATTAATGAAATGAAGTGAGAAGTTTAGAGAAAAAAAGAGTAAAAAGAAATGAACAAACCCTCCAATAAATATGGGACTATGTGAAAAGACCAAATCTACGTTTGATTGGTGTACCTGAAAGTGATGGAGAGAATGGAACCAAGCTGGAAAACACTTTTCAGGATATTATCCAGGAGAACTTCCCCAACATAGCAAGGCAGGCCAAAATTCAAATTCAGGAAATACAGAGAATACCACAAAGATACTCCTCGAGAAGAGCAACCCCAGGACACATAATTGTCAGATTCACCAAGGTTGAAATGAAAGAAAAAATGTTAAGGGCAGCCAGAGAGAAAGGTCAGGTTACCCACAAAAGGAAGCCCATCAGACTAACAGCGTATCTCTCAGCAGAAACTCTACAAGCCAGAAGAGAGTGGGGGCCAATATTCAACATTCTCAAAGAAAAGAATTTTCAACCCAGAATTTAATATCCAGCCAAACTAAGCTTAATAAGTGAAGGAGAAATAAAATCCTTTATAGACAAGCAAATGCTGAGAGATTTTGTCACCACCAGGCTTGCCTTACAAGAGCTCCTGAAGGAAGCACTAAACATGGAAAGGAACAACCAGTACCAGCCACTGCAAAAACATAACAAATTGCAAAGACCATCAATGCTAGGAAGAAACTGCACCAACTAACGGGCAAAGCAACCAGCTAACATCATAATGACAGGATCAAATTCACACATAACAATATTAATCTTAAATGTAAATGGGCTCAATGCCCCAATTAAAAGACACAGACTGGCAAATTGAATAAAGAGTTAAGACCCATCAGTGTGCTGTATTCAGGAGACCCATCTCTCATGCAGGGACACACATAGGCTCAAAATAAAGGGATGGAGGAAGATCTACCAAGCAAATGGAAAGCAAAAAAAAGCAGGGGTTGCAATCCTAGTCTCTGATAAAACAGACTTTAAACCAACAAACATCAAAAGAGACAAGGCCATTATATAATGGTAAAGGGATCAATTCAACAAGAAGAGCTAACTATCCTAAACATATATGCACCCAATACAGGAGCACCCGGATTCATAAAGCAAGTCCTTAGAGAACTGCAAAGAGACTGAGACTTCCACACAATAATAATGGGAGGTTTTAACACCCCACTGTCAATATTAGACAGATCAACAAGACAGAAGGTTAACAAGGATATCCAGGACTTGAACTCAACTCTGCACAAAGCCAACCTAATAGACATCTACAGAACTCTCCACCCCAAATCAACAGAATATACATTGTTCTCAGCACCACATTGCACTTATCCCAAAATTGACCACATAGTTGGAAGTAAAGCACTCCTCAGCAAATGTAAAAGAACAGAAATCACAATAAACTGTCTCTCAGACCACACTGCAATCAAACTAGAACTCAGGATTAAGAAATTCACTCAAAACCGCACAACTACATGGAAACTGAACAACTTGCTCCTGAATGACTACTGGGTAAACAACGAAATGAAGGCAGAAATAAAGATGTTCTTTGAAACCAATGAGAACAAAGACACAATGTACCAGAATCTCTGGGACACATTTAAAGCAGTGTGTAGAGGGAAATTTATAGCACTAAATGCCCACAAGAGAAAGCAGGAAAGATCTAAAATTGACACCCTAACATCACAAAAGAACTAGAGAAGCAAGAGCAAACACATTCAAAAGCTAGCAGAAGGCAAGAAATAACTAAGATCAGAGCAGAACTGAAGGACATAGAGATGCAAAAAACCCTTCAAAAAAATCAATGAATCCAGGAGCTGGTTTTTTGAAAACATCAACAAAATTGATAGACCGCTAGCAAGACTAATAAAGAAGAGAGATGAATCAAATAGATGCAATAAAAAATGATAAAGGGGATATCACCACTGATCCCACAGAAATACAAACTACCATCAGAGAATACTATACACACCTCTACGCAAATAAACTAGAAAATCTAGAAGACATGGATAAATTCCTGGACACATACACCCTCCCAAGACTAAACCAGGAAAGAAATTGAATCCCTGAATAGACAAATAACAGGCTCTGAAACTGAGGCAATAATTAATAGCCTACCAACCAAAAAACGTCCAGGACCAGACAGATTCACGGCCGAATTCTAGCAGAGGTACAGATTCACAGCTGAATTCTACCAGAGGTACAAAGAGGAGCTGGTACCATTCCTTCTGAAACCCTATTTCAATCAATAGAAAAAGAGGGAATTCTCTCTAATTCATTTTATGAGGCCAGCATCATCCTGATACCAAAGCCTGGCAGAGACACGACAACAACAAAAAAGAGAATTTTAGACCAATATCCCTGATGAACATCGATGCAAAAATCCTCAGTAAAATACTGAGGATGCAAACCAAATGCAGCAGCACATCAAAAAGCTTATCCACCAAGACCAAGTTGACTTCATCCCTGGGATGCAAGGCTGGTTCAACATACGCAAATCAATAAACATAATCCATCACATAAACAGAACCAAAGACAAAAACCACATGATTATCTCAATAGATGCAGAAAAGGCCTTTGACAAAATTCAACAGCTCTTCATGCTAAAAACTCTCAATAAACTAGGTACTGATGGGACGTACCTCAAAATAATAGCTATTTATGACAAACCCACAGCCAATATCACACTGAATGGGCAAAAACTGGAAGCATTCCCTTTGAAAACTGGCACAAGACAGGGATGCCCTCTCTTACCGTTCCCATTCAACATAGTGTTGGAAGTTCTGGCCAGGACAATTAGGCAAGAGAAAGAAATAAAGGGTATTCAATTAGGAAAAGAGGAAGTCAAATTGTCCTCTTTGCAGATGACATGACTGTATATTTAGAAAACCCATCATCTCAGCCCAAAATCTCCTTAAGCTGATAAGCAACTTCAGCAAAGTCTCAGGATACAAAATCAATGTGCAAAAATCACAAGCATTCCTATACACAAATAACAAGCAGAGAGCCAAATCATGAGTGAACTCTCATTCACAATTGCTACAAAGAGAATAAAATACCTAGGAATCCAAATTACAAGGGATGTGAAGGACCTCTTCAAGGAGAACTACAAACCACTGCTCAACGAAATAAAAGAGAACACAAACAAATGGAAGAACATCCCATGCTCATGGATAGGAAGAATCAATATCATGAAAATGGCCATACTGCCCAAGGTAATTTACAGATTCACTGCCATCCCCATCAAGCTACCAATGACTTTCTTCACAGAATTGGAAAAAACTACTTTAAAGTTCATATAGAACCAAAAAACAGGTCGCATTGCCAAGACAATCCTAAGCAAAAAGAACAAAGCTGGAGGCATCACACTATCTGACTTCCAACTATATTACAAGGCTACAGTAACCAAAACAGCATGGTACTGGTACCAAAACAGAAAGATAGACCAATAGAACAGAACAGAGGTCTCAGAAATAACACCACACATCTACAAACCATCTGATCTTTGACAAGCCTGACAATAACAAGAAATGGGGAAAGGATTCACTATTTAATAAATGGTGCTGGGAAAACTGGCTAGCCATATGTAGAAAGCTGAAACTGGATCCCTTCCTTACACCTTATACAAAAATTAATTCAAGATGGATTAAAGACTTAAATGTTACACCTAAAACCATAAAAACCCTAGAAGAAAACCTAGGCAGTACCATTCAGAACATAGGCATGGGCAAGGACTTCATGACTAAAACACCAAAAGCAATGGCAACAAAAGTCAAAATAGACAAATGGGATCTAATTAAACTAAAGAGCTTCTGCACGGCAAAAGAAACTACCATCAGAGTGAACAGGCAACCTACAGAAGGGGAGAAAATTTTTGCATCTACCCATCTGACAAAGGGCTAATATCCAGAATCTACAAAGAACTTAAACAAATTTACAAGAAAAAATGAAACAACCCCATCAAAAAGTGGGCAAAGGATATGAACAGACATTTCTCAAAAGAAGGCATTTATGCAGCCAACAGACACATGAAAAAATGCTCATCATCACTGGTCATCAGAGAAATGCAAATCAAAACCACAATGAGATACCATCTCACACCAGTTAGAATGGCGATCAATAAAAAGTCAGGAAACAACAGATGCTGGAGAGGATGTGGAGAAATAGGAACGCTTTTACACTGCTGGTGGGAGTGTAAACTAGTTCAACCATTGTGGAAGACAGTGTGGTGATTCCTCAAGGATCTAGAACTAGAAATACCATTTGACCCAGCCATCCCATTACTGGGTATATACCCAAAGTCTTATAAATCATGCTGCTATAAAGACACATGCACACGTATGTTTATTGCAGCACTATTCACAACAGCAAAGACTTGGAACCAACCCAAATGTCCATCAACGATAGACTGGATTAAGAAAATGTGGCACATATACACCATGGAATACTATGCAGCCATGAAAAAGGATGAGTTCACGTCCTTTGTAGGGACATGGATGAAGCTGGAAACCATCATTCTGAGCAAACTATCGGAAAGACAGAAAACCAAACACAGCATGTTCTCACTCATAGGTGGGAACTGATCAATGAGAACACTTGGACACAGGGTGGGGAACATCTCACACCAGGGCCTGTCATGGGGTAACACTTGGACACAGGGTGGGGAACATCACACACCAGGGCCTGTCGTGGGGTGGGGGCTGGGGGAGGGATGGCATTAGGAGAAATACCTAATGTAAATGGCGAGTTAATGGGTGCAGCAAACCAACATGGCACATGTATACATATGTAACAAACCTGCACATTGTGCACATGTACCCTATAACTTAAAAGTATAATAATAATAATAATAAAGAGGTTAGTTAGCAAAAACAGTAGCTCTATTATCTCTGATACATTACTGAACTTCTGACTGAGGGGCTGGGAGCCTAACTAGCTTTTGTAAATATTATCTCTATGGGAAAATAGTTTTTTTTAGCTGAAAGGCTGGTTGAAACATCACTCCCTCCTTGTTTGGAGAGGAAGAAAGGGATCTAGGTATCTATTGAAAAAGGGGAAACTAAAGCTGCAACGTCAACACCAATTAATACTTGCCATATAGCAAGAGAAGAATCCCCCCTGATCCCCAGCACACAGCCAGGTCAACCCTTATACATTCAGAATGGCTACTAGGTACTTGTAAACTGAGAGTATTCCAGTGGTTGGGGTACTGGCTTGGGAGGCAGAACAGACTCCATGACGCTGACAAAGGATTTGTATTTGAAGTAGAAAGAACTTCTACAACTCAATAATAAAAGACAAACAACCAATTAAAAATGGGTAAAACACTGCACAGACACTTCACAAAAGATGTATGAATGGCTAATAAGCCCATGAAAAGGTGCTCAACATCATTTAGTCATCAGAAAAATGTAAATCAAAACTATGCAAGATACCTTTTCATACCCATTAAAATGGCCAAAATTGAAAAGACTGACAACTTTAAATAATTACAAGATATAGAGCAACTGGAAAACTCACACATTGCTGGTGGCAGCATAAAATGGTACAACCACTTTGGAAAATTAGCAGTCCCTTATAAAGTTAAACTAGCATTCCCCTTTTTCATTTCCCCAAAAGAAATGAAAACATATGTCCACAAAAAACTTGTACAAGAATATTCATAGAAGCTACATCAAGAATAGCCACAATCTGGATCAGATGTCCATTGACAGGAGAATGGATAAACAAATTGTGGTATATTTAAACAATGGAATACCACTTGGTAATAAAAAGGAATAAACTGCGGCTACATACAGCACATAAATGAACAAATCTCATAAACATTTTCCTGATGTTTGAGTGAAAGAAGCTTTACACAAAGGAGTATATACTGTATGAATAAATGTATATGAAGTTTAAAAACAGGCCAAACTAATCTATAAAGATTGAAATCAGAACAGTGACTGCCTCTGGTGACCAGTGATGAGAGGGTGGCCACACAGTGGGGATTCACTGGAAAGTGGCATCAGGTTACTTTCTAGAATAACAGATATGTTCTAAATCTTGATTGGGATGTTACATTTGTAAACATTTGCTAAAATTCATCAACCTATATTAAGATCTGTACCTTTCATTCTATAAAATTATCTATTTATAAAAAAATTAACTGGGCAGTAATTTACTTAGCCAGGATTTCTGAAAGGATTCATTTTAGAATATTCAGTTTTAACAAGGCTTCTTTCCTCACGGCAGTTCTCTGAAATCAAGGTCAGAGATCTAATTCGAATACTAAAAGGCCCTTCCAAAAATTTTCCTTAAACAATCTCATCTGCCATTCAGATACTTCTCAAAAATAATTCACCACAATTTTATGTCAGTAACATTATGGGGAAACCAGTGGTGTTCACAATTCTGGATCAACCCACAATTCACTAGGCACTTACCAAGTGCTTCATAATACTCTACCCTAGGGTCACATGAAAAACTACATTGAGATAAGTTTTAAAAGCAGGAAAAGAGTTCGAGACCAGCCTGGCCAGCATGGCGAAACCCTGTCTCTACTAAAAATACAAAACTTAGCCGAGTATGATGGTGCACAACTGTAGTCCCAGCTACTCAGGAGGCTGAGAGAGAATCGCTTGAACCTAGGAGGCGGAGGTTGCAGTGAGCTGAGACTGTGCCACTGCACTCCAGCCTGGGTGACAGAGCGATACCCTCTCTCAAAAAAAAAAAAAAAAAAGAATATGAAATATAAACAGGAGTTTGGTGCAAGTTTTTAGAAAGCCACAGTAAAGGTTTTTATTAATCTTTAGACCCATGTTTTAAAAATAGGGATATTAGCTACCAAAGTTATCAATTCAAATTAAAGAACTGGGAGAAAATATAAAAAATGATTTTCTCTCAATATATAGATGGAGAATCGAAGGCCAAAGATGAGAAGTGATTTGCCCAAGATCACATGACTAAGCTAGTTAGTGGTTACAGGGATGATTAGATTCAGCATTGCACTCCATGACAATGCTCACTGCATAGCATAATACATACAATCCATTATAAAAAAATTTATCTCCAAAAAAGATGATATTCATGCAACCTTTCAAAATAGTATGAATCAGCAAAATCCCTCAGCAACACCGAGAGAAAAAACAAAATCATAAATAGTTGTAATTCTTCTCTATTGACAGTTTCTAATGGTTCATGACAAAATAAAATAAGGACAATACAGTGAGCACATCATAAAGCTTTATTTCTTCAATATAAAGATCTATTTTTTATTCTGAGATTATATCCTACCTAATTTTGGTTATAATGTCCTTTCTTTTAAGAAATGATGGTGACAACAGTTTTTGTTTTTATTTTTAGTGTCCTTACATGGCAAAATTAAAAGGAGGTAATCCTGTATCGATTCTTTGAAAAAAAATTTTTTTTTTTTTTGAGACGGAGTCTCGCTCTGTTGCCCAGGCTGGAGTGCAGTGGCATGATCTTGGCTCACTGCAAGCTCCACCTCCCGGGTTCATGCCATTCTCCTGCCTCAGCCTCCCGAGTAGCTGGGACTACACGTGCCTGCCACCATGCCTGGCTTATTTTTTGTATTTTTAGTAGAGACAGGGTTTCACCATGTTAGCCAGGATGGTCTCGATCTCCTGACCTTGTGATCTGCCTGCCTCGGCCTCCCAAAGTGCTGGGATTACAGGCGTGAGCCACTGCGCCTGGCCGAGTCTTTGAAATTTTAAATATATGACTGATCTATGAAACCCAAAAGCTGGAAAACCCTGATCTAAGTGCAAACATGAAATTATAATGCCATCAAACATTCAGAAACAAAGAATTTGAGTTTGTAGGATGAGACCATCAAGGTAAATCTGAATGAATCATCTAGCTTTGCAGTATTTCCTTCGAAGAAAGGCAGCGTGAGGTAAAACTATTGTATTGTTTTCAGTTCACTTTGAAATTAAGTGCATTTATTTACCAAATGAAGTTAAATATCCACTCAACACTATGTTTACTGTTTGTCCCTGTAACCCCTTCCCCACAAAATTACCAATTCTGTCAGGGCAGAGATCTTTAATTTACTGCTGAATTCTCAATTTATAAGGAAGTATCTGGCACACAGCAGTTTCCCCTAAATATTTATTGAAAGAATGAATTAAATGCCCACCACCAAGCAAAGCACTGGGGACTTGGTACCGGCCACTGGGCTCTGATACAAACAATTACACAAATGTAGCGGAACCTCTTTAGAATATTTGTGCCAGGAAATAGACCTCATATATTCCTTGTAACTATATCAAGAATTTTCAGTGATTAGTTGATTCAGAATTGATAGTTTCACTCAAGGGGCATGCAGATACATTTATTTATTTATTTATTTATTTATTTATTTATTTATTTATTTATTTTTGAGATGGAGTCTTGCTCTGTCGCCCAGGCTGGAGTGCAGTGGCGTGATCTTGGCTCACTGCAAGCTCCGCCTCCCGGGTTCATGCCATTCTCCTGCCTCAGCCTCCTGAGCAGCTGGGACTATAGGCGCCCGCCACCATGCCCGGCTAATTTTTTGTATTTTTAGTAGAGATAGGATTTCACCGTGTTAGCCAGGATGGTCTCGATCTCCTGACCTCGTGATCCACCCGCCTCGGCCTCCCAAAGTGCTGGGATTACAGGCGTGAGTCACTGTGCCCAGCCGGCAAATACATTTAATAAAGGGCCATAGGCTGGGTGCGGTTGCTCATGCCTGTAATCCCAGCACTATGGGAGGTTGAGGCAGGCGGATCACGAGGTCAAGAGATCGAGATAATCCTAGCCAGCATGGTGAAACCCCATCTCTACTAAAAATACAAAAATGAGCTGGGCATGGTGGCATGTGCCTGTAGTCCCAGCTACTCGGGAGGCTGAGGCAGGAGAATCGCTTGAACCTGGGAGGCAGAGGTTGCAGTGAGCCGAGATCCCGCCACTGCACTCCAGCCTGGGCGACAGAGCGAGACTCCGTCTCAAAAAAAAAAAAAAAAAAATTCTTTACCTGATCATTTTAGACTCAATCTGATTTATTTTAAGCGCTAGAATTGTGGCTTCATGTATTTGTATGGCTGTATTCTTTCACACAACTTGGGATTCAATCTCAAGTTGTGTTTATATTAAAGTTAACAAAATGCTGACAGGTTCTTTCTTTTGCTTATGGTAAATCACTAAAAAGTTTATTTAAATGGAGAACTACAAATTCCAAGTGTCATTCAAGATCAAAAGACAGTTCCCAAACCAACAGTTTCTGTCAGTGAAATGAAGTATTTGCTCAGGAGAGGCATGAACTGTGCAATGCCATTGGTTTTATGTTATCTCATTTTAGAAGTTCACAGTTGCAGCCTGACTGAACCAAAGGATCTGCTAGATACATTAATTAAAACAACAGCTTGCACTCTATGCCGTTAACCATCAGCACAAGCTTTGAAGTCAGTTTAATATTTCTTGGCAGACACCAAGGTAATTAAATGGTCTTTCTTTCCCTGCTCACAGAAACAGTCAACAAATTGGTTCACCTAAAGACAAGCCAACAATTTTTAAAGTTTTTTTTTTTTTTTTTTTTTGAGATGGAATCTCACTCTATGACCCAGGCTGGAATGCAGTGGTGTGAACCTGGCTTACTGCGACCTCTACCTTCCAGGTTCAAGCGATTCTCCTGCCTTAGCCTCCTGAGTAGCTGGGATTACAGGCATGTGCCATCATGCCCAGCTAATTTTTGTATTTTTAGTAGAGACAGGGTTTCACCATGTTGACCAGGCAGGTCTCAAACTCCTGACCTCAAGTGATCCACCAGCCTTGGCCTCCCAAAGTACTGGGATTACAGGCATGAGCCACCGCATCCAGTCTTTAAAAGCTTTTGATACGGAAAACATTTTATCTCAATTTTCCTTGTGCCATGCCCATTTTAGTAGTCAAAGTGTCAACTACAGCTTCCTAAAAAAAAAAAAAAATCAAAGGTACATCTCTTATCATAAGATTGATCCCTTCAAAGTTTTAGGCACTGAAGAGATAAAATATCACAGGCTATGAAGTAACTCTTGTTCAGGCAACAAAGTTTTCCCCCATATTCTTACAAACAAACCTGCTTCAAGAAAGAGATATTTCTTAATGTCAATTTAGCCACTACATTATCTGCTGCTAAGTGTTAGTAACAGATAATAAAGAAAACTCAGATCTAATTTGGTTCTTCAAGTCCTTACAGCTGAAACAAGATGCCCAAAAGCTTCCTGGCTCTAAGGAGCAGCTGTGTGAAACAGGACAAGTCTTTAACCTTCCTGGGCTTCATGGCCTCCTCTGTAAGAAGGGGCTACTGCTACTAGTATTATTATTGTGTAGGAGCAGGATATATTAGTGCACTTAGCAGAGTAGGGGTTGTTATTACTTGTCTTCAACATCATCAGTAGCATGCAAAAAAAAGCTTCTAAGCACCTCCACTGCAAGAATAATGAAAGTTCCAGTGAACGAAGTTACAATTCTGCCATGTTGCCAGGGGCATATAAGCTTCCTATTTCCTAACTCATTTGACATCAAGGTTACTTAACACCTTCTAAGGCAGTAATAACAAGCAAGTACTTTATTAATGCCATTTCCTCCAATCTTGGAAAATAAGATTAATTTATTTTTCTTTTTGCATAAAATTCCTTTCTAAACATAAAAGAAATAAATATAAATCCCGTAAGATTGTTTGATGTAACTACAAAGCCAAAACAAACAAAAATCCATTGAAAAATAACCTGGAAAAGCATTGCCAACAAATATATCATTGATACATAAGAGTTCAACTGAACCGAGCAGACTAAAATAGTAAATATACCTTTTCCTCTATGAAATTGGTACAGTTTTAAAAATGAATAATGATAATGTTTGTGAGAATATAGCGTTATTTGCATTTGTTGTAAAAATGCATTTTAAAAAACTGGTAATATAGATTGAGAACCTTCTGAAGAACATTCATGCCCTTTATCCCCATCATTCTATCCCTGAAAAAAATAATCTGAAATACACTCAATGCTTGAGACAAGAAAATATTCATGCAACACTATTATCATGACAAAAATGTAAAAACATATTAAATGCATATTAAGAATTTCTGTACATAATTGAATGTAATGAGGACATTTTTTAAAATGCCCAAGGCAGGGCACAGGGTCCCCTACTGGCAATCCCAGCACTTTGGGAGGCCAAGACAAGACGATTGATTACTTGAGCCCAGGAGTTTGAGACCAGCCTGGGCAACATAGTGAGACCTTGCCTCTAAAAAAATACAAAAATTAGCTGGGCCTGGTGGCACATGCCTGAGTCCCACCTACTAGGGAGGTTGAGGTAGAAGGATCGCTTGGGCCCAGGGTGCGGAGGCTACAGTGAACCAAAACAAACATGCCACTGCACTCTAGCCTGGGTAAGAAAGTGAGACCTTGCCTTAACAACAACAACAACAAATGACTAGAACAAGTTTTTAAGAATAAAGGAAAATGCTTATGATATACTACCAGGTTATAAAAGGGAGAATGTAAATGGTACATATCAACCATAATTAACTATGTTAAAAATGCAAACAAATAGAAAAAAAGAAACAAAAATGTTATTAGTGATTCTAATTGAACAGTTGGATAATAGATAATTTTATTTTCCTTTTATACGTTACCGTATTTTCCAAATTTTCCACAGCGTCTTTTAAAAAATTGTTAATTTAATTAAAGCCTATATAAATAGGGGATTTGTACTTACTAAACTTGAGGCCCAGTTTCCTTATCTACAAGCAGGACAAGAATTCTTCCCTTTCAAGGTTACTGTTAAAATCAACGTAGAACCTGACATATCAGTTGACATGTGTCATTAATTATTATACTATAGTCAAATTAGAGAACATAGTGTCTTTAATGTGAACATAGAGATGTTTTCCCCTCTACTAAGTGATTCTAAACAACTGCACTTTGACGTTGTGTAATAATTCAAAATGTTTTTCTGTCTCTCCCATCCCCACTGCCATGCTGTAACTTACTTCCTCTACTTGCTTGCCCACCCCTTCTACATTCAGAGGGCTTAGAAATCAGGCAGTCTAGAGGCTTGTAGACTCACAAACATGGGTTGTTTGGCCCACGCACTGATACAATATTTGAATAAGTAGCCAAAGGATAAAATTCAGGAGACTTCATATAAA
Organism: Homo sapiens; assembly: GCF_000001405.40. Lineage (NCBI taxonomy): Eukaryota > Metazoa > Chordata > Mammalia > Primates > Hominidae > Homo > Homo sapiens. Next base: position 69,408,614 of record NC_000014.9, on the reverse strand, counting down.
AATCCAGATTTCTAGCTTTGGAAAAATAGGAAGATTTGGTGTCATCAAATGATATGTGCCCTTTAGATGCCCACAGTTCTCACTTCTCCCTAATGACTCCCAGGCACTGACACTGAAGGTCAGCTGCCATATATCATGACACTGGGGCTGTCTTATTTTACTCCAGGCTTAATTCTCTGTTCAGCCTTATTTGATTTTATGATCCATTACCTACCTCTATCAGTCAGGGTCCTTTCATCAAAGAGAAAGCATAAAGTAATTTGAAGAGAGAAAGTTTAACATAAAGAATACCTACAAAAGGGGGCTGGGCATGGTGGCTCATACCTGTAATCCCAGCACTTCCGGAGGCCAAGGCGGGCTGATCAACTGAGGTCAGGAGTTTGAGAACAGCCTGGCCAACATGGCAAAACCCTGTCTCTACCAAAAATACAAAAATTAGCCGGGCGTGTTGGTAGGCAGCCGTAATCTCAGCTACTTGGGAGGCTGAGGCAGGAGAATCACTTGAACCCAAAGAGAGAGGTTGTGGTGAGCCAAGATCATACCACTGCACTCCTGCCTGGGCAACAGAGCAAGACTCCATCTCAAAATAAGAAAGAAAGAAAAAAGGAATACCTATAAAAGCATAAAAGGGGACTAGAATGATGAGGAATTGACTAAGAGAGAACCGTAAAGAATATAATAGCAGGGCCGGGTGCGGTGGCTCATGCCTGTAATCCCAGCACTTTGGGAGGCCGGATTCACCTGAGGTCGGGAGTTCAAGACTAGCCTGACCAACACGGAAAAACCCTGTCTCTACTAAAACTACAAAACTAGCCAGGCATGGTGGCAGGCGCCTGTAATCCCAGCTACTTGGGAGGCTGAGGCAGGAAAATCTCTTGAACCTGAGAGGAGGAGGTTGCAGTGAGCCGAGATCGTGCCATTGCACTCCAGCCTGGGCAACAACAGCAAAATTCTGTCTCAAAATAAAAAAAAAAAGAAAGAAAATTGGCCGGGCGCAGTGGCTCACGCCTGTAATCCCAGCACTTTGGGAGGCCTAGGCGGGCAGACCACCTGAGGTAAGGAGTTTGAGACCAACATGGAGAAACCCTGTCTCTAACTAAAAATACAAAATTAGTGGGGCGTGGTGGTGCATGCCTGTAATCCCAGCTACTTGGGAGGCTGAGGCAGGAGAATCACTTGAACCTGGGAGGCGGAGGTTATGGTGAGTCAAGATCATGCCATTGCAGTCCAGCCTGGGCAACAAGAGTGAAATTTGGAAGGAAGGAAAGAAGAAAGGAAGGAAGAAAGGAAGGAAGGAAGGAAGGAAGGAAGGGAAGGAAGGGAAGGAAGGAAAGGAAAGAAAGGAAGGAAGGAAATTAACGTCAGATAAATACAGGGTTTGCAATAGATAGTTTGATGTAATTATCTATTAGTTACCCTCAAGACCTTTTCATTTAAAAATGAATTTCCATGTAAGAATTTCCAGGGCTGGGTGTGGTGGCTCATGCCTGTAATCCCAGAACTTTGGGAGGCCGAGGCAGGCAGATCTCAAGGCCAGGAGATCCAGATCATCCTGGCTAACATGGTGAAACCTTGTCTCTACTAAAAATACAAAAAATTAGCTGGTTATGGTGGCACGCACCTGTAATCCCATCTACTGGGGGGGCTGAGGCAGGAGAATTGCTTGAACCTGGGAAGGGGAGGTTGCAGTGAGCTGAGATCACGCCACTGCACTCCAGCCTGGGCGACAGAGCAAGACTCCATCTCAAAAAAAAAAAAAAAAAAAACAAAGAATTTCCAGTCTAACTAATATTTATTTCCATTTTATTTCAATAAGTTAAAAACTGAATATTAGTATTCAAGGAAGACTGAGATTTCTGTAATTTCATTATAGGTTTTAAGAAATACCAGTACTCATACTTAGTACTACTACTTTTTTTTTTTTTTTTTAAGACAGTCTCGCTCTGTTGCCCAGGCTGGAGTGCCATGGTACAATCTCAGCTCACTGCAATCTCCGACTCCAAGGTTCAAGCAATTCTCCTGCCTCAGCCTCCCGAGTAGCTGGGATTACAGGCGTGAGCCACTGCGCTCAGCCCAGTGTGGAATTCCATACTGAGCTGAAGGGGATCTTATCATTCAACAAAAGTCTCATCATTAAATTCTTTAATTAGAGGAGAGGTTAAGACTATCATATACAGAAACATTCTGAATCCATTTCATGTCATCTTCTCTTGAAAAGGATGTCACTTCTTGAACAGCACAATTTACGACTAACCTGTGAGGATGTCAAGTGTGAAATTCATCTTGGATAGTTCACAATAGGAACTACTTCAGATTCCAAATTGGCAGGTGTTAATTTAAAAGGCATCTAAGACATATTAACTTATTTCTTATAGGTTTCAATGGTATTTGGAGACTGTTTACCTCTGGAGTTTCAAGTTCTACTCCACTGACTAGGCAGAAAGCATGAGATATACTGTGGAAGGTATGAAAGATGTTCCTAATTTGGGGAGCTAAAGGCATCAATTTAGGTAGATCCTATTTTCATTCCTTCTTTACACAGCATTCATTAGGAAAGGCAACATTTAGTAGTCAAGTGACTGATTTGGCAACAGGAATCAAAATGACTTAGTTCCAAATCACACCTCTACCAGAGTCTGTGACCTCTTCAAGCCTGAGTTTGCTCATTTGTAAAGTGAGGTTTAACAGTATCTCATAGTCTTGGTCCTGAGGATTAATAAGATAGTGCATATCATTGCCTGGTATACAGAAAGAGCTCAATAAACATTATTAATATTATTATGCAGATAAGTCTTAATTATGTTTATCAATATAGTATCCTGGAGAAAACAAAGTTTTTCAGGAAAATAATATTGAATCATATTGCAACCGGATTTTATTTGATCCAAACTTAGTTTTATCAAGGATCCTTATGAAACAATAATCTGTAGTTCAATCTGAGAAAAGACAAGCTGATGATTTCTTTCCAGATATGGATAAATTTACTGAGATTGCAAAGTTTAAAATTTTATAATTTACGTTCATTCATCTGAGACAGGGTCTCACTTGTTGCCCAGGTTGGTCTCAAACTCCTGGCCTCAAGCAAACTTCCAGCTTCAGCCTCCTAAAGCACTGGGATTACAGGTATAAGCCACCATGCCCGGCTCAAATCTTAGAATTTACAAATGAAATTCCAAACAGGTATAAAATCTCTTGTATTACCATAAGAGGGTAAGAGCAATGTACCAGACAATATAAAAGTCCTTAAAAATGTAACATTGTTAAATCTACTTCAAAGAGAACCTATTGTAGAGGCAGAAGCATACTGAATAAATCTGTTCTTCAGACACAATAAACCTTTGATTTGCGGGTAACTCAAACCCCTAAAGATACTTATTATGAATGAGTCAGTTATTATAATCAGACACTGATATGGTTTGGTTGTGTCCCCACCCAAATCTCATCTTGAGTTGTAGTTCCCATGCGAGGGACCTGGTGGGAGGTCATGCTGTTCTTGTGATAGTGAGTTCTTGCTGTTCTTGTGACAGTGAGTTCTCACGAGATCTGATGGTTTTATAAGGGGCTTTCCCCCTTTTGCTCAGCACTTCTCCATCCTGCCGCCCCATGAAGAAGGATGTGTTTGCCTCCTCTTCTGCCATGATTGTAAGTTTCCTTAGGCCTCCCCAGCTATGCTGAATTGTGAGTCAATCAAACCTCTTTCGTTTATAAATTACCCAGTCTCAGAAATGTCTTTATTAGCAGTGTAAGAATGGACTAATACAGACACAAAACTTTAAAACACGAAAGAACAAAACAAAGCTTAAAATGAGAGTAAGTATAATGAAGAAAAGAGAGTTAAATACTAAGAAAAATAGTATAAAGCAGGGAGGGTAGAGGAAAAGCCCTGGCCTCTCCAAATAGAATGGTAAATAGTAATGCAAACCAAACCCCACAACAAGACCTTTGGATTCCAAACAAATTGCCGAGAAGTTTCCATGACTGCGAAGGGGAGGAGGGGGAGGAGCTTCCCATTATTAAGTCTGTTTCCAAATAAAAGGTTTAACAATTATAAATTAGAACAAAGTTATAAAAATGAAAATCTTTACAAGTTTTTCTAATCAGTATTGAGAATCTGCCTCAATATTTTTGAAAGTTTTTATTATGTTCTAGACATAGTGTTAAGCCTGTGCTTATATTATTTCAACCTCACAACAATCCTAGAAGGTCATTTAACAGAAGAGATTTGGATTTTAATAGCTTGTTCAAGTAGTAACATTGACTTTGAATGATACTGTCTCAGACAGTCCCTTTTGAAATCAGTGCATTATTAATCATATTCATCTTTAAAATCATCCTAAGAATAGCACTACTTTCATCTGCCAACTTATGGATTTATGCTGTTGGTTATTTTAGGGAGTAGGTCTCCTTATGTTGCCAGTGGCTATTCACAGGCACACTCATAGCTCACTGCAACCCTGAACTCCTGGGCTCAAGTGATCCTCCCACATCAGCATTTGGAGTAGCTGGGACTAACCAGTGTGTGCCACTACATCCAGTTTTGCTGTTTTTGTTTGTTTGTTTTTTGTTTTTTTGAGAGGGAGTTTTGCTCTTGCTGCCCAGGCTGGAGTGCAATGGCGCAATGTTGGTTCACTGCAACCTCCGCCTCCCAGGTTCAAGCGATTCTCCTGCCTCAGCCCCCCAAGTAGCTGGGATTACAGGCACGTGCCACCACGCCCAAATAATTTTGTATTTTCAGTAGACACAGGGTTTCTCCGTGTTGGTCAGGGTGGTCTCGAACTCCCGACCTCAGATGATTCGCCTGCCTCGGCCTCCCAAAGTGCTGGGATTACAGGCGTGAGCCACCACGCCTGGCCTGCTTTGCTGTTTTAATACATGAAAAATGTGGCATTATAACTCAAACTGGTCTGCAATAAGAAAAGTATGGCAACTGAGATAAAGCCTTCAGAAATTTTTAGAGCAATATGATTATTACAATTATAGTAGTAATTTTTTATCTGTTGAATTTAACAATACATTTGGGCTTGTATTTTCTATGTCTTTTTTTCACTTCATTTTCCTACTATTTCATTTTTATAAGTGTATTGGTATGGATTGAAATAAAAATTAAAAACAAAAACTGATCCTTTACCAGGCAGTTTGAGGAATATTGCTGTAGAGCTCTGAGCCAAAAACAGCTTGCTCTCTGTTACCAGCTCTGTGACAAAGAGGAGACATACTCAGGTGAGTAACAACCCTCAGATAATCAATCTGAAATCCCACTTGAGCCATCTGTTTTTGTATCATAGCTCCATTTATCAACTGCAGCAGCACTGAGTTTATACTAGGTAATATAGGCTCTCAACCTACTTATGTAACATTGTTATTTAGAGCCAAAGAAAACTACTCATTAGCAATTCAATCGAAAAAACATAAGACAGTGTTAACTATAAACCAACGGGTCTCACTCCCTTACCAAACAGGGCTTCCTTTGTGTAAAGCATGCTTTGGCCTCCTTTATTTATTTATTTTTATTTATTTATTTTTATTTTTTTCTGAGACAAAGTTTTGCTCTTGTTCCCCAGGCTGGAGTGCAATGGTGGGACTCGGCTCACTGCAACCTCCGCCTCCTGGGTTCAAGCAATTCTCCTGTCTCAGCCTCCTGAGTAGCTGGGATTACAGGCACATGCCACCACGCCCAGCTAATTTTTGTATTTTTAGTAGAGATGGGGTTTCGCCATGTTGGCCAGGCTGGTCTCGAACTCCTGACCTCAGGTAATCCGCCCACCTCAGCCTCCCAAAGTGCTGGGATTACAGGCGTGAGCCACTTAGCACCTGGCTGGCCTCCTTTAAAAGTTAAAAGTGTTTCTCTTTCCTGTATACTGAAAAAATTTACATCCTGATTATCATAGTTACTTATAATTGCATTTGAGAATCGGATTTTTTTTCCTTTGTTTTATAAATTTTTAAGGCATGAAAGTACAGTTGCCAGGTCAAAGGGCAAGGAAGAAGGCCACAAAAGTATCAAGAAAGGTAGTTTTGGGGTGAGGAGAAACTGACAGAGAAATCAATGTCACATAAACCTCTTGGTGGGCACATCTGGCAGGTAGACCCCACCACTACTGCAATTTCAGACTACCTAATTTTAACTCGTTTTTAAATACTAATCTTGCCATAATTGATCATCTGACTTTTATTCCTGTTCTGAGATATTTTTAGAAAAAGTATTGAATGAGAAAGCAGCAGCAAGATTAAAAACATGAATAAAAAGCATATCTTTTCATGTAAATCAAGCTTGTCCAACTCATGGCTCGTGGGCCGCATGCAACCCAGGAGCACTTTGAATGAAGCCTTACACAAATTCATAAACTTTCTTAAAACATTATGAGTTTTTTTTTGCATTTTTTTTTTTTAGCTCATCACCTATCTTAGTGTTAGTGTATTTTATGTGTGGCTTGAGATAATTCTTCTTCTGATGTGGCCCAGGGAAGCCAAAAGATTGGACACCCCTGATGTAAACGAAAGTGAACTGTAAAACAGTAACACTAGCCTCTAAGAAAGCCAGACTTCCTTAAAAAGGCAAGTCATTTATCCAGTGTAGGAGTTTGGGGAATTATTTTCTAAGGAAAGAAATGGTGCTTTCCAGTCCCCCGTGAATGAAATTTATTTTTACAAATTTACCATCTCACTAGTTTCATTACAACATTGGTCCATAATAATGGCATAATTTACCTAGAAAATATGTTTAGTTCCTAGGAGATAGAAATCCTAGTTGAATTCTAGGATGTCTTTAAGTTATATATAACTTTCATTTTTTATTCTAATAGCTCAAAATGCATTGCATCTACTCTAATAATAAACAGATATTATGAATGCTGATTTTAGCATTTTAAGACCTACAGCTGGAAAAGACCATCTGACCGTCAATTTAAGAAAGCCACAAATGACATGACATACTAATTATCTGTATTAATGACCCAGTTATTAACACCACTCCTGTAAACATTTCCTTCTAGTGAAAAAGGAAATAGTATATATCCGCATATTGCAATAATCATTCAAGGTAGTTTGAAAAAATACTGGAATTGGTAAAGTTAAAGGCATTTTATAGAAATAAAAAGTTTTACTGGTTGCTTATCAGAATTAATTATGATTATTCATAAATGTTACTTCAATATGTTTAAAAATACACAAACCAACCCAAATCTCACACATGTCAGCCCTACTAATGTCAATTCAATTCTAATATAGTTATAAGAAAATATGGTTATGTCAAAGGAAACATAGCAGGTTCACAAAGTACTGGGCAGGCAGGTAACCCAAATAAGTGAAACAGGCTTCAAGGGCAAGGAGGACTGTGCCTAACAGCTGCTACTCAGCCCGACCCAACCTTTGCCTCTAGGAAATACTGGTAAAGAACAACAATAATAAACTTCTGCTAATGGAACAGTCTGCAGGCTGGATTTGGCACACAGGCTACCATGTATATGTACCATGTACCTTTGCCGAAATGCTTAGTGGCTACGAACTAGTCTGAGTCAGAAAAGCTAGACTGAAAAAATACCTCTCTTCTGATTCTAACAAACTTCATGAACCTATCCAGTCTCCGTTTCCTCATCTATATGTCACTGATTTTTATTTTCTTTTTTTTTTTTTTTAAGAGAAAGAGTCTCAATGTTGCCCAGGCCAACTCCTGGGTTCAAGCAATCCTCCTACCTTATCCTCTTGAGTAGCTAGGACTACAGGCGCGCCCCACCGCACCCAGCTTGAGTTTTTTAAGTGAAGTTAGGTAATGCACGTAATTTTTTAAAATGCTATCATTAGATGCTGAGGGGTACAGATTAAAAAGGAAACAGAAAAAGAACAACAACAATTTAAGCATCTGTTCCATCTGGCTATGGGCTTTACTTTTCCTCAAACTGACAACACCTTGTCCCACCTTCTTTCCCACCCACAGGCTATTTTCACCTGTAATGTCTCCTCTTCCTCAGGTTTCTTCAAGGTGTACTTAATATTTCATTTATACCTTTCCTTTCTACTTCAGGCCTCCTTTGAAAGTACTTTCAGGAATGGCACTGAAACTAGGGCCTATTTTACTGCTGAACTCTAGGACAAACTCATGAAATCTTGTTCCCTTTGAATGTAGTAGTTTTTCCCCCCTAAATCTTTGAACGCTGTGCACTTCGTGAATTCCTTTTGCCTACCTAAAGGACCTATCAGCATGTTCACTGAACAGTGCTTTCATCTATCCCTCTTCCCGGGACCCTCGCTTAACATCTGTTCAAGGTGCCAATCAAATTAACGAAAATGTCAAAACGTATTAACCAAAAATTCATTGCTAAGCAAATAGATTTGAAACAACTTCAGAATATCAATTCCAAGGCTCCCCTTCTTTAAAAGGAAATGTGAGTTAAGAACAATCTTAGTTTTTTCTTACATTCATTCTAGTACAGACATCCAAAAAACAAAACAGCTTTCCTCAGAAAGGTGTGTTTGACTTTCTCAAAAGGAAGTTATCATATTGATTTCAGTTCATGTAGAAAAATAACATTCTCCATTTCTTTTTTTTTCTTTTTTGGAGACAGGATCTCACTCTGCTGTCCAGGCTGGAGTGCAGTGGCCCAAACACGGCTCACTGCAGCCTCAACCACTTGGGGTCAAGCGATCCTCCTGCCTCAGCCTCATTTGTAGGGACAAAGTCCCGCCACGTTGCCCAGGCTGGTCTAGAACTCCTGGGCCCAAGCGATCCTTCCACCTCAGCCTCCCAAAGTGCTGAGATTACAGGCGTGAGCCACCGCGCCCAGCCCTCCATTTATTTTCTTGATAACAATCTGGAATCTTGATTCCATGAAACCTCTGAGAATCAAAAGAAATGTTATGGTGCCTCTCTCCAGGTAAATGCACAGAACCTCAAATTTTTGTAAGCAATTCTAGGGGATTCAGAATACTCCAGGATCTTCCGTGGAATATCTATCCACCCCAGGTTAAGAATTCCACTAATGAATATGAGGTTTCTTTCTATTATTAAGTGTCATGTATCTTTTAAAAAAGATAGTCTTTCTTAATGAGACCTTCAGCTTTGAGATTTAACTAGGGAAGCAGCTTCCCTTTGCAACTAAAACTACTATCTCACAGCCATCCTGACAGCTGACAGAAAATTGAGAATTTCTTACCTCTGAGAAATTAACAGCCAAGGGAATGATTCCGGCCACGTAACATCCCACCAACATAGCCAGAGACAGCAGGCTAATGGAGATGAAATCATCCATTCTGCCCTCCTTTATTCACCCACAACCACTAGACAACAAATTTCCAGTGGCTTTAAATGGTGCTTAGGTTCTTTAAACAGGTGTGGTGGTTCCAAGAGAGTGGGCTTTCCAGTTCTTTAGGCCTTCCCACCAGCAGATGTGTTCACGAGGCACCTTCCTCTTGAACGTACCCGGCAACAGACCCTTTTTGCTGATATTAGCACCAGAGAAAGCTTACAGCAATCTAAGGTCCCAGGCTCTGGGTTCTCAGATGCCAGTCATTAGATTCTCGTGGGTTAACAGAGATGGGAAAAGTCAATGGGGAAAATGTGCGAATGATCGATTTCTTCGATTGTCGGATTGAGGGTGGCACAATGTCTTAGGCGGCGGCGGGTAAGTGACTCAAGCGAACCTGTTCGTTCCCTAGGCGCCCCTGTCTCCAAGAGGCGGCCCCGAAGGTGATCCGCCCCCCAGAGCAGGAAACCAGCCCACCAGTCCCAGCAAACTCTCCTCCGAGCCTGGGATGAGGAAAGGAGTCCTGCAGGTCTCTAACGATGGGTCCTAGGGGTTCAGCAGCAAAGTTGACACAAAGCTGTCTCTGCCCTATACCCGGTGCTGCCCATGGTACTGCACTCGACCGGGCCTTGACCCGGAGTCGCCGATACTACAGCTGCCATGGCCGCCAAGTGGCATCTCTTCATTCCATCCACTTCCGGATTGTCTAACCACCCCCTCCTTTACAAAGGCACTTCCGGGTTACAACCGACCTCCGGCCCAGGATACTTACGTTGCCGCCATTTTTGAGTAGGGCTAATGAAAGATGTCTGATGTCACTGTCTATACCGGTGATCACTTGAGCCGTATGTTTAATAACGAAAGTACGGAAGACAGCGTCTTGAAAAAAAATAATTCTTCCTAAAGCTTGGAAACTTTCCCTTACCTTTTTGCCTTTATCGAAGATGGCTGAAACAGAGTCAGTAGCTGCTCTAGCTGCCGGAAGTGACTGTGCCTCTATGATCCAAAAGGCTCTTTTGCGTTGCACTTTCGACGACTTCCGGCGGCTCCTCTCGCGAGGATTGGCTGTTAGCGGCGTTGTAGTTAAGCTCGTGTAACGGCGGCGGTGTCGGCAGCTGCTGTAGCGAAGAGAGTTTGGCGCGATGGTGAGAAAGGCCTCCGCGGCTACCCGAGTCCGAGTCCCCGGCCTCCAGAGCGACCCCAGCCCCATACGTTTTCCCCTCCCCACGAGCCCCATGCAGCGCCGCGTGATGCTCCCCGCCACTCTAGTCGGTGGATTGACCCTTCTTCCCGCCGCAGGGACGCCAGGCCTGACTCTAGGCCTCGGAGCCCCGGTCCGCCCTGCGGTTGCGCGCCCGCCTGCTCGCTCGGGTCCGGCGTGCCTTGGGCCTGAGGATGAACTCTCTCCCGATTGTTACTCGGTAGAGGGAGACGTGGGGGAGGTGTTTTGTTTTTTGAGATAGAGAGTCTCACTCTATCGCCCAGGCTGGAGTGCAGTGGCGGGATCTCAGACCCCTGCAACCTCTGCCTCCTGGGTTGAAGCAATTCTCCTGTCTCAGCCTCCCTAGTAGCTGGGATTACAGGCGCCCGCCACCTCGCTCGGCTAATTTTTTTATTTTAGCAGAGACGGCGTTTCACCATGTTGGCCAGGCTGGTCTCGAACTCCTGACCTCAAGCAATCCACCCGCCTCGGCATCCCAAAGTGCTGGGATTACAGGCGTGAGCCACCGGGCCCTGCCGGATATGGTATTTTTCCCTCCAAATGCTCTAGCCTGCTGTAGGAACAATGGGCCAGGGTTGTCTAACTATTCTCGAAGCTGACAGATCCAGCTATACCCAGCATGTGGGCCAGGAGAGGACGTATTTGCTTTGCAGTGTTTTTTCAGCTTTCGTTTTCCTGTGCTCTGCCTTTTTTTTTTTTTTCCTGTTTTTGAGACCTCTAGGTATTGCGTGTGGCGCGTCCCTCAGCCCTCGATCCTGTACTTATCTGTATTTATATCCTCTTGGGGCTGGAGGCTGAAAAGTAGGCTCAGCTCAGAGACCAGCTCTATTAGAACCCAACCGGGATGATCAGTAAGCTCCAATTCGAAGAAAGTGACCAAAACTGGCTTGAGAGGTGGTATAATCTGTAAAGAATTTGAGCAGGAAAGCATTGCCATTTAAAAATGATAACCACTTGACCACAGTTTTTAAAATGTATCATGTTATGTTCTTAGTGATTTTTAATCCTTGTCTTTGGGCAGTAAGTACTGAAAATAGTAAACTTTGCCCGGTGTTCATTTTAAGACTAGATATAAAAAGCAACATGCTGTATAGCTTTTTCCATTCTTACCCTTTCAAATTAGTCCTTTAATTTGCATTAGAATTGGAATACAATTATTATAGTAGCAGTTGAGATAGCTAGTGTATAGGGCAACCTCTGTTGCAAGAATGCACGTGGTTTCTACAAAATTATTTTTTCTTAAATGACTCGTTGAAACTTTTTGAGTAGCTAGCTTACAAAGACTTCTGTATAACAAATAATCTAATATGATGCTTTCTGTGGCTTTTAAATCGATTTAACAAAGGCTTTGACTGCTCAGGTTATTACAGGTGAGAGTTAATCCTTCGTCTCTTGTCACCAAGTTCCGTTTTTATGTCAAACCCTCTGAAACTTTTAGTCAAAGTGGTTTAGTTCTTGATGGGGAGAGAAGGGTATGATAACCCTTGGTTTTGCATGTCATGTTAAATGTACTATTTTTCCATTGTTTATTCAGAAAGTCTGGGCTTCAGCTATTTCTGTTCCAATTTGATGGTTAAAAATTCTGATCATTTTGTCCAGGCGCGGTGGCTCACGCCTGTAATCCCAGCACTTTGGGAGGCCGAGGCAGGCAGATCACCTGAGGTCGGGAGTTCAAGACCAGTCTGACCAACATGGAGAAACCCCATCTCTACTAAAAAGACAAAATTAGCCGAGCATGGTGGTGCATGCCTGTAATCCCAGCTACTTGGGAGGCTGAAGCAGAAGATTCGCTTGAACCCGGAAAGCAGAGGTTGCGGTGAGCTGAGATCGCGCCTTTGCGCTCCAGCCTGGGCAACAGGAACAAAACTGTCTCCAAAAAAAAATTATGTTATTCCAAAACAGTTTAGGGTTCCTGTTAGGAAATTTTTGTTTTCTGGTTTTTGGCTGAAAAATACTAGTACAGCAGAAGAGAAGGAAAAAGGTGAATAGTTTGATTTGGGACTGGATTTACAGTGGAGTTGCATCATACTTGCATTTAATTAACCTTACACATGTAGCAGAAAATTGGATGGGTCATATTTTCAACAGACCAGTGAATTCTCAGCTGGATGAGATTTTTTGCTCCCCAAGGGACATTTGTAACAAAGAATCAGTCAACCCAAAAGGTAATAGAGCCCACGTTGAGAAAACACTGAGATTGATTTGTTAGTGACTGATCACTAACAAAAACATGTTTCCCAGTGAGCACGAAGTGGAAGACAAGTCTGTCTGCTATGGGCATTATTTCACATTTCTCATAGTGTGATGACCTAACTTTCTGTGTGATTCTAATATGTGATTTTGGTATGAGAAAGCCCAGTAAGGCAAGTCATCTACTAGGTGAATAGTTTAATGGATTTTTAAGGGTAATTCTTATGATATGTTTATATTGCTAATTTATCTACTGCTTTAATGTTAAGTCTAACCCCTGGATAAAATGTGACTTTGCTCTTACGCTGAGGTTGGAAAAAAAGCTTAAGTTGAAACCATGCTTGTGATTATTATACTATTTCCCCTTTTGTTTCCTTTCATCAGCCCATCTGAGTTTTTATTAGTGACTTAAGAGCATTAAAGATGGAAAGTGACCACTGGAGACAGAAAACCTAAGCAGGTTTATAATTTAGTTGGGAAGAAAAGATAGAAAAGGAAAAGGAGGGCAAGGTAGCTTATACTGATTACTTGTAGGCAGTAAGTACGGTAGGACTGGGAGACTTAGGGAGACCGTACAGCAGAGTTGTGAATCCAGCTAGATACTATACTTAGACTAAGACATCAATATTTTTGTGGGAAAAGTATCCTAATGACTTTTTTTTTTCTTTTAAGAGATAGGGCCTCACTCTCCGATGCAATGGTGTGATCATGGCACACTGCAGTCTCAGCCTCCTGGGCTCAAGGAATCCTCCTGCCTTAGACTTCCAAAGTGCTGGGACTACAGGCATGCACCCGGCAAATTTTATTTTTTTGTAGAGACAGGGTCTTGCTATGTTGCCCAGGTTGGTCTCAAGCTTCTGGCCTCAAGTGATTTTCCCCCTCTCAGCCTCCCAGAGGATGAGGATTATAGGCATGGGATGCCATGCCTGGCCTCTCTAATTACATTTTAATAACTAGCAATCATTATTGCATTACAAATGGGGATTTTTTTTTATCATACTATGAATTTCTCAAATAGAAACTTATATTGAAATCATGTTTTCCCCTGCAGTCTCACACCATTTTGCTGGTACAGCCTACCAAGAGGCCAGAAGGCAGAACTTATGCTGACTACGAATCTGTGAATGAATGCATGGAAGGTGAGTTTAACACTAATCAAGGGGTAGAAAAATGTCTCATTTAGGAACTGGGTTTTTCCCCTCCAAATTTTTTTTTTTTAATAGTCCATCCACCCCAGGCCCTGCCTTTATCACTTCCAACCCTCCAAATTTATTGAATTGCTAATTTTAGGAGGGAAAGCAGATATTTAGGATGGACCATAATTATTGAACATTTTATTTATTTGTTTGTTTATTTATGTATTATTTGAGACAGAGTCTCGCTCTATCACCCAGACTGGAGTGCAGTAATGCGATCTCGGCTTACGCAACCTCCGCCCCCCAGGTTCAAGTGATTCTCTTGTGCCTCAGCCTCCCAAGTAGCTGGGACTACAGGCATGGGCCACCACACCCAGATAATTTTTTGTGTATTTAGTAGAGATGGGGTTTCACCATGTTGGCCAGGCTGGTCTCGAGCTCCTGACCTCAAGTAATCCGCCTTGGCCGGTTGAACATTTTAAACATTAATTATGTATATAGTATCCTCCTTGCTACAAGTATTAGGTGTTTTTTTTTTTTAAACTAATGTATATAATGAGTGACTTTCCAGAGCTGCTTGTTGTTTTATAAATATTCTCTTCTTATTTGTCACATGTTATTTTGTTACAGTATGGAAATATTTTACAGGTATCCCTTATATATTCTGGTTAAGCTCAAACACTATAGGCTTGTGTGTCTGTCTGTTTTTAATAGGTTGTTTTAATAGATTTAAGGGATACAAGTGTAGTCTTCTTATATAGATATATGGCATAGTAGTAAAGTCTGGGCCTTTTTTTTTTTTTCCTTAAGACACGGGGTCTTGCTCTGTCACCCAGGCTGGGGTACAGTGGTGATAATGGCTTATTGCAGTCTCAGTTTCCTGGGCTCAAGCAGTCCTCCTGCCTCAGCCTCCCAAATAGCTGGGACTAGAGGCACCTGCCGCCACACCTGGCTAATTTTTTGGTTTTTTTATAGAGATGGGGTCACTGTGTTGCACATGTTGGTCTCAGACTTCTAGCCTCAGGCAGTTCTCCTGCCTTAGCCTCCCAAAGTTCTGGGATTACAAGCATGAGCCACCGCGCCAACCAAGTCTGGGCTTTTATTGTAGCCATCACCTGGTGTACATTGTACGCAGTAGTGATTTTTCATCCCTCACCATTCTCCCACCTTTTGTAGTCTCCAGTGTCAGTTATTCCACTCTGTCTGTCCATGTGCACACATCATTTAGCCTCCACTAATAAATGAGAACATTAAATGTTTGACTTTCTGAGTTACTTCACTTGAGATAATGACCTCCAATTCCATCCATGTTGCTGCAAAGACATGGTTTTATTCTTTTTTTAATAGCTGAGTAGTATTCCATGGGATGTGTGTGCATGCATTCTCATACACCACATTTCCTTTGTCTAGTCATCCATTGATGGATACGTAGTTGATTCCATGACTTTGCTGTTGTGTATAGTACTGCCGTAAACGTATGAGTGCAGGTGTCTTTGTTTCTTTTTGTTTTTTGAGACAGAGTCTCACTCTGTCGCCCAGGCTGGAGTGCAGTGGTGCATCTCAGCTCACTGCAACTTCTGCCTTCTTGGTTCAAATGATTCTCCTTCCTCAGTCTCCTCAGTAGCTGGGACTACAGGTGTGTGCCACCACGCCCAGCTAATTTTTGTATTTTTAGTAAAGACAGGGTTTCGCCACGTTGGCCAGGCTGGTCCCGAACTCCTGACCTCAAGTGATCCACCCACCTCGGCTTCCCAAAGTGCTGGGATTACAGGCGTGAGCCACCACTCCAGGCCATCTACTCTAATTCTTAAAGAAGAACATGGCATTTTTTTCTTCATCTCTTTACAGATCCATTTCTCTGCTGACATTTCTGCCTGCTATTGATGTAGATTTTGTATGCAGGCTCTCTTAGCAAATTGTTACCTAACCTACATTATCATGTTTGGTCTTTGATTCTGCAATACTCTTATTTCTCAGGGCAGTTTCAGGGTTCTAGAAAAATTGAACAGAAACTACAGTTTTTCCGATATTACTCTCTTTCTTCACCCCTACACAATTTCCCCTATTATTAATGAATTTCACTGGTGTGGTGCATTTGTAACAGTGGTGAACCAGTATTCATTACTGATACATTGTCATTAAGTAAAGTTCATAGTTCATACTAGGTTTCATTCTTATGTCCTACATTACTGTGGATTTTCCCAAATGCGCAGTGTCATGTGTCCGCCATTACAGCATCACACAGAATGGTTTCACTGCCCTGCCCTAAACATTTCTTGTGCTCTACCTATTCATCCCCTCCTACCCCACCCTCAACCTCTGGGAACCATTGGTCTTTTTACTGTCTCCATAGTTTTGTCTTTTCCAGAATGTCATATAGTTGGAATCATTATCGTGTGTGGCTTTTTCTTAACTGGCTTTTTTTACTTAGCAATGTGCATTTATTATGTTTCCCCCATGTCTTTTCATGACTTGGTAGCTCTTTTTCTAAAAATTAAAAGTGGTGATTTATTTCCCATTTAAAAAACTAAAACAAAAAAATGTTAAAATAATTATTAAATAAGTTCTCACATGATGTGGTTGCCAAATGGTAATTTTATTATTCTTTTTTTTTTTTTCTTGTAGTAAATATTCCCCTGTAGATCAGAGCATTTTTTTCCTCCCCCCTTTTTTTTAAGAGCAGTTAAAGACTTTATTTAAGACCATGTTTTTAGAGCAGTTTTAGGCTTATGGGAAAATTGTTTGGAAAGTACAGAGCTCCAGCATACGCCTTCTTTCCTCCCCTTCTTAGTTTCCCCTATTAGTGCATCTTCTATTAGTCTGATTACACTTGTTGGGATTGGTGAATTAATATTCATAGATTATTATTAACTAAAGTTCGCAGTTTATGTTAGGGTTTACTGTATGTGTTGAACATTCTGTGGGTTTTGACATGTATAATTACGTGTATCTACCTTTACTGTATCATACAGAGTAGTTTCACTACCAGAAATCCCCATTGCTCCACCTATACCTCCTTCCCTGCCACCACCCCCAAACCCCTGATCTTTTTACCATATCTGTAGTTTTGCCTTTTCTGGAATGTCATGTTAGAGTTACGGAGTATGAAGCCTTTTCAGACTGGCTGCTTTAACCTAGCAATATGCTTTTTTTTTTTTTTTTTTTTTTTTTTTGGCGTGCGAGACAGAGTCTTACTCTGTCACCCAGGCTGGAATGCTGTGACGTAATCTCAGCTCACTGCAACCTCTGCCTCCCTGGTTCAAGCGATTCTCCTGCCTCAGCCACCCAAGTAGCTGGGATTACAGGCCTGCGCCACCATGCCTGGCTACCTTTTTTTGTATTTTTAGTAGAGACGGGTTTTACTGTGTAGGCCAGGCTGGTCTCAAACTCCTGACCTCAAGTGATCCGTCCACCTCAGCCTCCCAAAGTCTGGGGATCACAGGCATGAGCCCCCATGCCTGGCCAACCTAGCAGTATGCTTTTATGGTTCTTACTTTTTGTGTGTGTGGCTGCATAGCTGATTTCTTTTTATTGCTGAATAATATTCCCTTGAATGAATGTACCATGGTTTGGTTATCCATTCACTTATTGAAGAGCATCTTGGTTGCTTCTATTTTTTGGCAATTATGAATAAAGCTGCTATAAACATTTCTGTGTAGGCTTTTGTGTGGACCTAAGTTTTCAGCTCATTTGCGTAAATACGTAGGAGAGTGATTGCTAGATTATGTGGTACAAGTATGTTTAGCTTTGTCAGAAACTGCCAAACTGTCTTCAGACGTGGCAGGACCATTTTGCATTCCCACCAGCGTGAATGAGTTTCTGTTCCACATCCTTACCAGCATTTGGTGTTGTCACTGATTTAGATTTTAGCCATTCTAAGGTATCTTATTGTTTTAATTTGCAATTCCCTAATGACATACAATGTCATCTTTTCATGTGCTTATTTGCCATCTGCATCTTTATTGAGGTATCCAGATCTTCTGCCTATTTTTCATTGAGTGATTATGGTTAAGTTTTAGGAGTTCTTTGTATATTTTTAGACATTAGTCCTTTATCAGATAGATGTTTTATAAAGGTTTTCTCCCCGTTTGTGGTGTCTTCTCACTTTCTTAATAGTGTCTTTTGGAGCACAAAAGTTTTTTATTTTTATAAACTTTAACTTGCATATTTTTGTGTTTTTGGTGTCATATCTAAGAAACCATTGGTTTATCCAAGGTCACAAATATTAATGCCTTTATTTTTTTCTATGGGTCTTATAGTTTGGGCTCCTACTTTTAAGTCTCTGGTCTGTTGTAGAGATGTGTCCAACTTCATTCTTTCACATGTGACTATCCTGTTGTCCTAGCATCATTTGTTGAAAATACTGTTCTTTGTTGAATTGTTTTGGCATGCTTGTCAAAAAGCAGTTGACCATAAATGTGAGGGTTTGTTTCTGGACTCTCATTTCTGTTCCATTGATGTAGATACCTATCCTGATGCCAATACCATATTGTCTTGATTGGAGTAGTTTCATAGTAAGTTTTGAAATCAGGAAGTTTGAATCCTCCAGTGTTTTTCTTTTTCAAGATTATTTTGGCTGTCTTGGGTCTCCTGCATTTCTGTGTCAAACTTAGGATTAGCTTGTTGGTTTCTGCAAAAACAGCTTGGATTTTTATGGGAATTGCGTTGAATCCGTAGATCATCTGAGGGAGTATTGGCATCAGGTCTTCCAACTCATGAACATGGGATGTCTTTCCATTTATTAAGCATGGTGTGGTGGCTTTACTTTCTGCATGGCGTGGTGGCTCACACCTGTTATCCCAGGACTTTGGGAGGCCAAGGTGAGCGGATTGCTTGAGCCCAGGAGTTTGAGACTAGCCTGGGCAACATGATGAAACCCCTGCTCTCCAAAAAGTACAAAAATTAGCTGGGCATGGTGGCGCGTACCTGTAGTCACAGATCCTTGGGAGGATCACTTGAACTTAAGAGGTCAAGGCTGCAGTGAGCTGCAATTGGGCCACTGCACTCCAGCCTGGGCAACAGAATGAGACTGTGTCTCAAGGGAAAGAAAAGAGTCCTTCCATGACATTTTATAGTGTAGGGTGTACACGTTTTGTACTACTTTTGTTTCGTTTATTTCTAAGAATTTTATTCTTTTTTACGCTGTTATAAATGGAGTTTTCTTAATTTTATTTTCAGACTTGTTGTTAAGGCATAGAAATAAAATTTATTTTCATATACCAATCCTATATCCTGCAACCTTGCTGTACTCATTTCTTAGTTCTAATAGATTTTTATTGTTTCCTTAGGATTTTATATCTGTAAGATAATGTCATCTGCAAATAATGATGGCTGTACTTCTTCCTTTCCAATCTGAAGGCCTGTTATCTCTTTTTCTTGCCTAATTGCCCTGGCTAGAACTTCTAGTACAATGTTGAATACAAGTAGCGCAATAAATATTCTGGTATTCTTCCTAATCTTAACAGAAAAGCATCCCGTCTTTAACCATTAAGTATAATGGAGGCCGGGCATGGTGGCTTATGCCTGTAATCCCAGCACTTTGGGAGGCCGACGCGGGTGGATCACCTGAGGTCAAGAGTTCAAGACCAGCCTGGCCAAAATCGCAAAACCCCGTCTCTACTAAAAATACAAAAATTAGCCGGGTGTGGTGGCACACACCTGTAATCTCAGCTACTCGGGAGGCTGAGCCTGAGGCAAGAGAATCGCTTGAATCCGGGAGGCAGAGGTTGCAGTGAGCCGAGATTGTGCCAATGCACTCCAGCCTGGGCAACAAGAGCAAAAAATCCATCTCAAAAAAAAAAAGTATAACTGTGGGTCAATGCCTTTTTAACATATACGAATTTATTTTCCTAGTTTTTATTTTCTTTCCATTCATTAACTCATGGGTGATATTCTGTGATCACAATGTAGTATGCCAGTAGCAATAAAAAGCCCTAAGATAGTTGTTTAATAGTTCTGTGGTTGAATAGTGTTTTTATTAGGAAATTTATAAAGTTAATTTGGAGCTAATAAAAGGCTTATGTATACAGTATAGGACATGTTTTTTCTAGATAACTAGCATTTATGTCACTTAGCCATTCATCATAGTAGTCTTAAAATAGTTGACAGCGGGAATAGACTGAAAAGGTGTATTCTCCTTTTGTGGGAATAAGAAAGGAGAGTATCAGGCCGGGCACGATGGCTCAAGCCTGTAATCCCAGCCCTTTGGGAGGCTGAGGCACGCTGATCACCTGAGGTCAGGAGTTCAAGATCAGCCTGGCCAACATGGTAAAACCCCGTCTCTACTAAAAATACAAAAAGTTAGCTGGGTGTGGTGGCGGGTGCCTGTAATCCCAGCTACTTGGGGGGCTGAGGCAGGAGAATCGCTTGAACCCAGGAGGCGGAGGTTGCAGTGAGCCAAGATCTCATCATTGCATTCCAGCCTGGGCAACAAGAGCAAAACTCCATCTCAAAGAAAAAAAAAAGGAGAGTATTATTGAATAAAAACTAAATAGATAATATACTCTATAGCTAATTATAATTAGTAATGTGGGCTTGCTATTAATGATTTTGCTCATTATCTTTTTTATTATATTTAAGTACTTATATCCTTGTTCATGTGCTAATGCTTTATGTGTATTATTTCAAATAAACCTCACAATTCTATGAAGAGGCACTCTTAACTCTGTTTGACAGGTGTGGTTCAGGGAATGGCGTCGTTTGTCCTCGGTTTGACAGGGGCAGAGTTGGAACTAAAGTCTGTCTGAATCCATAGTCTAGGATTTTTTGTTTGTTTGTTTGTTTGAGACAGAGTCTTGCTCTGTCACCCGGGCTGGAGTGCAGTGGCCGATCTCGGCTCACTGCAATCTCCACCTCCCAGGTTCATGCCATTCTCCTGCTTCAGCCTCCCGAGTAGCTGGGGCTACAGGTGCCTGCCACCATGCCTGGCTAATTTTTTGTATTTTTTTAGTAGAGACAGGGTTTCACTGTGTTGGCCAGGATGGTCTCTATCTCCTGACCTCGTGATCCGCCCGCCTTGGCCTCCCAAAGTGCTGGGATTACAGGCGTGAGCCACTGTGCCCGGCCTAGTCTAGGATCTTAAATATACATTAGGATAATCTCTTTCCTTGTTGCCAATTTTTTTTTTTTTTTTGCTCTGTGGCTTTAGGAAGAATTACTGAAAAACCTGTTAAGACCCACAGTGTTATTTGTTTGAGCCATCAGATGGCAAGTCTTTAAAGCCCCTTAGCTCCAGTGGTTTGAAGTAATCATTTTATTATTAAGACACAAAATAGTTACATCAACATTGTGGTGAATTTCTCAGCTGCCCAGACTGGAGTGCAGTGATGCAATCACGGCTCACTGCAGCCAAGTGATTCTCCCACCTCAGCTTCCCAGGTAGCTGGGACCACAAGCACACGCCATCACGCCTGGCTAATTTTTTAATTTTTGTAGAGATGAGGTCTCCCTGTGTTGCCCAGGCAGGCTGGTCTTAAACTGTGGGGCTCAAGTGATGCTCCTGCCTCAGCCTCCCAAAGAGCTGGGATTACAGGCGTAAGCCACTACACCTGACCTGGTGAATTTATAAAATAAAAAAGTATTTGCTAGTGGCAATAATCAAAAGCCATCAATCTATCATCTTTTCCCCAGCCCAACTTTATTAAAGTAAATATGATATCAACATATAGCACAGCTCATAAGCACTGCTCATATCTAGAAGTGTATGCGATTGTAAGATTTTGCTTTTTTTCCTATCCTTTCTTAGGTGTTTGTAAAATGTATGAAGAACATCTGAAAAGAATGAATCCCAACAGTCCCTCTATCACATATGACATCAGTCAGTTGTTTGATTTCATCGATGATCTGGCAGACCTCAGCTGCCTGGTGTAAGTATTAGCCAACATGTCTTTTATCTTGTATTTTCTATTGCTTTTCTGTCTGTTTGAGGTGATTTATGGTATTGGGAGCTAATTATGTGCCTGATACTGATCTTTGCATTTGCATAGTGTATAGTAATTAATATTTCTCTTACAGAAATAAGAGATTGGCAACATAAAGCCAAAGGCACAGAAAAAAATAACTTTGCTAATTGATATAGTTAGTATCCAGAAAGGATCCTAATTCAGAAGTTCCATGTGCCTCTTCTTTGTTCCTTATACCTAATTTTTTTTTTCCTTTACAGTCTTTGTCTTAAAGCCATTGGTTTTGGATTAAAACTAAGATTATCTTTTTTTCATGACATTTCAAAAACTTAAATATGCGTATAGCTGAAATTTAATTTCAATCCTACGCTGTGTAAGTACGTATATTTTGGTATGTTAGAGTGAGATTTTTTAACATATTTGTTATAGTTTGTATTGATAATCTGCTTCTGACAATTACTAACAAGGAGCATAAAGTGTTACTGTAGACTTACCTAATCTTTTTTACATTAGCGAACAGAAATTGAGTGTAAATACAGCTCATTTAACCGAGGAAAATGGAAGCACCTTATGATACAATACTCAATCATCAGATACTTGAATATTTATTACATGTCAGGTGCTGTGCTAGAAGTTGAAAGAGCAGTGATGAGAAATATACAAGTCTTACTCATAGGCACTTCCTGGATCACCACTGGAGCCAATCATGGAATGTGGCTGCACCATGCTGTCTCCCCAAAAGTTCCAAAACACGCATTTCCTTGGGATGTTTGAGTTTTGTTTTCTGTACCTCTTCATTGTGTTCCGGTTGTAGCCATTTCACTTTGATCACTCAGAACATTCAAATGAATGTTGCATGGTACTTTAAGCCATTCAGACATCTATAGGAAAAACATACCAGACAGAGGGGATGAGGGACAGCTAGTGTAGAAGTCCTGAAGTAGGAGTGCCTAGCATGTTTGAAGTCATTAAGGAAGCCTTTGAGGCTGCAGAGGAATGAGTGAAGGAGAGTGTCTTAGGAGATTGGAGGAGCAGGGAGCAATGATATCCTGGAAGCCAAATGCAGAAGTGTGTCATATCATTGATAGGACAGATATGTGAGGACTGAGAATTTAATTGACCCCTGGATTTGACACTGTGGAAGTCTTTGGTGACTTCCAGAACGGTTGTGGTAGAGTGCCAGGAGTAAAATGCTTACAGATTTCAGTGTATGGAAGGGAATGAAAAGAGAGGATTTATAGGTGGCCATTACAGGCTTGCTTTTTTTTTTTTTTTCCTTTTTTTTATTTAAAGAATTTTGCTTGAAAGAACAGAAAAATGGGGTTGTAGCTGGAGAAAGAAATTGCTTTTTTTTAAGTGGGAAAAGTAATGGTAAGTTTGCAGGCTGATGGGATGATGTACCAGAGAAGGAGAAACTGATAGCTCAAATTGGCTCTTGGACAGTTCAATCATAAAAAAGGGAGGACAGGCAAATTTGGGAGCTGGGGGGAATTATCTTCTGTATGCTTCAGTTATCTCAGAAAGATAAGGAGCAAGGACATCATTTGAAACAGGTGTTACAGGTTTGTGGAAAAGTAAGAAATAAGCTAGGAAGGTGAAAGAATTAGGGAACTGCAATTAATTCAGGGATGCATTAAGTGTCCTCCAAAGTACCTATCTGATAGTGATTTAAAGTGAAATCAGTCATTGTGATCATGGGATTTTTTTCCTAGTCTCTCTCACCTGGATGGTTACAGGTGAGGAGTAGGTAGAGAGTAAAGATTTTGCTAAAGGTTGAGGGCATATATGAGGACAACAGCAACGACTGAATGACCATGAGCTTTAATTGGGGGTGTAGGAGGAGGTGCTGGAAACAGAGGTAGATCAGTTCATTGTAGGTCCCACTGGATCAAGGATTGCTCACATTAGAGTGTTAGGAAGTGGTGATCAGAGAATGACATGCTTGAAATTAGGAAATTGAAGTAGTTGGAAATGACAAGGTCTAGGGATCTGGCCAAGAGAGGGTAGGAGATGAGATCATTAGAGGAAAAGACTTCATGGAATTGGGAGGCCTAAGTGTTGACAGAATCATCCACTGGATATGAAATTACCAATAATGTGTATATTAATTGATAGAATTTAAGAAGAAGTTGCTTTGTGTTTGTTCACTGCTGCATCTCTGGTACATAATTAGTGCTGAGTAAATATTGGTTATATAAATGCACGTCACTTGTGTTGTTATTTGAGGAATAGCTTTCTAAAATTATTGATAATTTTCTATTTCCCTTATTTATATTACAGAGCTATATTCTGCATTGATTAAAAATTAATGGTTGTCTTTATGGTTTTATAAAAGAACCTTACTGAAACATTCAGGATGTAATCCTGACGCTTTTGGGATGTCATACTTACTCCCAGTAAGTGGGAAGTAAACTTGAAGCAAAGGATCATGTTTTACTTGTCTTGGGAGGCTGTGGTTAAGAGCTAGCTGGAGTGGCAGAATTAGACATAGCTGGGTTTGAATCCTGGGTCTACCATTTGCTAGCTCCCTTTGACAAGGCAGCTTTGTATTGCTAAACTTTAGTTTGCTAATTTGTAAAATTCAGACAAATCTAGTTCATAAGACTCCTTGTGAGGATCAAGTGCTTGCTGAGCACAGCATTATTAGATATGCAGCAACTCCCTTTTCAACTAGATTGAAGAAGTCAGGATAGAGTTTTATTTTTAATTACAAGCATGTTCTTAAATTTGCCAGGAGTAGAATGATATGAATTTTAATGTCTACGTGTGAGATAAATTATAAATTTCAAGGGAGATTTAAAAGGTGTTGAGGTTTTTTCAACAATATGAAAATTGAGCAGAGTAAAACAGTTACAAGTGACATGTTAATGATATACAAGTATGTCATTAATGACATAACATAACTTTTCTAACTTTGTACTAGACTTTATAAAAAAAAAATTTTAGAGACAGGGTCTTGCTATATTACCCAGGCTGGTCTCAAACTCCTGGGCTCAAGTGATCCTCCTTCCTCAGCCTCCCCAAGGAGTGATATTACAGGCATGAGCAACTGTGCCCGGCTGCATTAGACTTTAAAATGTAAACTAGAAACCATATCTAGCATACTAAACTGATTTTTAATACAATATTTGCTATATTAAAGCAACATAGGGGGAAAGCTTTAATTATTACCTAGATAATTCTTCCCACCTACAGTATTTCCAGAAATATAGAAGAGAGGTTAATGATAATTTATGGTTTTTTAGTAGTTTCAGAGTGTTAAAAACCGTAAATTATCATAGCTTGAAAACCTGTAACTATTTGTTTGTTTCTAATGTTGAAAATTTTTTGGCCTCTGAAAAACTTTCAGAATCAAATTTAGGATTTAAAACTATTTTCCCCAGGTGACTTTGGTTATGTCCTTTTTGTTCTTTGAATATTCAGGAGAAATAAGGTATTGTTTCCAAAGAGGTAACCCACTGCCACAGCACATCCTGTGATTTGGGCCGTTACTCCTCAGACCAGAGACTGGGTCCGTTTTTGGTTTGTAGATGGTTGTGTGCTCATAGTTTCTATTAAATTTACATGGCAGTGACCTAGGACTTTTTTAAATTAATTCTTTTTAAACAGCGTAGGTGGAAATGGAATAAATAAGATTCTACTTTGTAACATGACTAAACCCAGAGCAAACTGACCATGCATTAATAATAAAATGTAGGCATGAAAATTTGTATTTCGTATACTTAAAGTCAGAGTCAGATTTTTCCAGTTTTCTGATCTGTATGTTTTTTAAATAAGCTTTTTGTAAGATGAAAATAATGCCCTTTTGATTATGCAGTATTTTCTTGTTTGCTTAGAGACATAAAGAACATTTAAACTGTCAGTTATTATAATGACAAGAGGTATTCCTGATCAGTAAGAGAAGTTATCACTGAAGACATTTCTGATTTCACTGCCCAGACCCACAGCTTCTGTTCTTATATAAACCTACATTCATTGACCATAACAATAGGTTAAAAGATTCATCTGTGCCAATGACTAGGCATTTTATTAAAGTATTTAACATTTAATTGTCTCATTTTCAAGTGCCAGTTAACAGCCATCGACACACAGCTTTCCATAAAGAAGGCATTATTGCTTTTTTTTTTTTTTTCTTTTGGAGATAGAGTCTTGCACTGTCGCCAGGGTTCAAGCGATTCTCCTGCCTCAGCCTCCCGAGTAGCTGGGACTACAGGTGCGCGCCACCACGCCCAGCTAATTTTTGTATTTTTTTTTTTTGGTGGAGACGGGGTTTCACAATGTTGGTCAGGATGGTCTTGATCTCTTGACATTGTGGCCCGCCTGCCTCAGCCTCCCAAAGTGCTGGGATTACAGGCATGAGCCACTGGCACCTGGCCTACTATTTGATGAGTTGGAAAATTGCATGCAAGTTGATGGATTCCTTAATGTTCACAAACCAGAGTGATTTTTGTTGGGGGGAATGGTATAAACAAAGCCTGTCCCACCCAGATATGATAATTGTGAGAAATTTTGTTCCTTTTTAAGTTATTTTCCAGTGTTAATATAAATGTTATAGTCTCTTCTGCTACATTTTGCAGTAGACTAGCTTAGAGCTTATTTAATTAGGAAGCATGGACAAAGAGTTTTCAGAAAAAATTAAATTTTAGAATTTTTAAATTTGGTTAAGCATTTTTAAAAATGGGAATCTTGTACATTTTTAATAAACCAGATTGTGACCTTACTGTTCAGAGGAAGAATATGATGTTAATTGTATAAAGCATTCCTACTTTGGAATTTATTTCCCTTGCCAAAAATTGTAGTTTAGGTTTCTAACTTAGTGATTAACAGTGAGGACTCTGGAGTCAGGAGTATTTAAAATCTATCTCCAGTCCAGCATTACCTAGCTAATAACTTGCTTCACTTTTTAAAGCCTTGGTTTCTCATTTATGAAAAAGGAGGCCAGGTGCGGTGGCTCACGCCTGTAATCCCAGCACTTTGGGCGGCCGAGGCGGCTGGATCACTTGAGGGTCAGGAGTTCAAGACCAACCTGGCCAACATAGTGAAACCTGGTCTCTACTAAAAATACAAAACATTAGCTGGACGTGGTGGCACACACCTATAGTCTTACCTACTCAGGAGGCTGAGGCAGGAGAATCATGTGAACCCAGGTGGCAGAGGTTGCAGTGAGCCAAGATGGCACCACTGCACTCCAGACTGAGTTACAGAGTGAGATTCTGTCTCAAAAAAAAGCAGGGGTCGGTGGTGGGGGTGGTGGGAAGTGAGGATAATTGTACCTACTCACAGGGTTGTAAAAATGAGTTAATTCAGATAAGAATTTAAAGCGACACCCAGTACTCTGTGACATCTTACTAGATACTACTCACAGTCCCATTGGAGTTTTACTGCTAATGCTAGTCTGTGTACTCCTTTTCGTTCTGATTAGAGATATTTTGGAGCTTACTGTATCTTCTGATAATTCTTCTCCATAGGCCTCTAGCATTATTTATTTTAAAAAGCAAATCCTAAAATATAGGTTTAAGATTTCCTTAATACTTTACAGGGGGAAGGAAATTAGCAAGAAATCTTTGTTGCCAGTACATGTTTTTTAAAGGTTTTTTAGTTAATTCAGAATAAACATTGCAAATCTAAAGTTTGTTCTAGTATTGTTGTTTTTGTTTTTTTGAGATGGAGTCTCACTCACAGGAGTGCAGTGGCACGATCTCGGCTCACTGCATCCTCCACCGGTTGAAGCAATTCCCTTGCCTCAGCCTCCTGAGTAGGCAGGACTACAGGCGTGCACCACCATGCCCAGCTAATTTTTGTATTTTAGTAGAGACAAGGTTTCACCATGTTGGCCAGGCTAGTCTTGAACTCCTGACCTCAAGTGATCACCCGCCTCAGCCTCCCAAAGTGCTGGGATTACAGGCATGAGCCACTGCACCCAGCCAATTTTTTTGTTGTTGTTTTTTAATCACTAAAGGAACCATAAAAATAGAAACTATGTAGGAGGAAGAACACATGGTTTCTGGTCATACTCTGTCAAGAAGTAGATATGTAACATATTGGGCATTTAACTTAAAAATTCTAAGTCATGTTTTCTTTTTCCACTATAAGATTGTACTAGGTGATATAAAGTTCATGTCACTTAAAATTCAACGACTGTGTAAGTAGCTCTTTCAGCTTTTCATTAAGTTCATTTTTGGAAATGTGCACATCTATGCCATCATTGGGCAGTTATAATTTGGGGATTTAAACACCTGGCAGTGATTGACCACTGTGACTTTGCTTATTCCCTTTCTCTCCTCAGTTACCGAGCTGATACCCAGACATACCAGCCTTATAACAAAGACTGGATTAAAGAGAAGATCTACGTGCTCCTTCGTCGGCAGGCCCAACAGGCTGGGAAATAATTGTGTTGGAAGCACTGGGGGGGTTGGGGTGGGCTTGGAACACAGGTGTGTACAGCGTGCTGTAGTGGAAGTTTTGTATCATAGTAATCCTGTTTCCACTTTGTTATACTCTAGCCAAGATTGACTGTATTAGATGAAATGTGAGGATCTTGTTCAATCGGAAACCCCCGTTACCTCCTCTTTTTCTTTCTCTTTCTTTTTTTTTTTTTACTTAAACATTTTTATGATGATTTAGATGGAAGTTGTTCTTCGTCACTTAATGTTGGTTCCAGTCCTTCAACTGTTCATATCTACTTTATAACATTCACATACTAACCCTTCTTCAAGATGGGGTGGGGGGTGGAAATGCAGTTTAGCCATGTCCTCAAGATAAAGTCTTGGTAAAAATAAATAAATGTCCTTTAGTTATATTTTCTCCCTGAGTGCTTTTTTTTTTTTTGTCTTTGAACATTGAATTTTCTTGCAAAGCATTTTTTCATTTTAAGTTTAAAAACCAATAGCTGCTACACAAAGAATTTGAAGAAAGTTTAAGTAGTGCGCAACACATTTTGCTGTGAAGCTAATAACACTTTTACCTCACTTTTCCAGCATAATTAAATGAATCTTAATTATAGCTCCAAGGTTTGTACCTACTATTGACGCAAACGTTATAAATGACTTTCTGGTGATAAAGCTTGTCCGCAGCAGCAGCAGCAGACAGATGAACTTCTTAGTGTTGATCAGATGAAGTACTCTTTCTAGGAGGTCTTTGTGCCCTTTTCAGAGCCTTCAGTTGGATACTAGTTACCCACTACTGTAGGGAAGCTATAAGGGCAAGGGAAAAACCACAAAAAAGTGTAAGATAGTCTTGTCTCTTTTTTGTTGTTGTTTTTTTGAGACAGTCTCACTCTGTACCCAAGCTGGAGTGTACTTCCAATCATGTCAATCATGTATTTTCAATCAGCAAGTACATGAGCACTCTCTGATTCTGCTATTAGCACTTTACCAACAGCCAGTGATATCTTGACACAGCATAAGATTGAAAGTTTTTTGGAAGGCTCATGATTGGTTTAATATCCCCCTGTTCCTGCCTCTACTTGCACATTAGGGCCTTAACTATTTTTTTTGTTGTTTTATGCAAGACAAAATTTTACCTAGAACATACTCATATGTGCTCAGTTTTTCTATAGAATAATCTGGTTAATGAAATGTTATCACTGTACCAAGAGATTATTAGAATTTTAGGGTACCTGACAAAATTAAGTAGAGTTGTAGTTAATGTTTCACTGTGAAACCAACCAAATTTTAAAGCTAAAATAGGCCGGGTGCGGTGGCTCACGCCTATAATCCCAGCACTTTGGGAGGTTGAGGTGGACAGATTATTTGAGGTCAGGAGTTCAAGACCAGCCTGACCAGCATGGTGAAACCCTGTCTCCACTAAAAATACAAAAAGTAGCCGGGCATGGTGGCACACGCTTGTACTATCCCAGCTACTTAGGAGGCTGAGGCAGGAGGATCCCTTGAACCAGGGAGACAGAGGTTGCAGTGAGTGAGCCGAGATTGCACCACTGCACTCCAGCTTGGGTGACAGAGACTCTGTCTCAAAAAAAAAATAAATAAAGCTAAAATAATCTCACACAAAAAGAAATAGATCCAAAAGTAATCTGATTGTCCTGTTTTTCATTTGGCCTGTCCTGCTAAAATAGTTTTATTTCTTTAACAAATAGAGGATCTTTGGCTTTATTTATTTATTAATTTATTTTTTAAATACTCTAGAGCAGATCTGAAGGGAATGAGTTCCCTTGATTCTCAGATATAGTACCATTTCTGGTGTTGGGCTTACAGAGGAAAATATGAGAAAGGAATGTGAGAAAGTATCTGGGTTCTAGATGTTGAGTGATGAGAACAAAAAGAAGGGGAGCAGTGTTTGGAATCATTAAAAGCTTAAGGAAGACTAGAACTGGAATAAATACAAAGAAACATTTGTCTATGTCCCATAATACACAGAAAAAGAGCCTAAAGTAGCCTTTTTGTGAAGGTGAAATGTGCAATGAAAGTTTCTGTGGTTTGGCCTAGGTACAACCACTGTCCTTGTGTTAGAGATTTAGAGTGTTGGTTGATTGGCCTTTCCCCAACCACAAGTAAAACAGGTTTGATTTCCGCTTATTAAGTGATATTTTATACTGCTACATAAAGGTGAAACCTCCCAGACAGATTATACAATTTCCGATTCTCTAATCCAGATTTATAATCTAAATTTATATACCTGAGAATTTCTAAAATATTTCTTGATAATGGCCATTTCTGTCCTGTAGTGCTTGATTTAAGAGGTCCCAGGAGTATAAAAAGAGTTCAACGATCTCACTTCCCTTCCAGTTCTCTGGCTTAATATATTTCCAGCAACTTACTAAATGCTCAAACAGGTTATGTGTCTTAACTCCCATTGTTGGGACAGAAGTAGTAGTGAACTGTTTTACTTTCAGCAAGAGAGGGACTTAAGGGATGAGCAAATAATTTTGTACTGTCCTAAAAGCAGACCAGGCTGGGTTGGGGGAGAGAGGACAGGGTAGTTTTCTCAGTATGATTGTCAACTTTACATCAGGATGG
Source organism: Homo sapiens (assembly GCF_000001405.40). NCBI lineage: Eukaryota > Metazoa > Chordata > Mammalia > Primates > Hominidae > Homo > Homo sapiens. The sequence continues at coordinate 69,377,951 of NC_000014.9, read as the reverse complement.
TCTTCCTTTATCAAATTGTTTTAACTAATCATTTGAAGGTTGGAATGAAAATCAGGATTGATACATAAATTGATTAATGTTACTATATTTGTAAGGATACTTTTATGTTCATGTTCTTTTTTTTTTTTTTTTTTTTTTTTTTTTTTTGAGACAGTCTCACTCTATCACCCAGGCTGTAGTGCAGTGGTGCAATCATGCCTCACTGCAGCCTCAATCTCCCAGGCTCAGGTGATCCACCTTAGCCTCCTGTGTAGCTGGGATTACAGGTGCACACCACCATGGCCAGCTAATTGTTTAAATTATTTTTTGTAGAGATGAGGTCTCCTTATGTTGCCCAGGCTGGTCTTGAGATCCTGGACTCAAGTGATCCACCTGCCTTGGCCTCCCAAAGTGTTGGGATTACAGGCATAAACCACTGCACCCAACCTAAGGATACTTTTGGAAGAAATATTAATTTATATGTTAGCATAATGATACTAGTATTGCCACTTAGACATAGCATTTTACTGCCTAGGAAATATTTCTACATATTTATCATCACAGCAACCCTTTGAGATAGGAAATAATTATATCTCTATTAATGGTAAAAATAAAAATAAAAATTTAGATTGCCTAAGTGATTCACCAGATCACAAAGCAATACCAAAATTTTGCTAGATGAAAAAGACAAGGTTTTAACCTCAAAGACCTTGAAGGGGAGCCCCATAATATGAATAGCTGTGCTAAATAATGGACCTCTAATTCTTGTCAAAGGGACCTTTTTAGACTCAATCAAATATTTGGATTCACAAGACCTGAAGAGGTCTTACTTGGCACCAATTTAATCAAAAGCACAGGGGACACAGAAAACAGCTTGCCAGCCCAGCATCATCAAGTGTTTCTCTTCCACGGGAGTATTCCTCATGGCAGTTCACACAGCCATCCAAGAATTATCCTCCGAACACACGGAAACACACAGTAGCTCAGATGCAAGAGATAAGACTTAGGTAAGTGCAAGAGCTACCCCAACTTAGAAGCTTCATGTACAACAAGAGCCACTAACTCTTGTAATAGCTTCATGGACATAGTTTCTAGGTCCCTGCAAGGAGCATGCCGCATTTACAAGTCATTGTATTCAGAGAAACACAAGGCCATGTCTTCCCATCAGGTATTCATTGTTTCTCCCAGTCTAGGTGTAATTTATCACATAAGGGCCATGTTTCTCATAAGCAGTCTTGTCTAGTAATACATTGCACCATTGTGTTTCCTCAGGAACAGAGCTACAATGTTAACCCAAGTTGACCATGAGTCAGTGTATTACATAATGGTGCAATGTATTACTAGACCAGATTGCTTATGAGAAGCATGGCCCTAAGTGGTTACCTTGGGTTAACTTTCTAGCTCTGTTCCTGAGGAAACATAATGGTGCAATGTATTACTAAACAGGATACTGATGGAATGATTAACCTCAGAAGAAAAAGTGACATGGAAAGTTGAAAGAGTTTGTGTTAAATGGTCTTAACTCATTAAATGAGTAAAATGAATTACTATCTTGGAGGAAAGGAGGCTGGGCATAGAATGGGGAGTCAGAAGAACAATTCTCAGAGCTCATACAGGGTGAGGAAACATAATCTGACCACTAGAGTCCTGTGTCACCAACTAAGGGATTCACTGAAGCCTCCAAAAGTGTTAAAATTTGTAATAAGACCAGTGGTCCCTTAAATTAAGGCTACTATGGATTTACCATAGCAAAGTTTAAAAATGGATCTTAGGCCAGGTGTGGTGGCTCACACCTGTAATCCCAGCACTTTGGGAGGCCAAGGCAGGAGGATCAAATGAGCCCAAGAGTTGGAGGCTGCAGTGAGCTATGATCACGTCACTGTACTCCAGCCTGGATAGCAGAGTGAGACAGTATCTCAAAAATAAAAAGTATGACAACAATAGTGTAAAGGACAATAGGGGGAAATGGAATACATGGTTGAAATGTTTTTTAACGTCGACGGTAGACTGAAAAGTTAAAGATGTCTATTTGAGGGCCAAGCATGGTGGCTAATGCCAATAATCTCAGCACTTTGGGAGGCCAAGGCAGGAGGATCACTTGATGCCAGGAATTCTAGACTGCAGTTGAGCAACATAGCAAGACCCTGTCTCTACGAAATAAAAATTTAAACATTAGCCAGATGTGGTGGCATGTGCCTGTAGTCCTAACTACTCAGGAGACTGAGGCAAGAGGATCACTCAGGCCCAGAAGTTCACGGCTTCAGTGAGCTATGATTGCACTCCAGCATGGGTAACAGAGTGAGAACTTGTCTCACAATAAAATAAAGATCTCTATTTGTAAACCCTAGAGAAATCACTTTAAAAAAAAAGAATCCAAAAGAAGATAGGATATCAGGATAATGTGGAAACCTGCGGTTGGAGGAGTTGCCATGGTAATGTTAACTCCCACCTTCATCTACAGGCTTTTGTTGTGGAGGCTTTTGTTTTACTGTGTGCCAGGACCCCAGAACAAAGAATAGGTGGGAAAATAGATAACAAACAGCAATATGGTAAATTTAGACCCAGTCATTAATAATTTCATTAAATGTAAATGGTCTAAACATTTCAATGAAAAGACTCGGATTGTCAGACTGGATCATGAAGCAAGACACCACTATATGTGGTCTATAAGAAATCCACTTTACATGTTAAGACACAGATACAATAAAAGTGAAAAGGATGCGGAAAGTATGTCATGCAAACACTAAGCATTAGAAGCAGGAGTGGCCATACTTAATATAAGGCAAGGAGACTTCATAACAAGGAATATTACCAGGGATGAAGGGGGATGCTTTGTAATGATAAAAGTGTAGCTTCATCAAGAGACATAACAATCCTAAAAATACGTGCACCTGCTGTCGTTTGCATGTGTCTCCCAAAGTTTATGTGTTGGAAACTTAATCCCAAATTCAACAGTGTTGGAAGTAAGGCCTAATAAGAGTTGATTGGGTCATGAGGGTATGAGCCTTATGAATAAATTAATGTCATTTCCGCAGGAGTGAGTTAGTTATCATGAGTGGTCTTGTCATAAAAGTGAGTTCAGTCCCCCTGCTCTCTTTCTTGCTCTCTTTCTTGCTTTCTGCCTTCCACCATGGGATGACATGAAGGCCCTTGCAAGGTGCCAGTGCCATGCTCTTGGACTTCCAGGCTCCAGAACTGTGAGCCAAATAAGTTCCTATTGTTTATAAATTACCCAGTAAGTATTTTGTTACAGCAACAGAAAATAGACTAACACATCACTCAGTGACAGAACTTCAAAATACATGAATTAAAAACCTCGGGATATTCCAATGTGCAATATACCACTACTGTTCAAAATGTTGCACACCTGAGTATCTTGAGCAGATTTTTATTTGGTTGGTCTGTGGTGGACTCACAGTCTACAATTTTAACAAACTTCCAGGTAACCACACTTTGACTAGCAAGACATCCTACACATACTGCTTTTCATGAGGTAGCATAGGAAAATGCCTGGTATATAGTAGGTGAACAGTAAATAGTGATAGAATCTGACTAAACAGAACAAGGCACATAAATGGCAACAAAGATGAACAAGAATGATCTTAGGCAGTAGGGATAGAGAAGAGCATAAACTTTAGTACATGAAGCAGTATAACATTTTTATGGGAGGGAGTGCTGGGGGAGTGTTAAGTGGACAAGGAATCATAAGTAAGTAACAAGCATAACACTGAAAGACTACTCACACTCTAGGCTAGACATTAAGGCAAGTGAATGATGGGCTAGGAGATAGGAGGGGCTGAGAGGCTGAAATCATGAGGGCACTTGAAAGATGGAGAAGTTGAAAGAAGCTAGATGATGGTCTGAGGGGAATTTCAGTGATACCTTAGAGGAGGGCCAGGCACAGTGGCTCACGCCTGTAATCCCAGCACATTGGGAGGCTGAGGCGGGCAGATCACTTGAGCTCAGGAATTTGAGACCAGCCTGGGCAACGTGGCAAAACCTCATCTCTACAAAAAATGCAAAAATTAGCTGGGTGTGGTGGCATATACCTGTAGTCCCAGCTATGCAGGAGGCTGAGGTGGGAGGATTGCTTAAGCCCAGGAGGTCACAGCTGCAGTGAGCCAAGCCGAGATTGTGCCACTGCACTCCAGCCTGGGCAACAGATTGAGACCCTGTGTCAAAAAAGAAAAAGGAAAGAGAGAAAGAGAGAGAGAAAGAAAAGAACAAAGAGAAAGAAAAAGAAGAGAAAGAAAAAAGAAAAGAAAAAGAGAAAGAAGACTTAGAGGGAGATAATCTCTTAGTGATTTGCTTTCCTGTCTACTCCACTACATAGTTTGTCTTGTAAGCCTAAGAAAGATGTTTTGCCTTTGAAGATAATAGTAACTCCTTCAGCTACATTTAGAGATCCTGTGTCAACATATCTAGCATACCCTTTCTTTTTTGTAATTATACACTTAAGTGGATGTTCAGTTTGAGACATACTGTGAAAAGGTTGGTTTAAAAGCCTTTTCTGTGCCAGAGGTAATTTTCTTTATGCTTTTCAAGAGACTATGAAGAGGCTAATGAGAACTGATGACATCGCTTAACTGAGACAGGCCCTGCATTCTTGTCAATAGATGTTTGAAGTTAAAGTGTGTGGGCTGTAATTTAAGAGAAATGGGATAGATCATGGTTTCTTTCTTGGAAGCCCAGGGTTGGAGGAGTTGTCATGGTAATACTAACTCCCACCTTTACCTACAAGCATTTGTTGTGGAGTACCTACTCTGTTACAGGACCCTTGGGCTTGGCCAACTATATTGCCTCTCTAGCCTTGGAGAAAAAGAGTATAGTTGAGTCTTTTAGTGTCTGTTCCATGGTGAGTAGTTTGAAGAGTATCCCACAGTTCTGGGTCCTTGCCCTGCAATGCCCCTGGCCATTCTAGAGATCACTTTGTCCTTGACACTGTCAGTGAGCTCAGAGACCTGTTAGAAGTATGGTCACCAACTTCCACCTACAATGCAACTCCAGGAAGGATTACCACAATGCTCATCCCAATTATTTTGCAAATCCCAATGGGAGGTTGCAGGTATAATGACAGAGGGCAGGAAACCTCATGTTTCTTGCAGAGTGTTAGGAAAAGATTTGAAGGTGCAGGTACTGAAAGGCTGTTGAGGACAAATGCTTATTAGAATGAAGTTGATTAGAGATCAAAGTCCTGCTTGATACCTCAACGTATCCTTGATACCCTTGCTTCTCTTAAGCCAGGCCCTCTGAATCTTTTCAGGTACTTGGATTGAGAAATTACTTCTTTCCTTCTTAGAAAAGGCTGAAGATCCCAGGCATGGTGGCATGCGCCTGTAATCCCAGCTACTCGGGAGGCTGAGGCAGAAGAATCTCTTGAACCTGGGAGGTGGAGGTTGCAGTGAGCCGAGATCGCATCACTGCACTCCAGCCTGGGCAACAGAGCAAGACTCCATTTCAAAAAAAAAAAAAAAAAAAAAAGGCTAATGATCACTACTAAGACAATTATGTATTTGAGCCTTGTGACCTATGTGTGAATGGTGAGCATCTCTGAATACTACCCAGCATTCCTGCAACAGACCAGTGTAGATATTGGGATTCCACAGTTTGTATAAGATTCTATGTCAACAGACCCCGTATCAGTGAGTCAGTGTTTGCAGCCAACACGGAGTATGTTGCCCCAAGAGCCTGTGGATGGATCACTCAGGCTTCCCAACAAGGACAACCGCCTCACCTCCCCCTGCCCATCACCAGCTTTGATAGGCACTCCAACCCCCAGCCACCTTCTGCCTAGACAAGCTCCTCTTCCTACTTGGGCTCTAACTCCTCACTGCAGGCCACTCCTGCACAGGGATGCCCTACTCATCCTGCTCATCCATAAAGGTAACTCCACATTTATGTGACCGGCTGTCCTAGTAACAGTTATGCTGTTTCCACCTCATTTTCACTGTTTAACTTAATCCTCGGGTAAGTGTAGAGCCAGGTGAATGATAACTTATTATTATTTATTATTTATTTTTTTATTTTTTTTGAGACAGTCTTGCTCTGTCGCCCAGGCTGGAGTGCAGTGGCACGATCTCGGCTCACTGCAACCTCCACCTCCCGGCTTCAAGCAATTCTTCTGCCTCAGCCTCCCAAGTAGCTGGGATTACAAGCTCACGCCACCACGCCCGGTTAATTTTTGTATTTTTAGTAGAGATGGGGTTTCACCATATTGGCCAGGCTGGTCTCCAACTCCTGACCTCATGATCCACCCACCTCAGCCTCCCAAAGTTCTGGGATTACAGGCGTGAGCCACCACGCCTGGCCAATGATAACTATTATTACAAAACAAACTCTTAAGAGTTTTGCACACTTTCTATATGTACGTTATACTTAATCAAATGTATTCCCCAGCAATATTTAATATTGCTGTTAGGCCGGGTGTGGTGGCTAACGCCTGTAATCCCAGCACTTTGGGAGGCCAAGGCGGGTGGATCACGAGGTCAGGAGACCGAGACCATCCTGGCTGACATGGTGAAACCCTGTCTCTACTAAAAAAAAATACAAAAATAAGCTGGGCGTGGTGGTGCGTGCCTGTAATCCCAGCTACTCGGGAAGCTGAGGCAGGAGAATCGCTTGAACCAGGGAGTGGGAGGTTGCAGTGAGCTGAGATCGCACCACTGCACTTCCAGCCTGGCGACAGAGTGAGACTCCATCTCAAAAAAAAATAAAAAAATTACTATTAATACAATACTACCAGAAAGAAGTCTAAAAACATTCATGTTACCGTGAAGTTACCCCTGTATCTTAGTGGAGGCCAAGGACCCCAGGGCAGTCCAGTCACCAGCTGCTCAGGCAAGGAATCTTGTTCAACTTCCGGCACTTCTTGATTCTCTAATAGGCTATCCTTGTAGCACTTTGATTCTCTAATAGGCTGTCCTTGGCCCTTTGGTAAGGGCCAAAAGATCTGATAAAAACATAAGGACTGTTTATTTGGTTTTTAAAATTGTATCAAGCTATTTCAAGAAATATTTTTAAATTGCTAAAGCTGCTCACAAAGCAGTAATGACCCTAGCATAGGTGGGATCTTGCCTTTTGCATTGATTTGCACTTGGCGCACTGTTCCTGTTGGAGATGGAGGGCAAAGGAGAAGATAGCACCAGGAGGCTCCTTTGCCCATCAGTATAAGATTCCAGCAGTATTAAGGAATTATTGTGATTTTTAGATTTGATAATGCCATTGTGGTTATTTTTTCAAATTCTCTTTTAGAGTGTATACTGAAATATTTACAGATAAAATGACATATATGAGATGTGCTTCAAATAATCCAGTGGAAGGGTGTAGATGAAACAAGATTAGCCATAAATTGATAACCTGGGTGGTGGGTTTCACCTCTTCTTTTTCATATGCTTGAAACTTTCCATAATGAAAAGTTAAAAAAAAATAAAAGATTCGATCACAAAGTTATATCCTATCTTGGCTACTGCATAGCGGTAGTGCTAAAGCCAGTAGGAACACTTCTAAGACTGACAATGCATCCATGATCCTTACTCCTCCATAGGGCTTTACCATTCACAGACCACATTCACTGCTCCACTCCACCTGGATACGCTGCCCCACCCTCTCCCCTCAGCCTGAGCAGAAGAGGGAATGATGCATTATCAAAGCAGGGCATATTTGGGCCACAAAAGAAGCCTTTGTTGAGGACGACTTGTCTGGTTGCTTGGCAGGCGGAGCTTGCAAGGAAGCCCGAGGTAGCTCTGCTATGTCAGGCTGGTGTTCTGTAAGCCTGGGAGCAGTGGGGAATGTTTGGGGCCACTGAAGCTGCATTTCTGACACATGCTAATGAGCTCGCCCAGGGATGTAAACAGAGTCAGCACTTCAAACTAAATTCTGGTGACATTTAACAACCCTTGCTTAACCACCTCCCTAGACTGCTTCTGACTGGACACAAGAATGCCAATAGAAAAGGGGGCATTTCCCACCTCTGACAGCTTTCCAATGCCAGTTTATAAAAAGCTGCCAAATGTGCCCAGCCTCACTCAGTGTGGGCATCCCCAAAGGAGAAGAGCAAATGTGTTTTCTGAATTCCCAATTTCAGGCCTCTCCACTCATCTCTACAATCTTCCCCAGTCTGGTTGGGAAGTAAGCTGTCCTCAGGGGGACCTTAGAGAGCTCCTTCAGGGAGTCGGAAGACTCATTAAGCTGACAGTTGACAGCTGATTTTGTCATGCTAACTTTAGACTGTTCCTAATCAGGAGCCACTAGTCCCTGAGGTGGTTGTGTTCATTGCCTACTTGTAAAAGTAGGTCTTTCTCTAGTTTTGAGTGCACGTGGTTGCGTCACTCTGTAGGTAACGTGGACAGAGCTGGGGAGGCCAACAACATGGATGTTCCTATTGAAGAAAAGTTAACCACTCCGTTCCCTAAGATCAGCCGCTTGCCTTGAAGACACATGCCAGTGGTTCACAGTGGAGCTCACCACCCCTCCTCATGGACCCCATCCAAAGCAGCTCTGTCTTGAATGGTGTTGCTAGCCAGCCAACCTTTCACGGCTGAGGTCTGGGTACAAGCTTTCATTTCTTTCTTCCTCACTTTCCACATCCAGTTGGTCAGCAAGTCTTGCTTTTATCTTTGTCTCTCTGCCTCTATTCATTTATTTAATTATTCATTTCCACAAATATTTACTTAGCACTTACTATGTGCCAGACACAATGTTAACATCTGGGGATATAATGGAATAAGACCGTCTGCCATGATCCCTCCTTCCATTCCTATGTGTCCTCCTGTTTGGGCCCTAATCAGAACCCCAGTGCCTTCATCAGGCCCTCATCAGTTATCATCTGCAATAGTTTCCTAATTGATCTTCCTACCTCAGGGTGACTCTCGATCAGTTAGTCAGTCATCATTCTCTCGTTACAAATGACAGAAACCCATCCTGACTTAGCTCAGGCAACAAGAGTGAGGGGTATAGTTTATTGAGTTGTGTAAACAAATTACAGGAATGGCCAGAGCACAGGTGAGTCTTAGGATCAAGTGGAACCAGAAGCTGATGGGCAACAGGAATGCCTGCTATTTCTGGTCCCTGCTTCCCTTGAAGTGTTAGTGTCATTCCCATCACAGGCCAGCTCTTTCCCACAGGGATGCCCATTGTCTTCGAGTTTTACCACTTTAGAAAGATTCCTTCTTTCTAGTCGAGTTAAAAGATCCCAAGAAATGTTCTGACTGGACTGGCCCAGCTTGGGTTACCTGCCCTGAGGACATGGTGGGATCTGTGTGGTGGGCAGCCTCTGAGGTGGCCCCCAGTGATTCCTGCCTCCTGGTAGTCAAGCCCTCGTGTAAACCCTCCTCTTAGGGGAAGGCTGAACTTATGAATGACTCTCCTAAAATAGCATACAGCAGAAGTAATGAGATCTCACTACCAGTATGAAGTTACAGAAGGACTGTGGCTTCCATCTTAGGTGTGCTCTCTCAGTCTCTCTGAGACTGTTGGTTCCAAGGGTAGCCAGCTGCCATGTTGTGAGACAGCCCTATGGAGACAGCCCATGGAAGTGAGCTTGGAAGCAGATTCTCTAGCCCTGCTTGAGCCTTGAGATGACTGCAGCCCTGGCTTGACACACTGATTGCAACCTCATGAGAGTCTCTGAGCCAGAACCCTCAGCTAAGCCACTCCTGGATTCCTGACCCATGGAAACTGTGAGATAATAAATGTTAATTGTTTCCAGCCACTAAATTGTGGGGTAATTTTTTACACGGCAATAGGTAGCTAATAGAGTCTATAATAAAATGGAAGTTTCTATTCAACCCACAAGGGAAAGAGCTTTTCCCAGAAAAAGGAGGCAGGAGGTTTTGGCTGATAAAGAATAGACATCCATCACTACCCTCTAATAGTCTGTCCTCTTCTGTGCTATGGAAGAGGACGTTTTTCATAATGAAAATCTGATTATATCACTTTCTTGCCATTCTTTCTCTTTTCTTTTTCTTCTTTTTTTCTTTATTTAGAGATTGGATCCCGTTCTGTTGCCCAGGATGGAGTGCAGTGGCACAATCATGTCACTGTAGCCTTGAACTCCTGGGCTCAAGCGATCCTCGCACCTCAGCCTCCCAAGTAGCTAGGACTAAAGCTGTGCAGCACCATGCCTGGCTAATATTTAATTTTTTATTTGGTAGAAACAGGGTCTCCCTATGTTGCCCAAATTGGTCTGAAGCTCCTGGCCTCAAGCAGTTCCCCCCCACCCTGCCCCATCTCCACTTCCCAAAGCGCTAGGATTATAAGTGTGAGCTGCCATGCCTGGCCTTCCTGTATGGAATTCTTTTTCTTTTTTCTTTTTCTTTTTTTTTTTTTTTGCCTTGCACAGCCCCTGCTTGGAATTCTTGAAGCTCTCTATCACTCTTAGTTTGTTCATGCTGTTACAACGAAGTACCATAGACTGGGTGGCTTATAAACAACAGAAATGTATTGCTCCAGATCCGCAGGCTGTAAGTCCAAGATCAGGTGCCAGGATGGTTAGGTGCTGGTGAGGGGAGTCTTCCAGGTTGCAGGTTGCAGATGGCCACCTTCTTGTTGTACCCTCACATGGAGGAGAGTTCTCTAGGGTGTCTTTTATAAGGGTATTAATCCCATTCATGAGGGCTGCCACCCTCACGACTTAATCACCTCCCAAGAGCCCCCACTTTCTAATACCATCACTTTGGGGGTTAGGTTTCAACATATGAGTTTGCGGGGGTGGAGCACAAACATTCAGTCCATTGCACATTCTTAAAATAAAATCCAAATTTCTTAGCTTACCGCCCAAGGCCCTTCATGATCAGCACCTGCCTACCTGTCAAAACTCAGCCCCCAAAAATCCGCCTCCCTGTTCCCTGTACGGACCACACTTCTTGCGATTCCACAAGTACACCCCACAATCTCTCCATGCCTCTTATACCTTCTTCCTTTTAGGGGTACATCTCATTCCTCAAGGCTCATACACTTTAACCCTTAATCATAGGTTAAGGCTCCATTCAGGCGTCACCACCTCCAGGAAGCCTTCCATGATAACCTAATCCCTCCACCCCAGCATGTTCTGACATGGCTTATATTGCACTGTGTGGGACTGTTGGTGTGATTGTCTACTTCCCTCAATCATCTCTGCTCTTTGAAGAGTGAACTACATATTTCACATTGGAATCCCCAGTGCCTTCTAAATCATAGGTTCTCAACATATGTTTGTGATTCATTAATCAATTAGCTAGTTAGTTGATTTTTGGTATCAGGGAATTACTCTCACTTGTGTATGCCTATTCATACTGGTTCCATTATAAAGGAGTATGAGGCAGGGAGGGAGGTCAGCTTTCATTTTTATTAACTAAGGTTCATAAACAAATTAAGTACACATGACCCTTGATCCATGATACCCTCAGAGAGTTTTACAGCAAAAACTAGAAGCTAATTTAGTTGTAGTTATGAAGGAAATCATCAGGGTTTTATGAGAGAGAATAATATTTTGAGCTGCTTGAACATGGATGAGCAGAGGGCCCTGTAAGGGCTGACATTTAAGCTGAGACCTGAAAGATGAGAAGGAGCCCCTCAGGCAGAGTCGGGGAAGCACGCAGAGGATCTGCTGTGGGAAGGTGCTAAGCAGAGAATAACTTGGTGCCTTCGAAGGATTCAGAGAAGACTGGCACAGTGAATGAGAGGGCAACTGGATAGGTAGGGAGGGGGCCATCATGGATTGAGGTGGGGGATAGCCAAGGGACTGGAGCTTACTACATGGGAAACCCCCATGGGCATGCATCCACTCTACCCATGCTGCTCATTCATTCATGTCATTCATTCATTCCTCTGTGAAATCTTACATCACTACTTTCTCTGCCCAGAAAGCTCTTCCCCAATCTTTCTGACTCCTATCACCCAAGTCTTGCATCAAATGCCAACTGATGCCCCATCTGAAGTTAGCCCTTACCCCTCCACACCATCTTCCTAGTGACTTTCCGTTGTCCCGTTTTATTTGTACATAACACCTATTACTATCTTGGAATAAACTTGTGCATTTTTTGGTTTACTTGTTTCTCTGTCCCTCTAGACTATATGTGCTATGGGGTCAGGGACCTTACGTATGTTGTCTACTGCTGTGTCGCCTGTGCCTAAACCCTGCTTGGTATGTAGTAATGATAAGTATTTATTGCATTATTTCATTCAAATAGCCAGCAGTGTTTTCTTTTTTTTCTTTTAAGCTCAGGGGTACATGTGCAGGATGTGCAGGGTTGTTACATAGGTGAACGTGTGCCATGCTGGTTTGCTGCACAGATCATCCCATCACCTAGGTATTAAGCCCAGCATCCATTGACTATTCTTCCTGATGCTCTCCCTCCTGTCCCTGAGCCCTCCAACAGGCTGCAGAGTGTGTTGTTCCCCACCAATGTGTCCATGTGTTCTCATCATTCAGTTCCACTTGTAAGTGAGAACTTGTGGTATTTGGTTTTCTGTTCCTGCATTAGTTTGCTGAGAATAATGACCTCCAGCTCGATCCATGTCCCTGCAAAGGACATGATCTCGTTCCTTTGTATCAATTAGCCAGTAGCTTTTACTGTCTACCATGTGCCAGACCCAATGCCAGGTACCAAGACAAAATAGACATACATTCCACCCAGAGCTCTGAGCTTAAAAGGGCCCCACACTTGGTTCAATACTCCACTGTCATCGTTTGAAATTATTAATTATTTATGAATTAGATGACCCATATTTTCATTTTTCACTAAAGCCTCCAAATTATGTAGCTGATCCTACCCCCACTTTAACTCCAGAAAGCTCCTAGCACATTCACATTTGGAAACAGTTTAGGGACAAGTCAGTAGACTTGGCATACTATTGTTAATAATTTTAATAGAATTGCCTAATATATTTAAGGGGACATAAAGAGTAAGTGGTTTACAGAAACAGCATAGATTAAGACTCAATTCTGGGAATCAGACATCGTTGGATTCCAGGCTCTGCCATTCCTAGCTGTGTGACTTTGAGAGACTCACACAACATCTCTGAACCTTGATTTCCTCATTATAAATGGATATCATAATAGTGTCTACCCTGAAGAGCTGGCTGGGTAATTAAATGAAATAATACTTAAAACACTTAGGTCAGGTTCTGGGCATCCTGAAAAGCGGGTTCCATCACTCAGCCACCTGCTCCCCTTCCTTTGGCTCCTTCCACCCTCCTGCCCACTCCTGGGGTGGGAAATCTGGGTCAATGTGAGTGGCTCCTAAGCAAGAAGAATATTGAAGAGAAAAAGCAAGGAATTATGACCTTCAGGGAAGCAATAACATTTTGCTTAAAAATTGCTTGAGCAAAGAATTTGTAGATATTTGCAATTTGTATGCAAATACAGACTCCTATATCCTGAGCTGAGACATGGCCCTGGGCAAAAGCTTGAAGAAGACGACTGTTGGACCACAGAGAAGCCTGCATCAGTTTCTCTTTGCTGCCAGTTTAAATGAAAACCTTAGATAATTTCAAAGCTGCAGTTTCCACTGCCTTAGCCTTTCAACAAATCCATTAGTATGGAAGGCAGTTTTCTAACAAGGTAGATGCATCCCCATCTGTATGTACCGCATCATCTCTGCTGTATAATCTTTGTTCTCACATTCATTGTCTGTTTAATCAAGCACTGATTTGGCATCCACTTGCAAATGCTGTGTCTCCTATGCCTGATGAAAAAGAATTTTCAGTGGGTCAAACCTCACCTAATTTCATGAAAATGCAAGTCAACAGCCAAATTAAAAGAGGAAGCCGAGAACAAACTGACAAAGAACAATCCCCCAAGACTCTCAGAACTGATGGAGAACAGTAGTTTTATTGTACTCATCGCCACTTGTTCATTCATTCAAGAAACACTTACTGCAAGCACCCACCATGCACGGGGTACTATACTAGGTGCAATAGACAAGTCTTTGTCTTCATGTAGTCTGCAATCCAATTGGAGTACAGAAGAGCACAGGCCATTCCAATGCAACCCTGATTCAAGGTAAAAGCGGGGAAGTACAGGCACTCAGGGAACCTCTAGTGGGGGCCAGTCACCCAGTGGCTAGGGATAGGGGTGGAGAATCTCAAGGAAGCTCCTGGCATTCTTGCCCTTGGATTGCATCCATTTGTCCAATCCATCCCTGACAGGATTCCTCTATCTGCAAGGTTAACAAGATCGGCATGCATCTGCCTTGAATGCGTGCCCCCTTTTAGAGCCCAGGAACCAGGGTTAGGACTGGGGTTAGAGTCAGTGCCTTCTAGGAGAGGCTCATCTTGCCTCAACAGAGCCTCATTCCATTCATTCATTCATTCATTAGCACACACTTACTGACCACTTCTGTACCAAGCTCTGGCAATCCAGCCGTGAGCAGGACAAATACTTCTTCCTCAAGGAACTGGGGCAGTTTTTTGGGCACCATGCCTCTTTTTCTTTTATTTACTTCAGCTCATTGACAAATGTTATTTAAATCTCACAGCACCCCTAAGAAGTAGTTATTATTATCCCTGCTTTGCTGGTGAGGGGACCGAGTTTCAGAAAGTTCAAGTAACTAGCTGCAGGTTGCCCAGCTAGGAAGGGAAAGGCTTCAACTCTAGGTTAGACTCCCAGCCTCTTCTCTTTCTCCTCTGCTGGGCAGACCGAATCCTGGGCTGGGAAGGGGCCTTCCGACAGCAGCTTTCTCTGTGTTGTTGATAATATCTGTGGGTCCTTCTCGGCAGCGTGACTGCCATCCTCCCTCAGGCCTGGTGATGGCAGCAAGGCCATGCGTGCTCTACGGCCCCCACAAGCAGAGGGCACTGGCCGAGGACTGTCTCCGCAGCCTGCATCTTCCCTGCTCCAGGGAACCTAAGTCATGTCAGACAGGGATGCAGACAACGGTGGGACAGCTGTGCTCTGAAGACCCCAAACAGAACCACTCTTCCTGCCTCATAACCTTCCCTCCCGGTCCAATATTCTGATGGTTTTCAAAGCCTTGTTGAAACATCAAGTCCCCTGCTGAACTCACTTTGCTTTCTTCACAAGGTAAAGCAAGTGTCATGAAGCAAGGTTTCAAAGCCAGACCAGCAGTCTTCCACTCAGGAACGAAGTAGGTGCTGGGACTCCCCAGCCTCCTCTCTCTGGTCAACTTCCCACCATTTCAGGCCACCATGTCTGAGCTGCAAAGTCTTGCCCTGGTGGCTGGAGACAGTCCTGACCAGCTGGAAAATTCAAAGCTTTAGAGTCTAGCAGCTCTGGCCTGCCCAGGGTCGCATAAACGTATCCTGAGGATTCCCAGACTGCTGTTTCCACTTTACAAGACCTGATGACAGACATTTTCCCATTTGATCTGCTCCCACATCATACCCATTTTTCAGTTGAGAACAGTGAGGCTCAGGATGCCTAAGCAGCTGGCTAAAAGTCTCCCAGCTCAGAAATAGCTGGGCCAGAGCTACAGCAATTGTTCTCTTATTGTGAGGCTGAACTCTCCTCTCTATCCCTGCAGTCCAACACAGAAAACCAGCCAAGAAATAACTGAGATGGACACATTTGGTTATAATAATTTTAAATAAGCCTCACTGCTTAATGAGCATGCAGAGATCCAGGCACCTGGTGGAAGCTGTGGGGCTCCACAAAGCACCCTGGAGCCTCCACCTCAAGTGGACAAAGCCACAAGGCAGAGTACACACGGGTCTGAACAAGCTCAAAACGAATGTCTGAGGACAAATAAGGCAGAGCAGAGAACCCTGAGGCCGGGAGGACATTGGGAACAAATACCCCTGGCCAGGAGGCAGGGAGAAAACAGGCCATGCTGGACATAGCCCTGGGCCCTCAGGCCAGCTCAGTCAGGGGTCTCACCCTCCCGAGCCCCAGAGAAGATGCCTGGCCCCAAGGCAGACCATTCGCAATCGCCTCCAGAGCTACATCACGGGACATTGTATTCTTGGATCTACCATGTCCTGTGCTCCCAATTTCCTGCCCTGTGACTTTATTATTTATTTATTTATTTTGAGATGGAGTCTCATTCTGTCACCCAGGCTGGAGTGCAGTGGCGTGATTTCGGCTTACTGCAGTCTCCGCCTCCCAGGTTCAAGCATTTTTCCTGCCTCAGCCTCCTGAGGAGCTGGGATTATAGGCATGCGCCACCACACCTGGCTAATTATTGTTTTTTTAGTAGAGACGGAGTTTCGCCATCCATGCCAGGCTGGTCTTGAACTCCTGACCTCAGGTGATCCACCTGCCTCGGCCTCCCAAAGTGCTGGGATTACAGGTGTGAGCCACCGCACTGGGCCCCCTGTGACTTTAGGTGCTTTAGCCTCTCATCCTGTTTCTACATCTGCAAAATGATGATTGTGGAACCAACGTTGGCTCATCCTACCTCCATTCTAAGAATCAGCCATGTAAGGATACGGGATGTGGGGACAAAAGCTCTCAGCCTGTTAGAGCTTTGCACAGGGCCTCAGTGTCCTCAAGTGCAACATGGGGATAACAGTACAAACATGTCAGTGTTCTATGAATATACAGACTGATGGGTGAAAGGCAATAAGGAGCAGCAAGGAGCATGGACCCTGGATCAGACTTCATGATTTTAAATCCTGGCCCTCCATCCTGCCAGCTGGGTAATCTTGGGCAGATATGTTAACTTCTCTGGGCTTTGATATCTAGTTTGTAAATGGGGTGGTATTGAAAATACCTACCTGATAGAGTTGTAAAGATCAAAGAAGATAAAATGTGTGTCTCAGTGTTTGGTCAGTGACTGACAGGACCAGTTATAAATGTCATTGAATGGAGTACTCATAGAAAGGGCTTTGCCATGTAACTCACGGTAAAATGTATGCCTGTCCTGCAGGCTGGAGGATGCAGCACTGATTCCTTGATTAATAGATCTTCTGAGGCAGAAGCTCTTCTAGAATGAAGTCAACCATATGTGGCTGGTATTGGGGAAGAAACTCATAAATCATGCAAAGCGAGGCTGGCATGTGGCAGCTGGTTCAGTGGCAACCCTCAGCCCAGCCCAGTGCCCACTCTCCCTCCGCCTCAGAGTGATCCATCACTGCCCAGAGCTCTGTGGCAGGCAGCTTGCTTAGCAGGGGCAGGGCCCGCAGCACCCAGCTCTCTGAGCCTTCTGCACCACGTGGTGACACGTGGCCCCGTCAGGGGACCAGAACCCATCTCAGTCACCAGAACAGTGGCTCTCAAACCTGAGCATGCATCAGAATCCCCAAGAGGCTTGTTAAACTCAGAGGGCTGGCCCCACCCCCAGAGTTTCTGATTCAGTAGGTCTGAGTGGGGCCCAAGGGTTTGCATTTCTTCATTTCTTTTCTTTTCTTTTTTCTTTCCTTTTTTTTCTTCTATTCTTCTCTCCTCTCCTCTCTTCTCTTTTCTTCTCCTTCTTCTTCTTCTTTTTTTTTTAGACAGTCTCACTCTGTCTCCCAGGCTCAGCTCACTGCAACCTCCACCTCCTGGGTTCAAGGGATTCTCCTGCCTCGGCCTCCCAGATAGCTGGGACTACAGGCACTGGGCATCATGCCCAGCTCATTTTTGTATTTTTAGTAGAGATGTGGTTTCACCATGTTGGCCAGGCTGGTCTCGAACTCCTGGCCTCAAGTGATCCACCTGTCTCAGTCTCCTAATCGGCCTCTTCTTTTTTTTTTTTTCTTTTTGAGATAGGGTCTCGCTCTGTTGCCCAGGCTGGAAGTGCAGTGCTGCAATCATAACTCACTGCAGCCTCAACCTCCTGGGATCAAGTGATCCTCCCGCCTCAGCCTTCTGAGTAGCTGGGACTACAGGCATGCACCACCACACCTGGCTAATTTTTAAATTTATAGTATAGATGAGGTCTCACTATTTTGCCCAGGCTGGTTTCAAACTCCTGAGTTCAAGTGGTCCTCCTACCTTAGCCTCCCAAAGTGCTGGGATTCTAGGCAGGAATCGCTGTGCCTGGCCAAGAGTTTGCATTTCTTTTTTTCTTTATTTTATTTTATTTTATTTTTGAGACAGAGTCCCACTCCGTCGCCAGGCTGGAGTGCAATGACACAATCTCGGCTCACTGCAACCTCTGCCTCCTGGGTTCAAGTGATTCTCCTGCCTCAGCCTCCCGAGTAGCTGGGACTACAGGCGTGTGCCACCCGCCTGGATAATTTTTTGTATTTTTAGTAGAGATGGGGTTTCACCACATTAGCCAGGATGGTCTCGATCTCCTGACCTTGTGATTGCCCACCGCGGCCTCCCAAAGTGCTGGAATTCCAGGCGTGAGCCACCGCGTCTGGCCCAGAGTTTACATTTCTAATAAGTTCCCAGCTGAAGGGGCTGGTCTGTGGGACCATTGACACATGCTCCTGTGAGAGTGAGTTTAAACCTAGCTGTTTATCCTTGGGCAAATTTCTTCTCTCAACTGAGCCTCCCCTCCTCATCCATAAAGTGAGTGTATGAGAACCTACCTCATTGGAGTGCATATGGTAGCCTTACTAAGATTCTGGGTACCCAGAAAGTGCTCAATCTGTGTCAGTCCTCAGCATCACCAACACATTGCTGTTGAGACAACTAATGAATAGGGAGGGTGGAGTTGTGGCAACATCAAACTTGTAAGAAGTGAGACGAAAAATGGACAAGTGTATATTGCGTGCTTTCTATGTGCAGTGTACTAATTCCTAAATGCCAAAATGCTTTATCATTAAAAGACAAAGCAAAACAAAAACAAACCCAGTTAGAATGCTTTATCTTT
Source organism: Homo sapiens (assembly GCF_000001405.40). NCBI lineage: Eukaryota > Metazoa > Chordata > Mammalia > Primates > Hominidae > Homo > Homo sapiens. Next base: position 69,359,292 of record NC_000014.9, on the reverse strand, counting down.
AATTAATTCATTCAGCAAACAAACATTTGCTGTAAGTCTGAGAAGCAGGTTCTGTGCTGTAGCAGTGGGAGGTATGAAGCTGGAGCAGGCGTGGTTCCTGTCAGCAAGGAGCTACAATCTAACAGAAAAAAGAGGACAAGACTAGAGAAGACAGGAACACACCATAGCGTATGGAGGAAGGTGATGACAGGCTGGGAAGGAACGCTCAGCACCCTGAAGAAGCAAGCTGGAGAGGTACTTTTCAGACAGGTGGGGGATCAGGAAGGGTTTCCTTGCAGAAGCAGCACTTGTCTGGGAAAATGGGTAGCATTTAACTCATGGAGTTAACAAAGTATGGGGCAGAAGAAACAGCAAAAGCACAAACAAGAGAAAGCAGAAAGCAACTTCGCACTACACGACTCAGGTCACTTTGGCTGATTGTAGGGTGAGGAAGAGAGAGTGGAAGCCGAGGTTGGCCTGGCTGTCTGCCATCAGGCATTGGATAGTTGTAACCATCGGTGGTTCATGGGGCTCCTCTGAGAGCATTCCACCGTCTTTGTGGGGCAGGTGTTCAGTATACCACTGTGGGCTTGATGATGGGTGTGATGATGACGCACCGGTGTGAGAGCTTGCATGTTCTAGGAGGGGGAACCCCCCGGAGCTCTAAGCACTGCCAAAGCCAGCTCACCTTCCCAGCATCCTTCAGAAGGAGAAGTCAGTCCCAAGCCCCCACCTGATGGCTGCAGAACCAAGGCCACACCGCACACCCAAGAGAAAGCTCCCAGTGCCACTCTGCTGCTCCACCTGCTGCCCCCACAACTTACTGTGACCTGATTTAACCTTAGCATCCCCCACACTCCCACCCCCAGGGAGGCCAAGGCTCTGGAAGGCAGAGTCATCCTGGGCGAGGGGCAGCCCCTGCCCTTGTGGGCAGAGAAACCTGGAGCTCTGCAGCTGCCTGACAGGGTTGTGGGAACTGCAGTCCACCCACGGGGAGAGGAGCAAGCCTCCTGCCATGCTGAGAGCCATCTCTGACTCAAACTGTGGGGAGGGGCCCAGACAGAGACCCCATCGAGGTGGCCCTAGAGCAACTGTCTCCAGAGACTCTTACCTCCTGGTTCTCCTGCCAGAGAGTCCCCCAGACTCTCCTGCCATCCCTAGTTTCCCATCCAACTGAGGGTCTCCCAGCTGGGGACTCTCCACCACTGCTGGGCTCAGACCTCCGGGTCCAAGATGTGGTCCCTACATTCTTCTGGCTCCTGGGGAAGTACAGTAAGGAGTACAAGGGTAGCCTTCTTTCCCCCTGGCTTCTCCCTCTTGTAGTGAGTCCAGTGCTGAGTGTCAGGGTACTCAATCCAGGGCCCAGCTCATTCTGATTCTCTCCTGCACAGCTTCCCCTCTCTGGGCCTCCAGCTCTCCTTCCTGGTGCATGGGACTTAAATGTGCAAACGCATCACTTGGACCACTCAATACAAACACAGGAATTCTAAGCCTCCCCGTCTGGGTCAGACCCAGGAGCATACAGGTCTACAATCCCTCCAGGGATACTGAGCAGGTTATCTGGACCACATCTTAAGAGACACATATTTGAAAGACAAATTGTTGAAAGACCGGCTTTGTTTTCAGATGGCTTGAGGGGATCAGAAGCAACCTGAGAGCCAGGCAAAAACAAGTCTTTCCTGGAACGCCTCCACCATGAGTATCCCTTCTCTCCAGAGAAGGATCACTAATTCCCGTACCAACTAGACCCACCTTCCCGAAGGAAGAATACCGAGCCCTGGAGGAATGGTCCCTAGCTCAAGAAGCACAGGCTGTGTCTGTTGGGGTTGAAATGGCTCCCACAGCTTCCTTCTAGAATTCTCCTGTTGTAACAGGCTGGTCTACGTCACCACAATGCTGCCTGCAGGGTAAAAAGCCCAGGCCACCCAGCAAGGTACCAGCTGAATTGCCATCTCTGCTAGTGTGGCCAGTGGACTTCACCAGACCTTATCCAGTCCAACCTTTATCCAGCCTGAGGCAGGCATTGCCTGGAATGTCATTTCAAGCTGTCCTGGAAGCATCATCTTCTGGAGAGAGAGCACCAACTCACTGACGCTCTGGGTGAGAGCTCCCTCTCCTTGCTCCCATAGCTCCTGCCTTCCCCTGTAGCTTTTATCATGTGGTATCACAGTTGCTGCTGATTGGTCCATCTCCTCTGCTAGAATATTTGTTCTCGAGGGCAGGGACCGTTTCTGTCTTGTTTACATTTGTGTCATCACCCCTAGCAAAGTGTTTGGCATGTAGCAGGCACTCAGAAAATGTTTATTAATAATAGTAATGACATATTGATTAAGCATTTGGAAAGGGCCAGATGCTTTGCGATCAGGCTTCACAAAAAAATCCTTTACGGCTATGAGTACCCCATTTAACAGGTAAAGAAATCAAGGCTGAGAGATGAAATAACTTATTCAAGAGCTCAGTCAGGCGCAGTGGCTCACGCCTGTAATCCCAGCACTTTGGGAGGCCGAGGCGGGTGGATCACGAGGTCAGGAGATGGAGACCATCCTGGGTAACACGGTGAAACCCTGTCTCTACTAAAAATACAAAAAAAATTAGCTGGGCATGGTGGTGGGCGCCTGTAGTCCCAGCTACTCGGGAGGCTGAGGCAGGAGAATGGCGTGAACCCAGGAGGCAGAGCTTGCAGTAAGTGGAGATCATGCCACTGCTCTCCAGCCTGGGTGACAGAGCAACACTCTGTCTCAAAAAAAAAAAAAAAAAAAGAGCTCACAGCTGGCAAATGGCAGAGTAGTGAGGGATCCAGCTGAATGGGTATTTTTTGAAGTTGATTTGAATTTTTATTTATAGAGATAGGGTCTCGCTATGTTGCCCAGGCTGGTCTCGAACTCCCCTGGGTTCAAAGGACCCTCCCAATTCAGCCTCCTGAATATTTGGGATTACAGGTGTGAGCCACTGCGCCTGGCTTGAATGGGTCTTAAAGACCCAAGAGTCCGCACCCCTAGTACACTCTTCTCCACGCTTCACAGGGCTGAATTAAGCAGGAGAAATTGTCCTCAGATGGCTCTGGAGCCTCAGTCCAGGTCGGCTACTCAGACAGCCCAGCTGCAAGCCCAGGAGAGTAGGCCCTCCCCTGATCCATCTCCAGGTCTTTCCTAAGTGCCTGGCAGTGAAGACCTCTTCCCATTAGAGAAGCTGGCTGGGTTGCCCCCTCCTTCTGGAGGAGCACTGACTCAGACCATCACAGGGACACACAAATACCAAACACACTGAGAACATTGTTGGCAATGAAATTACAGACGTTATAAATGCCAGCCTTTCCCTTCCAGGTTTCCTTTCCTGTTCCCTGGTGGGAGAAGGACCACACCCCATGCAGTGCTGGGAGACATCCCCCGCAGGCCTTGGGGTGCTGGAACCCTGGGACGACAGTCATATTGTCCAGGTTATTTCTCCCAACTGCAGATGGAGACAGCCTTCCTGAGGGGCCAGGGGGAACAGCCCTTGTAAAAACTGAAGCCAAGTCACAGAGGCCCAGGGATCCTCAGGAACAGCTCCCTGCTGTACAAATGGGAGTCTGGCCCTGGTGCAGAAGTCCCTTCTGCTGCCCTGCCCATAGGCTTTCGGGGGACTCTCCTGCCAGTGACGTAACTGTTAATACCCAGCCTGGGGCTTTTGCTGATTCCTCCAGGGCCTGGCTAAAGGCTGACAGCCTTATCTCCTAGGGAAAAAACTGGGTGGCACAGAAAATGGGCTTTGGGAGAGGTAGGTTTGGAGGAGAGCAAGCAAGAGGAGAGAGCCTGACTCAGGAGAAGCAAGCACCAGAGCCCTCCAAGGCTGAGGGTGAAAATAGATGGAGAGTGGAAATGGGGCTCAGCGCGCCAGGAGGGAGCCCTGAGTAGGCGGTGGGTGGTGGGCTGTGCTCCCTGAGAGGACGGAGGGGTGGATGGGGGAATGGAGGCTGCAGCCAAGGTCTTTTACAGTGACTTGCTCCTAAGCCCAGACCAAGCTGGACATTGTAGCCAAGGTGTATTCTCTGCAGCCAGCTAGGGCTTTGCTCCAGGCTCCTCAGGCCCAGGGGTCAGAAGTTCTGGGTAACTCCAGATCAGCAGCCCCACGGCAAAGTGGGGCTGAGGGCAGAAATGGTTGCGTCCAGGAGAGGCTAGTGGTGTGCTGGCCTGCCAGCTGCAGTTCATATGTATGTTGAAGCAGCGTTTATTTTTACCTGGGTAGGTTCAGCTTCTGATCACAGACATGGTGGGGGTTTTCCATTGGTTTCCATGGGAACATTAGGCAGAGCATCTGCTACCCAATCAAGCAAAGCTGGTCTGGTAAGACTCTTTTCAGAATTATTTTGCTGTTTTTACCCAGGAAGTATGTCCTGCCTGAATTTGTACCACTGCCTTCTTGTGTGGTAGAGCAGGGGAGGGCAGCTCCGAGGGGACAGGCCTGGCTCACAGGGAAGGAGAGAGGGCTGGCTAAAGGCAAGCACGGCGGCAGGGCAATACCTATTTGGAGAAGCAATTTGCTTTCCATTTCTAAGCCCCAAGTAGAATCCCATAATGAGGCCACAGGAGCCTGGGCTCCACCTGACCTGTGCTGATTCCTGGTTTTGGTCCAAGGCCTGCCCTTGCAGTAGGGCCACCTGTTGGCCCCCACCAGAGCAGTCAGGAGTTCCTGGGGCACCACAGGGCATGGAGGCCGACGAGCAAGCTACCAGGTGCAGGACAGGGCTAGACTTGAGCATGTTCAGTTTCACTTTTACAGAAAGGAGGCCCGGACTTTCCCCACGAGGCGGGGGAGGGTGTGCTGAAGGGCTAGGCCTGGAGGCAGAAAGGAAGGCGCTGGTGCATGTGGACATGTAAGAAGTGGTTTTATTCCAGGTGTGTGTTTCATAAAGACGAGGTCCTCAAGGACAGCTAGTGGCACATGCTTTGGTCAAGAAGAGGAAAAGCAAAAACAGAACAGGGCTGCGTTGCCACAAAGGACCGGCTGATAAGTGCAGAGCCTGATCTGACCACAGCAAAGGACAGAGAGACCCTCTTGAAGGCCCTCTGGTCAGCAGTCCTCTTACATTCAACAGGCGCAGCCCCGGCTCCCCAGCCCCAAAGGTCCATGCCCGAGTGTGGCCCAGGCCTTCTAGTCCATCCTCTGGGGAGAGGCCTTTGCCCTGGGCCCAGTTCTGTCCTAAGCTGTGGCAGGAGGCTTCCCAGATGAACAGGGGATCTGAGGCTGCACCTGGCTGCGGAAGAAACATCACGACAGAGGACAGGCAAAGCATGGCCCTGGGAGCGAAGGGGCCTGCGCTGGCAAGTCCAGAGGGGTGCACTTGGGCACGGGAGTGCTGCCGAGAGGACGCTGGTGAGAGTCAGGAGGCGAAACTGCTGGAGAGCCCTCCAGAGCAGGTGCTGCGGACCACAGACACTTGGCTGCTGACCCCAAGGGCCGTGTGGAGGGAGCAGGCGATGGCAGTTTGAGCACGCCAGGGAGGAAGATTAGGGGGTGGCAGCTTGGGCAGACAGTGGCTTCAATCCAGAGCAGAGGTTCAGGCCCTTTGGGGATCAGGGACCTCTTTTAGAAGCCATGGACTTTTTCCCCAGGAAAATGCATGTATGCACACACATGCAGTATTTTAGGGACAATTTCAAGAGATTCCTAGACCCTCTAGAATCCATGAACTCTATGGGTATGTGGATCCTTGGCCTATGAAAGACAGGGGGCTCCTGTGGTAGGTATATCTGCCCCAGGCTGGTCTGCTTTGTAGGGGAGACCCCCAGGGTCCTGGTACCAACAGTCATTTGCCCAAGAGCCAGTGGGGTGAGGAAGCAGGGTGTGGGGATAGCAGGAGCAGTTCCAAGACAAGGCCGTGGGGTAGATGTGTGGATGTGTTCTCAGCGGCTGTGAAAAGGAACTGGGAGTTCTCTTCACAAACAGGAGCCACAGCCAGCCTCCCAGCACAGTGCAATAGCTGACCCTTCAAGAAAATCCCTCCTGTAGTAGGGAGGGGAATAAGGGTGAGGTTGAGCCCTAATGACTTAGGGGCTCCTGTAGCGGGGAGGGGAATAAGGGTGAGGTTGAACCCTAATGACTTAGGGGCTGTTCTTGGTCCAGAAGGGAAGTTCCCTTCTTTCCAACCACCCATGATGCTGTATTGACAGAGGCAAAAACCTTTGAGAAAGCAGGAGTCAAAAATGACAAATGAGGCTGGGACTACTCAGGGATGTGTGTGGCTACCCGTCCTTTCAGTGGGTCCTGGCGGCAGGGACAGGGCACTAGCTGTTCATTAATGCCCGAGAGAGAGGTCTCAGCCTGACACATGGCCAAATAGAAGTGGAGTCTGTTTAATAAACTACGCCCGAATCTTCCCCTAAAGATCCCTCTGCAGCCTCTTGCTAAGAATGTGGGCACCCACAGGCACAGGACCGGAAGAGGCAGCGTCGGGCTCAGACCCTGGGGCTGGTAAAGTGTGGAAGGGACTGTGTCCTGGGTAAGAGACCTTGTTCTTTTGGTGCTTTGCTGCTCTTCTATCCATGTTCATTTGCAAATTACCCATCCTTTGCTGCCAAGACACCATCCGTCCCCACCCAACCCAGTGCCACCCTGGGCTTGGCATCTCTGACAGGTCACCGGGCTTCTCACCTCCTTCCTGTTCTTCAGCTACCCCTGCAGGCTGCCCCTCTCCCCTTCCCTCTTCCCAGCCTTCAGCCTCTCCATCCATGCTGCCCAATTTCCCCTGGCCCTGCCTGCCTGCACAGCTGGGCCTCATGACCCAAAAGACCCCTGTGTGGGCTTCTGTCCTTGCTTTCTCCGGGCAACAAGGGAGAGACCACACACTATTGTCCCAGCCCCAAGAAGCGCCAAGGGAGAGGACAAAGGGCCAGGGGCACCTACTCAGTCTCTACCCAGCAACAGTCCAGCACCCTGACCATCTCCTCTCCCGGGGCAAGGCCAGGACAGCACTGAGGGCATCGGGGCGTGCCCGCCTGCGCCCTCCTAGAACAAGCTTTGGAGAACGTGTGTCATGGTGGGTATTTGCTGATGGTCCTGGCAGAAATGTGAGGAGATGGGAACAGCCCACTTTGCACTCCCCCACCCTAACCCCCTTCCGGTCCCGAAGTCTCATGCAAAAGGTACAGGAGGCCCCAGGGCTACCGTCATGTGTGTGGCAACAGCTGCCACTGCTGGGCCTGGGCGTCAGCCTGACACTTGCTGGTCACCAGCTGGGCAGGCTTTGTCTCCAGGCAGAGGCCACTGACTGAATGCTGGATGAAAGATCCTTTTCTCCTCCATTTCTAGGAGGAACAGAGATGGGTTAGAAGAGGAAGGAGAAAACAATGATTTAAAAAAATAATGTTGTACTTTCATTCCACATGTATGCACACAGCCCTTGTATATAACTAGGACACATCCCCCTCCTCCTTTCTTTTTAGGCATGACCTTGTTCTTACAGTGGTGCTACCACAGCTCACTGCAGCCTCGAACTCCTGAGTTCAAGCAATCCTCTTGCCTCAGCCTCTGAGTAGCTAGGACTACACCTGCATGCCACCACGCCCAGCTAATTTTTAAATTTTTTGCAGAGACTGGGTCTTGCTATGTTGCCCAGGCTGGTCTAGCTAGAACGTCTCACCTCAAGTGATCCACCTGTCTTGGCCTTCCAAAGCACTGGGATTACAGGCATGAGCTACCATGCCCAGTCATGCCCCTCATTTAAATCAGGCTGTGTGTTCCTATGTAAGAGGCTGCCCCCATCCTGCCTCTAACACCAGCTTTAAGCCCTGCCCTTCCCAGCAGGGCTCTTGCTTTTCTGTAGTTTGCAGAAGTTCCTGTCCAGATCAGAGGAGGAGGCAAAGCAGAAGTCCCCTGTGTTTATTTACAATTTAGCTTGGTTGCCACGTGCAAATCTGCATTTCCAGCTTCTATGTAGTTATTGGACCCAGTTTCTTACATGGCATCAGTTGCTGGGGCTGAGGATTTGCCCTCTGCCTTAGATGGGGCTCTTGTTCTGCAGGTCACCATAGTTCCTGCCTGGTCCCGACTTTTCTCCTATTGGGGTTTTCCCACCAGCTCCCTGTAGGCACTTGAGCTTGTCAGTCCTGGCCTAGGTAAATCTTTTATTTCTGTAAACAAGATTTATTCTTCCTAAGCTTCTGACCTGTGAGGCCAGTAATCTACACCCCCTAGTGGGAAGCTGCCTTCTTTGTAGGGATGAAGTGTGGGGCCAGCAGGGTGGTGGGAGACTGGAGGTCTCGCATCACAGAGTCATGCAGGGGCTCCTGGTCAGTGCCTTCACCTCCTGGTGCCTCCCCGACCCCGGGTTTGACAAGGGGGAGAAGAGTTGCTCCTGTAGAACATTACGGAAGTGCCTGGGTGGAGGATGGAGTGTTGCTTGGAACATTTATGAGAAGGGATGAGAGGCAGAGACCCAGGTTTCAAGGCTCAGGGAAGAATAATAGTAAGATAGGTCTAGTTTGGGTTTCTCTCCTATTTGCCTCCCATTGCAACCACCTCCCCTCTTCCATCTTCTCTCATTCACCGTGTCTTCGATTAGAGGCAGGAGTGCTTGTGACCATGTGGAGGAAGCCCAGAGGGCTCTGAGGGCAGTTGGTGGACAGGGAGCAGCTGAGGGGAGAGAGATGAGCCCACCCAGCTGCAGGGATAGGGCTAGGGCTGCGGGGGGATGTGCACACAGGGTGGAAGGCAGGGGCGGAGCCTGGGCTCCCAGTGGGAATGCAAGGACGTGATGGGTAGGGCTGAGACCCAGCCTCTCTGGGCCCACATGGCCCCCGCAGAGAGCCTAAAGGTCAAGGGCCTTTGGATCCCCCCTCCTGTTTCTTCATGCTCTTCTAGTCCTTGACATTTACCTCATGTAGGCCAAACCTCCAGCAATGCCCAGCTGGAGAGAGTATGGCCATCCTCACCCCAGGGAGTCGTGGTGCTTGGAGCTACCTCAGCATCTAGCCTTCTGTAATATAGTGTCTTACTCCCTTCTTTCTCTTCCACTAAAGTGCAAATTCCCTGGGGGTCAAGGACCATGTCCGTTCATCCTTGTGGCCAACATGATCTGTACATTCTCTGGCACAAGGTAGGCACCCAGTGACATTTTGTTTGTTTGAGACTGAGTCTCGCTCTGTCACCCAGGCAGGAGTGCAGTGACACGATCTCGGCTCACTGCTACCTCTGCCTCCCGGGTTCAAGCGATTCTCCTGTCTCAGCCTCCTGAGTAGCTGGGATTACAGACGCGCGCCACCACGCCCGGCTAATTTTTGTGTTTTTAGTAGAGACGGGGTTTCACCATTTTGGTCAGGCTGGTCTCGAACTCCTGACCTCATGATCCACCCATCTCAGCCTCCCAAAGTGCTGGGATTACAGGCATGAGCCACTGCACCCAGCCGTCATTTTGTTTTAAGATGAACGAATGACTGAATCACCCAATCATTAGGAAGTGCTCCCCAAACAGCGGGATTCTCACTTCTTATCAGTGCTATTAGGCACAATCTCAGGGCTTCTTGACTCTCCAGGCCACTCAATTCTGGGCTTGTCTGAGAAACAATGTCACATCACCCACTGTCCCATCTCCACATCTTGGTTCTTGCGGATTCCTTGTGAGGTAAGCAGGGGAGGGAGCCCCTTATTTTATAAGTGAGGAGACTGAGTGAAGGGAGGGGGAGGGAAGACTGAGCTGGGGCCTGCTGACTCCATCACACCAGGTCTGAGGCACAGGAGCCTCTCGGATACAGGAAACCCAGCTAGCCTTGGAAATAGGACCAGCAGGGGACCAAGAAGGACGGCCCGGATTCCAGAAGGCATTGGCAGTGGGATAGCTGGCTCATCCTGTCCTCCTGGGAGAAGAGGGGCACAGGCACCCAGAATGCCATCGGGAGCCTGGCAGGACTTGCAGGGGCAGAATGAATGGGGCCAAGGAGATACCTACACACCCCGTAGGCTGGGTCAGCACAAAGGGGGAAATGTGTGATTCAGCCCCAGAGGGGCAATTGAGTGGAGGCTTTGCTCGGAGATAATTCCTCAGTGGGAGGGGGTGGGCGTGGGCTCAAGGATTTGCCCTCAGAGAGGTGGGTGCTCTAGGTGCAGGAGACACTGCACCAGCCCCACTGCAGGGCAGGGCCGAGGGTGGGCTGCATCCCCCCACCATCCAAAAGCGCTTAAAGTGTCCCACAGGTCCAGCAAGTGGGCTGGGCACACAGATCCCTCAGACACACACAGGCCGGAGGGAGAGGCTGTGGCTGCTTTCCAGAATGGCACAGCAAACTGCTGTTCATCCTTTAAAAAACGTGCTGACCCAAGCAAAGAAAAAGGGGTAGGAGGAAAACCATGCAGGCCAAATCAGAGACCCAGGCACCCTCCTCACTGCTTGCACCGACTGAGGCAGGCTAGCCAGTGGCAGGCACAGGGAGGGCTTCTGAGGAGGGTGAGCAGGGGAAGTGCTGGAGCAGCCTCTGGGCCTTGGGTCCCATTCCCTGGGTGGTGAGGGAGCCCTCCAAGACAGGAAGGGAGTAGCACAGAAGAGAGCTGGCTGGATTCTGGAAATCCACTGTCACTGGTTGCTGTGTACCCTGAGCAAGTGACTCCACCTCTCTGTGCATCACTTTCTTCCTTGACCCTGACCTGTCTCCCAGGATTAGTGGTGACAGTGTGGGTGAGAGTGTCGGATCAATGGAAAAAGCAGTGCTCACGTGAGGCTGGTCATGCCAGCTTGGACATCACTGTGTCTGGAGCTCAGTTTCCCTAGTCTGCCAACAGTCAAGAAATACTTATTGAACATCTACTATGTGCTGGGTTAAGACTGTGGGCCTAGAAGTCACTGACCTGGGTTTGAATCCCAGCTCCACCCCTTCTCAGCTGTGTGATCTGACATATATTCTTTAGATTCAGCGAGCCTCAGCTTACTCACTTATAAAATGGAGGTAGTACTAGAACCCACGTCACTGGGTGGCTGGGAGGATTAGATGAGATGATCTATTTCAAACTTCTAGCACAGACTGTCAGTAAAAGCTAACACTTATTTGAACTGTGGTGGTTGTCAGGAGCTAGGGATACAGTGTTAACAAGACAAGTGGTCCCTGCCTTCATGGAGCTCACAGCCTGGCAGGATGGCATTAAACAAATAATTACCCAAAGAAGTATTTCCTCATGGGCAGAATAATTGGCTTGACCTAGATGTAGACTTTGCTCCCCCTCCCCACAGATCCTCGCTCTGAAGGGCTTATTTGAGTCAATCAGGGGCTCTCCTGCCAAGGTCTGCCACCCTGAGGCATGGCCCCTCGGGCTGCTGGGCCTCTGGGCCAGAGGCAAGGAGACTCACCTGCTTGCCTTCTCTAGGGTTGCACATCTGCAGTATGACTGGGGATCCAGGGGAGGACATTAAGGTGGAGGTGGCAGCCAGGCACTTCCCCTGCTGCTGGATGAGGTGGTCACTGAACAGCCATGCCTGCAAGGCAGGGAGCAGAAAGGCCAAGTCAAAAAGTACAGCGATGGGTGGAGAGATGGGTAGATAGGGGATAAAGCAAAAACACGGCATATTTTTGTAAGATTTCTACAAATAATTGTAGGAGCTAGGGTAGATGTATGGGTATTCACTGCATAATTCTTACTATTTTTCTATATGTTTGAATTTTTTGGTAATAAAATGCTGGGGTGGGGGAGCTTAGCTGGAGCTGGCCAGAGGGCAGTCAGGGCTGTGCCAAGAGACTGTGGGGGATGAGAGAGAATGACAAGACATGGAACCAAGGCAGCTGAGAGCTGGTCCTCACTGGAGTCTCCATGACCTGCTTTAGTTTCGATGTGGGTGCAACACTCATATGTTGCACCCATGTGCGCACAGGAGTCTTGGACATTGCCTGTCACATGAGCCGACCCCAGCTGGATCTCAGGAGACAACTGGGCACTATCTGGGCAGCTCTTCTCCCTCGGCAAGAACAAAGCAGGTGGTGCACACAGGATACCCAAGTGACAGGCTGGAAAGGGGATATGAATGTGTAGGAGCAGGGTCTAGGGGCCCCTGGCAAAGTGGGTTTGTGTAAGATGTAGACAGAGGAGGAGAATGAGTAGGGGGAAGTCCCTCACCCCACTCCTGGACAATGCCTCCAGCTCTCTCCCACTCCCATTCCTACCCGAGGTCCTTACCTGGGCGGGCTGCGGGTTCTTGGCAGACCCTCTGCAGATCCCCATTCCAAGCAGGAAGTCACCAGCTGTGTTCTGGCCCTGAGATTCTAAGCAGTTCACCCCCTGCTTAATGATGCCGGGGAGTGCTTCCTTCACGGGGACCCTGAGAGAAAAGGCAGCAGTCAGGCTTGTGCTTTCCCCCCCAAGGCTTACCTACACCCTCTGCCAGACGTCAGCATCCTATCAGCTCTGGGAGCGCCGAGGTCTCCGTGGGAAGGGGCCCGGGAGCAGCCTGGCCAGCAGGGGGAGGTGAGGAGCAGGAGTGGCCTCTGGGAAGACTGGGCCTCGGCCCCAGGGGTTCTTCCAAGTGGCTCTGGGACCCTCTGCCCTGGAGGCTGGGCCTGAGACATAGAGGATGGGGGAGCCATGGGCGGAGCTCAGGCTGGAAAAACAGAGCCCCTCAGTCCAGAAAGAGGAAAGCCTCAGGAGAGCCTGGGGCCAAAATGCATGCTCAATAATCAATCCCAAAATGACAGGGAAGGGAGCGCTTTGAAGAGGCAAATTAAACACAAATATGAAAATGTGTTTAATCTCAGTAATGATTAAAGAACTACGTATCAGAGTCACCAATGTTTATTTACCATGTATGTACATTTGTACACACACACACTTAATTTAATGACAATGCCCAGTGTCGGCAACAGCTGTGGGACTGAATCTTCTCACACCTTCCTGGTGAGAGCATAGATTAGCACAGCTTCTCAGGAGGGCAGTGTGCTATTGTGTCTCAAAGCCCTTAAAAATGCACACATCTTTGACCAATATTGCCCCTTGTAGGAACATATCCTACAAAAATAATTATAAATGTTGTAAAAGACATTCATCTCAGAGTGGTTGATTATATTGAAAACACCAGAAATTTCTAGATATCTAACAACAGGAGCTGGGCTAAATAAATTCGGATTCATCCATACGATAGAAAACCCTGTAGCCATTAAAAATGACTTATGGCTGGGCATGGTAGCCCACACCTGTAATCCCAGCATTTTGGAAGGCCAAAGCAGGAGGATCACTTGAGACCAGGAGTTCGAGACCAGCCTGGGCAACACAGAAAGACCCCATCTCTACAAAAATTAAAAAAAAAAAAATTATCCAGGCACAGTGGCACATGCCTATAGTCCCACGTACTTGGGAGGCTAAGGTTGGAGGATCACTTGAGCCCAGGTAGTTGAGGCTGCAGTGAGCCATAATGCCACCACTGCATGTCAGTCTAGGCTTCAGAGTGAGACCCTGTCTCAAAGTAAATAAATAAAATAAAATTTTAAAAAATGACTCTGTGAAATGATACTTGCTAGTATGGAAAAATGTTCACAGCACACTATTAAGTAAAACAGGCAAGTTTTAAAATATTATATTATTAAAACACTTTATATGCCCAGGAAAATATGCTTATACACACATACAGACACACACACACACACACACACACACACACACACTGACACCTTATGGGTAATAAACCTGAGGAAGCTGCCGGCCCCAGCTGCTGCAGGCTTGCATACCTGAGTTCAGGTTATGTTCGTTCTTGGATTAAGGAGTCACCAGGCCTGGGAGTTACAGGGGAGCAGGAGGGATTACAGCGTGTGTGCCTTCTCTGCCTCCTGTTACCTCTGTCAGTGAAACAATCTGGGCCTGGGGGGTTGGGCCATTATAAGATGTTTGGCATTCTTTGATGTGGACATCTGCAGGATCTAGACCAAACCAGGTCTTCCTTCCTCAGGGGTGGCTAGAAGCCGCAAAGTTCCAGAACTGATCTGCTCACAGGAGGCTCAGAGAGACCCTTTCAATTCCTCTCCCACACCCCTGGCAGCAGCCTGTGCCTCTCCAGACTCCCTTTGGGAGGCATTGCAACTCTCTAGCAGAGGTGGCAAACTGCTGGCTGCCAAGCTGAATCTGGACCCTGGACATGGTCTGACCTGCATAGCGTGGTGGTTGTTGCTTTTAATTAGTTGGCAATATTGAATGATTTTAAGGTTACATAGAAACCTTCAAATCTGAATCTAGCTTCTCTTAAAAATTGGAAGATCAGGCCACAATGAGCTTGCATTCCAGAATGGTACTAATCCACTGCAGTGAGTAGCAGCTGCCCCCTCTGAGTGGGGCTTCTGCATCGCACTTTGCCCCAGTCCCCACAACTCTCTATTGTCTCATCCTTACCCATTTGACTTATTGACATCACCTGCCTGACCACTGTAAGAATTTGAGTTTGCAACCCCTGCCATGTGCAAGCATGTTGGAGGGCAGGAGCTCCACACTCTCAGCCTCATCCAGGAGCAATGTGTTACATTTCCCTTCTCTATAGAGACAAGATGGGTACTGAGGCCTCTTTGATAACTGCACAGGGGGAATACAGCACGAGGGCCAGGGGTTGTTCCAGACCCTGCTACTCCCTTGTTGCTTAGGGTGTTGTGCAAGCTGATCAGCTTTCAGAGGTGAGGTGGATACTGACCAAGAGTGGCAATGCCCAGTGATGCTTACGGAAGAAACCCTAGGCTTGGGAGCAATCTCAAGATCAGATGCAGCTCCTAAGCTGTCATCGTGGTAGCAGTCCTGGAGCAGCTGGAATAGCAGTCGTCACCATCCTTCCCCAGCTCCCCAGCAGTGCCAGGCTAAGCTGTCCTGTTTGTCAGCAGCCCTCTAAACTCTGCATCCACTTCCTTCTCTATGGGTCTCTTCTATGTACACAGGCTGCCATTAGATCCATTCCCCAAGACACTACTTCTTTCTGTTAGAAAACTGACATACTGGTTTTGTTAGAAGAATGCTTACTGCCATTTGCTTGGAATTAGTGTCATGAATGTGCAATGTCTACTATGCAACTAGCACCCTCACAAACATGGTGTGCTTGTGCAACGCACAGCCTGAACAACTGTTCTTGATAGTCCTAATGCAAGTAATAAATTAGCAGTTCCTGAGGCCAGCTGCAGAGCTCTAACCTGGAGAAGGGGCAGAGCCACGGCAGGCCTAGGAAAGCAAAAGCCTCTTCTTTCAGCCTCCTCGGTCTCCCCACTGACTGTTTGCAAGTGTAGGCAACTATTTAGGGACCCCCTGTTTGGAGGAAAGT
The DNA here is from genome assembly GCF_000001405.40 of Homo sapiens. Taxonomy (NCBI): domain Eukaryota; kingdom Metazoa; phylum Chordata; class Mammalia; order Primates; family Hominidae; genus Homo; species Homo sapiens. The sequence goes on along the minus strand of NC_000014.9, from coordinate 69,344,078 downwards.
TGGTATCACTCAGGCCTATGGGTCCCCTTTCTAATCAGCAAATTGATCCACTCCTGGCCCCTCAGCCTAGGAACTGGGGGTGAGTAATCCAGACAGGAATGAGGTCTGGGGTTTCCATCTTAGCAACAAAAAATTATTTTAACTTTCACACAGTGGCAGAACAAACAGAAGAGGACTTCTGCTCCTCATCGACGTAGCTGGTTCATCTACTCTCCTGCCTTGTGATCGAGCCAGGTTTCTGATAGTTATGAGACACTTCTTCCCCTTGGTCCTTGGGGGTGTCATCAGACCCTGTGGCAGGGCACTGAGGTTGGAGAGGAAGGGCATTCCCAGGCCTCCCCCACTCTTCCCACAGGCTGCCCAGCTCCTGCCCTAGGGCTGGAACTAGTGGGCTTCACCCAAATGTTGTATGAACGCTGACACAGTGTAAAGAAGTGACTGCTCTTTTTTCTTCAGGGTCTCAGAAATGATGCATCTGAATGAACACTGTCCCCTAGAAGTGACCACTTCAGGAAGTTGCATTTTCATAAATTAATGTTCTTCCCATCACAGCTAGTGTCCAGGGAGCTGGGGTTATCTAGGCCACTGACTTTCTTCCAGTGACACTGCCAGTGCTCACATTGTTCTGGAACTTCTTGGAAATTGCTCCTAGAGTCAGTTTAATCTTGTTCATTTAGAGTCATGCTGTATTTGGGACCTGGGATTATAATTATCAGGGTTAATCATCTCTAGCTTATTCATTGCACTTGGCTACAACTTAATGGTGGCTGTTGGCCAAAAATCAAACCTGTCCTCAAAGGACAAAGATTTGCCTCTTTCAAGGATATGCAAGCTCTGAGGGGTGGAGTGTTCTGGAAAGCCATGGCAGCATCCTTGAGAGAAAGCTGGCAGCGGTGGGACACGTGTTCCCCAAGGTGACAGCTATAGAGGGCGCATGCGGCTTTTAGACATGATTGAGGCGTACGGACTGTGCAACTTGTTCCATTAAAAATATTTACTGAGTGCCCATTTTATGACAGGCACTGTTCCAGGTGCTGGAGATAAAGCAGTGAACAAACAGATCAAAGCCTCCACCCTCATAGAACTTACAGGCAAGTTCAGGGAGATACAACAAAATTAATTGGCCAGATAATGCCGATGATAATAACGGCTACAAGGAACATGGAGGAGACGATGCTGGGGAGGGAGGCGGAGCTGCAAACTCAGAGTGTTCAGGGAAAGTCTCCCTGGGAAGGGGACGTTTGAGTCAAGGCCTGAGGAAGGTGAGGAAATGAACCACGTGGATGTAACTGAGACACTGAAAAGGCCATCGTAGCTTATTGCCCACTGTCCTGTGAGAACGCACACATATTCCCAGGTAACTACAGCTCGAGTGCACACATCATTTGCATTTTGTTTTCTCATTTGCCAGAGCAAACATTTCCCTGTGTTTTCTTCACAGTTTCTATGATTATAATATTAATGGGTGCATAATATTTGTTTAGATCTATGTATAGTGATTCACTGAAGCCAACCCCTATTGTTGATTCTCTCCTTTTCTTTTCTTTTCCTCTCCCTCTCCCCTTCCTTCCTCCCTCCCTCCCTCCCTCCCTCCCTCCCTCCCTTCCTTCCTTCTTCCACCTTCCCTCCCTCCCTCCCCTCACCTCCCCTCACCTTCCCTCTTCCTCACCCTAACACTTAGGCTGGAGTGTAATGGCATAACCAGGGCTCACTGCAGCCCCTACCTTTTGGGCTCAAGTGATCCTCCCACTCATAGGTGTGTGCCACCACGCCCAGCTAATTTTTTGATTTTTAGTAGAGACAAGGTCTCATTATGTTGCCCAGGCTGGTCTCAAACTCCTGGACTCAAGCAATCCTCCTGCCTTGGCCTCCCAAAGTGCTGGAATTACAGGCATAACCCACTGTGCCTGGCGGTTTCTCATTTTTTCACCACAGCTATTGATCTGCTGGTCAACAGCTTCTGCTTTGGTTGCTTTATTTCCTTAGGATAAACTCCCAGAAGGGAGAGAACAGGGCTAAAGGGGACGAATGTCTCTGCAGCCTTTGCTATGTAATGCAGTGTTGTTTCCTAAGGGGATAACGTCCATATCTAGATCTGAAACCATTAAAAATTCGGTTCCCACCACACCTAATTTATAACCCCTAGTAATGCCCTCTCAGTTCCCCCACAGCCGTCACGTGAAGATAAAACCCGGCAGCTAGAAAGCCAGATCACCAGTGTTGAGGAGATCTAAGGGTGGGGTGGGACCAAAGCCGCTGGCCCCAACCACCCCCTACCCGCCTGGGGGATGCACAAGATGAGGGCTGCACTCACGTGAGCTCTGGGTAGACGTTCTCCAGGTACCAGCGGAAGGACTTGCAGTTCATCTTCTTCCTCTGCTCTATCCGCGTAGCCACACTGTAGGAGGAGGCAGGGCTTGGGCTTTGGCCTGCCAGTGTGGAAGGCAGCCCGAGGGAGGATGCCAGAGGCCTGTCCCCCAGCCCCAACTATCTCAGGCAGGCAAGGACCAGGAGACTTCCAGCCTGCCATGTCCAGCCCTGGCCACTTATCTGATGTTATTCTCTGACTTGCAAGCTCAAGGCAGGTCTCCTGGCTATGCCTCACTCATCAAATTCCTGCCTGGAGCTCACCTTTCAGGGTGAGCACAGACCATACGGGACCATGCCTTTCTCTCGGCTTCTCACTCCTTAAGACCTCTGTTAGCAGACCATGAACTGGTCTTTATCTTTGCAGAATTAATGAGAAGTACAGGAGGAAGGTCTAACAGCAGGAAGAGCAAGCTTTAAACATCTTTAGATGTGTTGGCAAATAAAACCATTAGATGTGTCCTTGGGACACCGCCATCCTCACCTTCCTCAGGTACACCCACCACAATGGCCACTGGTTGACGGCCCTCGTCACCAGCTATCTGAGCCTCAGTTTCCTCTACATTCAACTGGGGACACGACCACTCATCTCAGAAGGCTTTTGTGAGAATCAAGTGAATTAAGTGTGAAGCACTTAGCACAGGGCAGGTGCTAAGTAAATGTTAGTTCCTCATTACAAGAAATATTTAGTGACATAACTTATTTTTTCAAAAAAAGGGAGATAGATATGAATAAATAGGGAGAAGATTCATTGATCATCATTAATAGTGTTTTCAAACTTTTCTGACCACAAGCTTAAGTAGGAGATAACTATCTTACATTTGTAATATAATACGCCCCATGTACAGTCAGCCCTCAGTATCTGTGGGTTCTGCATCCATGGATTCAACCAACCTTGGATCAAAAATACTTAGGAAAAAATTTCAGGCCAGGTGCAGTGGCTCATGCCTGTAATCTCAGTACTTTGGGAGGCCAAGATATGCAGATCGCTTGAGATCAGGAGTTCGAGACCAGCCTGGCTGACATGGTGAAACCCCATCTCTATTAAAAACACAAAAAATCAGCTGGGCATGGTGGCACGTGCCTGTAATCCCAGCTACTCTAGAGGACGAGGCAGGAGAATCGCTTGAACCCAGGAGATGGAGGTTGCAGTGAGCCTAGATTGTGCCACTGCACTCCAGCCTGGGTGACAGAATGAGACTCCATCTAGAAAAAAAAAAAAAAATTCCACAAGGTTCCAAAGCCAAACTTGAATTCGCCACGCATCGAGTACCACATTGAATCCATGCAAATGACGTGATGTGTAGGCATTGTATTAGGTATTATAAGTAATCTAGAGATGATTTAAAATATTCAGGAGGTTGTGCATAGGGTATGCAAATACTACACTATTTTATATCAGGGACTTGAGCATCTGTGTGGATTCTGGTATCCGTGGGGGGTCCTGGAACAAATCCCCTGCAGATGCAGAGGGGCAACTGTACATGTGTAGGTACATGCATGCACACACATGCACCCACAACGGAAATAAGAGTTTCATAAGGACAATACTAACCCTTAACTGCAATCAACTCTTATTTTCTATCCTGCTCTGTACTAATCTAATCTATAGGGTTCTACTTCTCTCTCTCTCTTTTTAAATGCTGGTCACGACCCACTAAATTGATTTCACAACCCATCTGCATTTTGAAAATGCTTAACTAGACCATAGTCCTAACAGTCCATGACAGGAAAATAGGCTAACAGATCTCAATTTTGAACAGGGAGTGGAGGCAGAACCCCAAATGCTTTCTGCAGGCAGCCCCCTCCTAAGCAGTTCCACAGATGCCTGTTCTTCTGCAGGCAGCTGTGGACAGGCAGCTCTTTTTCATAAGCGAGCCTTCTCTCCCATGAGATTTCACGCTCCTCAAAGCCTAAGGTCTTGTCTCTGCGGTTGCATTCCCTCCCAGGACCCAAAGAAGCCCATTAGAGTGGGACCTCAGTGGCTGGGGAGGTGGCGGGTGGTTCCCTGGCGTACATACCACTTCGTATTTTGCTGGGGTTGTGCTAATGTGGGTAGAGGGAGTCAGACAGTGGAGCTGGGGGGGCCCACCTGCCGAAGGCCTTCCCGATGGCCGAGGGCCGGGCCTCATAGTAGTATTGCTTGTATTCATCCATCCACACTTCTGCAGTGCGCTTAGTATTCCTAAAAGGAGAGGAAAGAGCAAAATAAGGTCACCAGGGAAGCAACAGGGTTAGCGGTCAGGATCAAGATTAATCGATCCATGAATACAGGACGATGAGAATCTCAGGAGCAAGGTGATACTTGGATGGTATAGATTAGCACGGTCCTTTTGGAAGACAGTCTGTCAATACCCATCGACTTTGTAGGTATGCAGCTAGACTTGGGCAGCTGCTGCTCCAGACGCTGTACGAATAAGCATGAGCTCGACAAGGTGAAGAACCATCCACATGTACGAGGGTGCTCATGACAAGTCCCTCATCCTCCCCTGCCAACCTCCTCAGGAGAGCAGACCGTGGAGTGGTCTTCTAGGACATTACCCACTCTCCCTTGAGACTAGTGCACCCTGTAGCTGGGGATAGGGATGGACAGATGGTTGATCAAGTCAGGGTTGGGGCACAGGCATCCATGACCAGCACTCGGGGCTCCATGAGTGGAGAGCATGGCTTAGTTGGGGATTTGGCCAATTTTCCGAGACTCATATGGACAAAGGAAGTCCATATGAGTCTCAAGGCAAGAGAGACCTGGTGGCAACTCCCTCCACCCCTGAAGGTACCTGCAATCCCAGGATGTTACCAGAGGGGGCAAATGGGGAAACTGAGGCCCAAGAAGTGAGGTGGCTGCCCACAGTCACATAGTGATAACTGGCAAGGCTGGGGGCTTGGGCCTTGGTGTCCTCCTCTGAGTCCCGTGCTCCTTTCTCGGTGACCTACCTGATGTAGGTGAGGGCATTACCCTCAGGGAAGTTGTAGGGGTGCCGTTTCCTGAAGACATGGCCCACCCGGCTGCAGGGGACGATCTCCAGACTGCCACCACACATCCACACCCTGAAGGAGAGCTCTGCAGGAAATAGTAGCCGTCAGGAGGAGGAAGGGGTTCCTTGGCAAGTGAGGGTGGGAAGGGGCTGGCTTCCCTTCCCTTTGGTGTCTCACTGGAGGTACATGTTGGGGTCGGGGCTCCTGGGCCTGCTCAAATGGAGTGCTCCCACTCCTTGCACAGGTTCCTGACTGCCCACTCTACGTGTGTACGTGCACATGCACACACACACATATACACATGATCCCCGTGGCCCATTCCAGGAAGAGCAGTGGAAAAAGCTTGAAGGAACACCAAGAACATAAGTAGAAGGAAAACAACCAAACAGTGGCATCATTTCCAGGCTCTGTCTAGAAAGCCCCAGACAGACATGAGCTAAGGAAAAACACATCTGCTCGTCAGCCAGCTCTGTGCACCTGAGAGGTCGGAAAACCAGCCACCAACCAAACCACAGGCTGCTCCAGCTGGCACCTCTTGGGCTGGCCCCAACCTCCCTCTTGACCCAGTTGGTCTCCTTGTACAGGCTCTCACTGGCCCTCTTGAGCCATGCCTCCTTTTGACAGCGGTGGTGGAGCTGAACCAGCTTTTGTGGATGACTGTGGTCCCCAGTGGTGTCGGGAGAGCAGTGGCCATCCTGCTGCCCAGAAGGGGACCTCAAAAGTTACCACTCTGATCTCCGCTCACCAGTTGCCATTTATGGTAAGGACCCACCTTGACAGCTGGCTGAATCTCACATAATCTCTTTTGATTTCGTACTTTCCTTCATATTAACCCTATAGTCTCTTCCCACTCCTCAGCTGGCTCTAAGGACACTCATGATCTCCAACCAGGCCTGGGGGCTCTCACGTGGCATAGCTGGTCAGGACCCTCCCAGTAACTAGCAAAGGGCAGAGTGGAGGAAGCAGGACTAAAGCCCACCTCTGGCCAGCCTGTGTGCACCAAGTGACGTCCAGATGTGGTTCAGGGCCAGGACCGGACACTTGGCATACCTGGACCCACATGTAAGGATGGCTATATCAATGGGCTTCCCTAGGTCTGCCTATAAACTGCCAGGCATCCGTCCCTTCTCCTGGTCAGAGCTCTGTGTTTGGCCTCAGCAACTAAGGCGTAGAACTGGGCACAGTCCTGGGGGGCCGAAGATCTGCATTCTGGTTCCATTTCTGCCATCCCAACTTTGTTATGCTAGTTAAGTCACTTCATCCCACTCAGCCCATAATGTCTATAATATTATTAACTATTGTTATTATTATCAACAATGGCCATAACAATAGCAGTAACCATCCATTTACTGAGTACTTACTACATGCCATGCTCTTTCTATCCAATATCTAATTCTCACTGCAACCATGTGAAGTCAGGATTTTTAGCCTTATTTTTTTTAACGAGGACGTTGAAGCTCAAAGTTGTTAAATAACCTCTCCAAGGTCACTCAAATATTCAGTTGCAGAAGTGCAGCATCAAGTTCACATTGTGTCCAGCAAGCCACACTGTCAGATTCTTTAGTTCACTCAGCAAATTTTCATTATATGTCAGACACTGCTCTAGATTCCCTTGTACTCTAGCAGGGAAGTGAGAAGACGGGAACTCCATAAAATAAGGGGCAAAAAAATGCAAGTAAACAAGAAAATGCATAAAAATGTAGCATGTCAGCCAGGTGCGGTGGTTCACGCCTGTGATCTTAGGACTTTGGGAGGCTGAGGGCGGCAGATTGCCTGAGCTCAGGAGTTCGAGACCAGCCTGGGCCACATGGTGAAACCCCGTCTCTACTAAAATGCAAAAGAAATTATCCGGGTGTGGCGGCATGCACCTGTAGTCCCAGCTATTTGGAAGGCTGAGGCAGAATTGTTTGAACCCGGGAGGCAGAGGTTTCAGTGAGCCAAGATCGTGCCACTGCACTCCATCCTGGGTGACAGAGGGAGACTCTGTCTCTAAAAATAAATAAATAAATAAAATGAAAAAAATAAAAATAAAAAATAAAATAAATACAGCATATCAGATGGTAGTTAGGGCCATGGAGAAAAATGAATCAGGCTGGGAGCTGAAGAGGGCCAGTGGATGGTGGTGGGGGAGGACTAAGACTATGTTTTAAACCAGGCTGATGAGGGGAGTTGTCACTATAAAAGGGACATTTGAGCCAAGACCTGAAACAGATGAGGGAGCAAGTCCTGTGGCTAGCAGGAGAAGAGCATTCCGGGCAGAGGAGCCGGCAAGGGCAGGTCCCTAGAGGCAACAGCACAGCTGGCAAGTTCAAAGAGGCCATGCTGGCTGGGGGCGGTGGCTCACGCCTACAACCCCAGCCCTTTGGGAGGCTGAGGCGGGTGGATCACCTGAGAGGTCAGGAGTTCGAGACCATCCTGGCCAACGTGGTGAAACCCCGTCTCTACTAAAAATACAAAAATTAGCCGGGCCTGGTGGTGTGTGCCTGTAATCCCAGCTACTCAGAAGGCTGAGGCAGGAGAATCGCTTGAACCCTGGAGGCAGAGAGTGCAATGAGTAAGATTGTGCCACTGCCTTCCAGCCTGGGCAATAAGAGCAAGACTCTGTCTGAAAAAAAAGGAGGCCGTGCAGCCCACGTGGAGTGAGGCAGGGTGGGAGAAGTGGGAAGTGAGGGCAGGGGTGTGGCTGCGGGGCTGCAGGGAAAGGCAGATACCCTGTAGCCAGTAAGGAGTTTGGGTTTTCCTCAGAATGACATGAGAACTCTTGCAAGGTTTTGAGCACAGAAGCAACATAATCTATGTTTTAAAAGGATCCCCAACACATCTTTGTTGGGGATCCTAACCTTGCACATCTGCCAGCCCCACTCAAGGTGGCCTCTGGGCTCCCGAGTTTGGAATTCTTTGGGGACAAAAGAACACGTCTTGGTTTGGAAATCTCCCTTCCTTCAATAAAGGAATAAAAGGAAAGGCTCAAACCCACCAGCGACAGGAGTCTCATAGCTCAAAACTGGTCCCAGCGGCTGAACGTCTGAGCACTGCAGCTAGCCCAGACATTTCTTTGAATTTCTTCTAAGAAACAAAACCCTTGCCAGAACCACTCTGTGGTTCACCTTTCAAGTTCTCCAACCACGGAGCCCTTGCCTCAGGCAGAGTTTGAAATGAGCTGTTTGATCATTCACTTGTTTCTCTGTCTCTAGCCTCAGAAAAAAAAGAAAAAGAAAAAATGGCCTTTGGAGGCAGAGCAAGGAGACTGTGGGTTTCCCAGCTTTCCAAGTCTTCACAGGAAACTGGCTTTGCCAAAGCCCTTCAGGCCGAGATTGAAGACACAAAGCGGGTCACTTGGACCCAAAACACATGAAAGGGGTCAGAATGGAGGGGTCACTGCACCCCAGTTCCCAGAATTTACTTCTCTGAACCCTGCCTGGAAACAGCCTCCAAAAGCAAGTTACAAAGCTGGGGGAGTCCCATGCCCATTCCCACTCCAGCTGGTTTTGAGTCGGGATCAGGCCTGTTGCAAGCCCCCTCACTGCTATTTTCCTCATCAGGGAGAAAGAGTTAAAGAATCCCTGCTCCTAACGTCTCAGAGACATAGACTGTGCCTTTGCCAACGTCCCACAACACATAAGTGGCTCTGGTAAAGGAGCTGCATACGCCCATTAGATGTGGAGTTTCCGGACTGAAATCTAGAAGGCAGCATCCACCTCAGTCTTTCTACCTGTCAAATGGGTGAGATACCACCAGTGCTAGTTATTGCTCAGAACACCTGGTCAGGAAGAAGAAGGAAGCAGTGGGAGAGGGCTCTGTGAAGGACTGGGCCCACCAAGAGGGCAAGAACAGGCCACCAAGGACCTGCCCCTGCTCCTGGAGACCCCCAGAATGGTGCTCCCCACCGCCCCCGTCTCCACGTCGCTGTTTGTGAGACAGCCCCTGGGGGCTGCACTGCTGGGTTCCCTTCCTCAGGCAGACAGGGAGGCACCAGCAGGAGATGACGGGGTGGGGGTAGAGTGAGGGTGAGTGTTTAGCCCTGACACTCTCCACCTGGTGCCATGGGCTGGCTGCATGTGCCCCAAGACCACAGCTCCATCGTGGGGTGCTCCCTCACCCTGTCTTTCAGACCTTGGGGTGGTTACAGCTCCCAGAAGTCACAGCCCTGCCCAGTACTGTGCTGTCCCTATGGTTCCCTCTATCCTGCCCGCACCATGTAAATAAGCCCTTTAATAAACACTCAAGTCGGTTGCACCTTCCGTATTCTGCCAGGACCCTAACTGATGCTCACCCTTTATCTAACCTCCATCTCACTTGCAACCCTGTTTTGCAAATGAAGAAACTGAGGTTCAAAGAGTTGACTGGCTTGCCAGCCCACACATACTGGAGTCCAGAGTTTGGGCTCCGATCCCACTTGGTAACCCTTCCCTGGTACTCTGTGGCCCCAACACCGTGAGCTGAGAAGCAAGTGTGTGAGGGTCCAGCCCCCTCCAGCTCCCTACTGGAACACTTTGCCCCCACCTCTGTCTCCTTCGCTGCTGCTTCAGGGCAGGGAGGGGCAGCTTCCTGTGCTTCTGAGTCTAGAGACTGCCTAATGACAGTGGCCACCAGCACTGTGACCTGCCTTTAACTCATCACCTCATTTAGTACTCATAACAACCTCTTGAGGAAACTCAGACTTTAAAGGGCTTTAACTTGCCCAGGGCCAAACAGCATGCAGGTGGTAGGGTCAGGGTTTGCACCCAGGCCATCTGACTCCATCACTTAGCATTTCACCACCACCCTCTACCACACACCTCCCAGCCTTGCTGGTAGGGAAGCAGCCACGTGTGTAAGCTGTGGTCTGTGATACAGTTGTGTGTTCTTCCACACACATGTCCAGCCATGTGACCACGGGCTCCCCCTAAATAGAACCTCTTTGTTTACTAGCTGTGTGGCTCTGGACAAATTGCTTAACTTCTCTGTGCCTTGGGTTTTAAAATCAGTAAAATGGAGATCATGGTACTTACCTCAGAGGGTCCTTGAGAGAATTAAATGACCTCATGTGTGTAAAGTCCTTAGAGCAGGTCCTCACGCATAGAAAGTGCTCTGTCAGGGTTAACTGTGGTTATTACTGCTACTGTTATTTTCACTGTCACTATTTCCCAACTCACCAAAATTCTCTCCCCCCCAGATGTCCATCTGGGCATCATACTTTCCCAAGTGGTTAAACCAGGACTTGTCGATCACGAAGATTCCTCCAGCTATGACAGGCGTCCTGGGAGCAAGGAGAGGGAAGACGCAACACGTGAGCTGGAGAAGCAAGGAGGCCCTTTAGATGGCCCCAGGACCCAAGACCGTCTGCCTCTAGATCCCTCCCTGCAGAGTCACTGGGGCAGGATGTCTGGCCAGCTCCCTGGCCCCCCACATCTGTTCCCGTGGCCTCTGTCCTCGCTGTCCCTGCATACAGGGTCCGAAGGCCCAGAACAGAGTCAGCACTTAGTGCGCCTCAGGAGCCCAAGCGACCGATACAGCCTCCCAAGAGCCTCCCAGGCCCCTGACCCAGGGAAGGAAGGGGTCCCCCAGAGCCCACCGCAGCTCTGACCTTATGGGCCTGGTGGGGTCTGTCCGGGTCATCTTCTGCTCAAGAGGGATCTGCTCCCACTTGAAATGCAGGCTCCAGTCGAACCCTAAGGGACACAGCAAGGTGAGGACAGAGCTCAGGGCAGAGCTGCGGGCTGCTGAGACCCTTCACTCCACCACCCCTCGGAGTCTCCCCTGATCAGAGCCCTGGGCTCTTCGTGCAGTCCCTCCTTCATTCGGAATGAGCCAAGCTCCTCCTCTCAGGAAGTGTACCATCTACTGGGTAAGACAGAAGCTACAAAGATAAATAAATCAGTGGAGACTATGTCAGCTGGGGATGAAAGTACTAAAAAAAAAAAAAAAAAGAAGAAAACAAAGAAGGAGTGCCCATACTATTAATATTTTAGTTAGAATAGTCAGGAAAGGCTCTCTGGTGACTTTGGAGTAGAGACCTGAATGAAGGATAGATCCATGAAGATACCTGGAGAAAGGGAATTCAAGGCAGGGGCAGCTGCCAGTGCCAAAGCCCTGAGGTGATTTCCCAAAGGGGAAATGCCTGGCTCCCTTCAGAATCCCACTCAGACTCACAATCTAACTAATGGCTGGGTCCATATACTGGGAGTCCAGATCCCAAACAGGAAATCCACTGTGCCCGCCAGCTCCCAGCAACAGATTCTCTAGAGCAGCACAGTTCCATAGAACTCTCTGCAATGATGAAATGTTCTGTATCTGCATTGTCAAATATGGTAGCCACTAACTTCATGTGGCTACTGAGCCTTGAAATGTGGCTAGTACAGTTAAGGAACTGCCTTTTAAGTTTTATTTAATTTGAATTAATGCAAGTTTAAGTAACCAAAGGTGACTATTATCTACTGTACTGAACAGCCCGTCACAGTCCAAAAGAAATATAATGCAAGGCACAAATGTAAGCCAAATACGTAATTCAAAATGTTCTAGTAATCACATCAGAAAAAGAATATATGAAATTAATTTGGACGAAATATTTTTAATGTAATATATCAAAAATATTGTCATTTCAACATGTAATCAATACAAAAAATTACTAATGAGGTATCTTACATTCTTTCACACTAAGTCTGGGTAACCTGTGGGTCTTCTATGCCTATAGCACTCTTAATTCCAACTAGTCACTTTTCAAGACTAGTCATATTTCAAGAGCTCAATAGCCAAATGTGGCTGATAGTTGCCATACACAACACTGGTCTTGACCATCTCTGGGGCGCATGTGTTAGGAAGTCATGTGAGGCTGAGGGCTCCCTACTCCCCATCCTCAAGACAGCTGTCACATCATGGCCTTCTGCCGGGACTTGTGGCCATGATCCCTAGGCTGGCAGCATTTGGGAAGAAAGTGTCAATATTTGGAGGGAGGGAAAGATGAGAGACTAGTCTGGCTCTGCTACTGATTGTATCAGAAGCCTGCAACTGCCAGCTCTGCTCCTTTGTCCCCAGTCCCAGGGCTGCACCCAATCCCTCTTCATTTTCTCTTTGGAGGTGGTGGAAGGGGTGTTCATGAGGGTCTCTGGCACAGCTGGAAAGAGCAGCAAGCAAGGGTTTTTGCCTGCCTAGCCTCACCTACCTCCTTTCATGTCTACAGCCCCACCCCCGGGAGCAGAACTCACCTCCACGAAGGTCAGCAGATGCTGCAAGGTAGGCAAAATTATCCAGACTGATGACATCAATGATGGGACTCACCACGCGGGTGTGGTCCTAGGAGAGAGATGTGAGATGGTGTGAGGCCTGGGACTTCTCTGCAGAAAAAGGCCTAGCTGCCTGCTCTGGGGAGAAGGCCTCTCTGAGACATGGGGCACTCAGCACTTCCTGCAGGGTATGCCCAGGGCCACCCCTCAACCCTGGCAGGCTCCTGGCAGCTGTCCTGCATCACCACACCCAAGCTCCTGGATGTTCCTATTTGGCTCCCATGTACTCTCCAAGCCTCTTCCTCACACATTATTTTGAGCCCTGCTAGAATCTCACCTACTCCATGAAGCCTTCCTTGACTGCTGCAGGCTGAAGGATTTTTTCCTCTTTTAAGCTACTCTTACAATGACAGCCTAGATGATTCCTGGGACAGTGACTCACTGTGCTGCCTGAAGTGGCTCTTCTATTTCTGGTCTGAACTGTTGCTTTATTAATATCATTTACCTTTGTATTATAGTTGTTTGAGTCTTCCCAATGGGACTACTAGCAGCTGGAGGGCAGGGGCTCCGAGGTCCCCATGTAATCTGGGTGCTATCCCTCTCATACCACATCCACTGTTACAAGGTCAGACTCGCCACTCCCCGCATCACCTCCCAGAACACAAATCCAAATCCAAAACCTTGATGAATAATGTTGATTTTGCTGGCCTCTTTTTTGGGGTGGTAGATTATGTCATATACCACATGTAAAACTTCATCACCCTTCATGAGCCTTCTCATCTTTCGCCCTCCATGGGGGACACGGAACAGAGCCTCTTCTTTCTTCTCCTTCCCCACTCTGCTTTCACCCCCAAAATCCTCTTGTCTGGAACTTGGAATCCAGCTCTGCCCCTCAGTTCCCACCCTAGATCAGGATAACGGAAGCCCGGGATGGGGCTGATCAACAGAGACCTTTGATGGTTTTTCAGTGCTCTGTGGAGGGCCTCACCTCATCCTTTTTATAGACTTTTTTTTGTGCTGAGATATAAAATCACAGGTTTAAAGTACACAATTGATGGTTTTTAGTATATTCACAAGATTGTACAACCATCACCACTATCTTGTTCCAGAACATTTCACCACCCCGACAAGAAACCCAATCTACTTTCTGTTTCTATAGATTTGCTTATTCTGGACATTTCCTATGAAAGGAATCATATAATGTATGGCTTTTCGTGACTGGCTTTCACTTCACGTAGGTTTTCAAAGTTCATCCATGTTGTAGCATGTATCAGTTCTTCATTTTTTTAATGTCTGGATAATTCTGTTGTATGGATACACCACATTTTATTTACCCATTCGTCAGTTGATAGGCATTTGGATTTTTTCTACCTTTTGGTTATTCTGAATAGTGCTGCTCTGAAGTTATTGTGTGAACATATGTTTTCATTTCTCTCGGGTCTACACCTAGCAGCTCCACTGCTGGGTCATATGCTAACTAACTTATGTTCAAACTTTCGCAGAACTGCCAGACTGCCTTCCAAAGTGGCTGCCCTACTTTACATTCCTGCCAGCAATATATGAAGGCTCCTGATATGGTTTGGGTATTTATCCCCCCAAATCTCATGTTGAAATGTAATCCCCAAGGTTGGAGATGGGGCCTAGTTAGGGGTGTTTGGGTCATGGGGGTGGATCGTTCATGGCTTGGTGTTGTCTTCCTGACAGTAAGTGACTTCTCGTGAGATCTGGTTAGTTTAGAAGCATGTAGTACCTCCACCCAACTCTCTCTTGCCCCCACTCTCGCCATGTGAGGTACCTACTCCCCCTTCACTTTCTGCCATGAATAAAGCTCCCTGAGGCCTCCTCAGAAGCCAAGCAGATGCCAGTGCCATGCTTGTACAACGTGAGCCGATTAAACCTTTTATTTGTAAGTTATCCAGTCTCAGGTATTTCCTTATAGCAATGCAAGAATGGCCTGATACAGCTCCTATTTCTCCATGTCCTTGCCAGCACTTGTTATTGTCCATCTTTTGGATTCTAGCCATCCTGGTAGGTGTGAAGTGGCATCTCATTATGGTTTTGAGTTGCACTTCCCTAATGACTAATGATGCTGAGCATCTTTTCCTAGGCTTATTGGCCATTTCTATATCTTCCTTGAAAAAATGTCTACTCAAATCCTTTGCCAATTTTTTTTTCTTGAGATGGAGTCTCGCTCAGTTGCCCAGGCTGCAGTGCAGTGGTGTGATCTTGGCTCACTGCAACCTCTGCCTCCCGGGACCAGGTGATTCTCCCGCCTCTGCCTCCCAAGTAGCTGGGAGCACAGGCACCCGCCGTCATGCCCAGCTACTTTTTGTACTTTTGTAGAGATGGGGTTTCACCATGTTGGCCAGGCTGGTCTTGAACTCCCGATCTCAGGTGATCTGCCCTCCCCGGCCTCCCAAAGTGCTGGGATTACAGGGGTGAGCCACCGCTCCAGGCCCCTTTGCCAATTTTTAAATTGGGTTATTTGTCTTTTTATGGTCGGGTTGTTATCACCTCATCCTTTTCTGCCATCTGTCCAAATCCTCCCTGTTCTGGAGAACAGTAGGCACGTGGCAGGGGCCCTCCTACCCTCTCCTCTCTTTGAGAACAACATCCTCTGCTCCCTCTTGCAAGGGCTTCCCAGCCCGAACAAAAGCTCTCCCAGCACAGGATCCTAACTCTCCAAGGAGAAAAACAACACCCATTTGTAGCAGGAGCTTTGTAGCTCACCCAGGCTTTCATCCAATTTCATTCTCACAATAACCCAGTGGGATAATTATGACAATTATCCCCATTTTCAGATGAGAAAACTCAATAAGGTGAAGTCACTCAGGGGGAAGTAGACTATTTGGGCTTCCTACGATGCCTGCCCAGCTTCAAATACTGTCCCATAGGCCTCGGTGCCAGGAACGTAGTGGCTGAGTCCCCAAGGACGCCCAGCTCCCCAGAGACAGTGGCTCACCTCCTTCACCCGCTGCAGCATGGGCGGCAGCCACTCGGTGTTCACTTCGCAGTGGCTATCCAGAAAGGTGAGAACGGTAGCTGCAGCCACGTCCGCCCCACGCACTCGGGACCGGATCAGCCCTACAAGAGGAGTAGATAGGGCTTGGCGCTGGGACTGGGCCAACTGGCTTCCCACCTGTCCCCCAAAGTCCCAAGGCTCTCCTCTCCTTCAGGGGCTGAGGCTTCCTGAGTTATTGTGATTAGATTTGACTTTATACTTCTGCTTGTTTCCTGCCTCCCTCCCTTGCTTCTTCTTATCCACCCATCAACCACCATCACTCCAGGGTCACACCCCGAGTGCCCTCTATGTGCCAGTCACTGTCTGGGCTCTAGGGACACACTGATGAACAGTCACAGTTTAGAGCGTGGAAAGTGCAATAAAGTAGTTTGATCCCAAAGGAGAACCAGAAAACAAAACTTTTTCCCATGGGAACCTCTGGGTCGTCCCCTCCATCCATACCCCTATGTGTAGCATGGAGATAATCTTCGAGACTAAGATAGGCTTAAGTTTGTATGGCAGCCCCTTTCCTTACCTTCAGCATGTTATTTAACCGCTCTGAGCCTCAGTTTTCTTATCTATAAGATTCAGAGAGATAATAATCCCTGACTGTCAGGATCAAACAAGACGACAGGGACAGAGCTTGGTGCCTGGGAGACCCACACATGTCAGGTTCTGTTCTTCTGTGCCTGTCCCCCGATAGCCTCACCAGCCTCATTTTGGGCAGCACTCTGCTCTGGGCGGAGACCTGCCTGGTCAGGAGGGAGGAGGCCCAGCTTCTCCTGCCCCTGCCAGAGTGGCCATGTGTGCCCTGTGAGCTGTGGGAGGGAAGGGCCTCACTCTTAGAGCTCTGAGTATAAGCAGCTCCTTGGAGACATTTCCCTAGCCATGCCTCTGCCCCAGACTCTGCCTCTAGCTGCCTACCAGCCCGCCAGCCAGCCAAAAGCCCATCAATCTCCACTCCAAAAGTGTCTACAAAGCATCGAGTCATAAATTTACATTTACTGTTGTCAAATCCAGGGACAGCATATTCCCAGACCTGACGGTACCTACAGCCCAGTGGCTTGGGAAGGATTTAACTTCGGCCACTTCCATTCTGGTTTGAAGGTCTCCCTCACTGGTATTCTTGTGGCCCCTTGGCCTGACTGGTCTTTCTTTCTTTCTTTCTTTTTTTCGAAACTGAGTGTCGCTCTGTCACCCAGGCTGGAGTGCAGTGGCGCAATCTTGGCTCACTGCAACCTCTGCCTCCTGGGTTCAAGCGTTCAAGTGATTCTCCTGCCTCAGCCTCCTGAGTAGTTGGGGCTACAGGCATGTGCCACCACACCCAGATATTTTCGTATTTTTAGTAGAGACGGGGTTTTAGCACATTGGCCAGGCTAGTCTTGAACTCCTGACCTCAAGTGGTCTGCCCGCCTCAGCCTCCCAAAGTGCTGGGATTATTTTAAACATATCAATCACATCCCTCTCTTACTCTAAAACCTCAGTGGCTCCCTGCTACCTCTGCCTTATGAAGTCAATGCTTTCTTCTGGCTTCCAAGGTCTTCTATCATCTCAATTCACTCCATCTATTCCCCATGCTGACCAGGCCTGGGGTCTCGCAGGAAGGGAGTATGAGTATGAGTAGGCGGCTGGCCTTTGGGTTGGGCCCCACAGGTTGGAGCCATGGCTGCTCTATTCATCACCCTGGGCAAATCGCTGAAGCTCCTTAAACCCCAGTTCCCTTGTCTGTACAACAGGCACAGTGGGCTGAGTACAAGGACTGAAAGTAGCAAACCGGATGCCCGCAGGGGAGGAGACCTCAGGAAAGGGGCTGTTAGTATTGCGCATGCCCATACCCCTGACTGATGCCTTTGCTTGCAGAGTGCACAAGCTGGCATGCCCTCCCTTGCTCCCCTTTACCTGTCTCATGATGCCCCCACACCCCATTGAGGCCCATTCCTCCATGGAAGCCTTCCCTGCTCACTCCAGCTCTCCTCTGATATCCATGCTATTCATACACAACCACAGCCAGCCTGTGGCTGCAGTGGATTCTGACCCCTTGGCTATGTAGTAGCTCTCCGAGGGCAGGGACTATGCTTTGTACTTCCTTCGTGTCCCCTAGAGTGCCATGCACAATGCCACGCTGTAGTAGCTACTCCAAAACACATCTGGATTGGAAGTGAGATCACATCTGCTTTATGCTTCTGGATTTTTCTCAAAGCCTTTCCACACAGCCTGTCTCATGCAATCCTTACAATCACCTTGCAAGGCAGAAAGGGACTGTCTTATCCCATTTCTCAGGAGAGACAGCTAAGGCAGTCAGAGATGGAGCAACTTGCCTACAGTTGTGCCTTGATGGGGCTGATCTGGGAAGGAGGAGAGTCTTCTGCAGAACCTGGTCTCAGCCATCAGGAATGCAGCAGGACCATGTTGGCTTGGTGTGCCACGGCACCAAGAGAGAGTGGGGAAGTGCACAGGATGACACCAAGATGGGCCCTTGGTGGGACCCAGGGTGCAAGGACTCACCTTCCCGCCGATCATTGCGCAGGCACTTGACCTTGGGGATCCTGGTCAGGAGTAGACAGTCTTCCGCTGAGGATGCAAAGAGGAAGGCAAGCTCATTTAGACATGGGCATCAGGCCACTAGTGGTTTGGCTGCCATGAAAATTGCCCCATACTAAGCCCAGGAAAGGGTTGGGGATGGGGATTGGGAAGAGGTATGGTCATCACTACTGGCCGAAGGGTTGCCCTGCCCCACTCTCAGGCCAGACTGAGGAGTGCCTGTACCTATGGCAGTACTCCACTCCACCTCAGGGAGCACTAGAAAGCACGCTTGGGGGTGGCTACCAGCCCAGCTATCATCTGCATTTGGCAGTTGTAATAATGAAGGATGCTGTTGATTTTCTTTACTTTTTAAAAACAATATCATCTCACTAGAGTCCCATCCAAAGCAACACCCACCCTTCTTTCCCCTCCTTTGACACCAGGGAACAGGACCAGGGAGGGGTCCTAGAAAAGACAGGATCCCTGCTGGGGGCAGAAAGGTGTCTGCGATGGTCAGGACAACCTCAGGGTGCTTGCCTTGGTGTTCTGGGGAAACAGGGACGAGGGCGGAATGGAGGGCTGCAAAAAGGAAGGTGACTACTCACGATCTGAGCTGAAGTCATCCACTAAAATGATCTCCTGGATCAAGTTGGCAGGAGTTCGGTTCAGGACACTACAGTAGCAGTGGAAACAGAGAAAGAGCCTGGATTTAGGAACCACCTCCCATTTTTACCACTCCCGGGGCCGTGGGACTCCCCAGCCGCCCAGCTCCAGGGCCAGCATGCTGGGCGCTCCTACCTGAATCCTATTCTTGTCTAAGTTCATTGAGGAAATGGGGAGATGGGAGTTCAACTTGACCACAAGCCCAGGCTTAGCAGGAAGAATCCACCTCCAATCCACCTCTCTCTGACACTGACAGACACTGCTGGGCTTCCATCACCCTCCTGAGGCCTCCTGTCTAGCCCGGCCTCCCTCAGCTCCTGACACCTGCATTTCTGCCCTTGTCCTGGACATCTGACCTGGTGTTTGACTGTCGCATTCCTCTAACAGTTTGACTTCTGGGGTCTTCCTGGCCCTGATTCACCAGTCTCAGCCTCTCAGAAGTACAGGACTCAGCCTCCAGCACCTGCTGGGCTTCAAGCTGTCTGGCCACAGCGCCCAATCCCAATGTCCTCCCCTGCCAGCACCACTGAGATGAGAGTCCCATGGCTGGACTTACCTCTTCACTGTGCGCAGCAGGGTGGAACGGGCCTCATTGTGGAAGGTGATGATGACGCTGGTGGCTGGCAGGTCCGAGGAGTAGGACACAGATGGGCAGCTGAGAAGGGAGCACAGAGGTCAGAGCCAGCCATGAGGGCATCCTCAGGGCAGGTCAATGTTTTTCTTTGTCCAGTCTTGTGCCTGAGAATACTTCTGCCAGGCAGAGAAGGCACACCAACAGCCAGGCCAGAGGCCCCGCGCCTCCACCCCCATGCTGCATCCCACACTGGCCCAGAACCCCGATGCCACCCATCCTGGGGTCCTGGGAGGGAAGCAGCAGGTTGGGAGACCTTCCAAGGCCTGGGGGCTCTTTACCAGAGATCTCAGAGCCCCCAGAGGGGGCTCCCTAGTATATACAGATACTGCACCAGGCCCCAGGATACAGCCCTGACCACACTCTGTCGTATGGTGGGGGGTATGTGCGAGAGGGAAAACTACCTCTGTTTGTCCTGATACCCTAGAGTTTCTTCCTTCTCTCTTCCCAGCTCAGGACATTTGGTAGAATCTGCAGAGGAATCACCCCTACCCTGGCTGCCAGGGAATTCCTCCCTGTCACTGCCCAACACTGACAGCCCTGCTGCAGACAACAAGCTGGGGAGCAGTCTCACTCCTCCCAGGGTACTGGGTCCCCTGGAGGAAACAAGCCTCTGTTAAGACACCAAAGGCCTATCCCGTCACTTCCTCCCTCCCCAGCCATCCATAGACACCACATTTTCTGGCCTACTGGCTCCCTCTCCTCTAGAAAGGGAGTGAAAACAATTCATTCCTGCCAGACTTCATCCCTGTTGTTTCTGCGTATGCATTTATTTGAGCTCCTGGGGTGCTGGAAGGTGGCCTCCGTTGCTGGTTTTCATAGCAATCTTCTTTATTACAATTGCTCTCTGACTATTCCACCAGTGCCCGTTTTTTCATTGTGGCATTCATTCTACTGACAGCAGCTTACAGCCCGAATTCCCAGGCCTGTTTCCTGCCCTGCAGAGCAGACCAGGTCAGACAGGCAGGAGTCCCACTAGCCTGGGACCCCCCTGGGGGAAATCTTGAGAGGCTGTGCAATAATTCTCCTTGAGAGGGGGTGTAGGGTAGTGGTGGCGGAGGGAAATTTGCCTTCTACCCCTTGAGAAACCATGCTGTTCAAGGGCCTATGAATTGTGGGGGAGGGAGTGAGCTTGGCCGGCTGAGCTGGGGTGTGCTGGGAGCAGCAAATACCTCCTAAGTGTGCACCCTCCCAGTGCTGACCTCCAGGGCCCCAGTCCTCTGTCCTGATCCCCCAACCATCCGGTGCCCAGAAAGGAGGGAATCGGGACAGTGACGTCTCCCTGAAGGGGGCAAACCCACCCACACCCCATCTGAAGGGTGAACTTGACCTCCCCACCGGCTCCCTCCAGCCCTTTCGGCATGCATGCCTCTGGGATTGATGTTACTTAGCATGGGGGTTTATCTGGCTCCCAGGAGCCAGGAGCCTCTAAAGGGGTTTGTCCCAGCCCTGAGTTTTGAGTTTGGAGCTGATGGGGTTTTCTCTGTGATCCTCCTCGGCCTGTCTTATGTGGTTTATGTCCCTTTGCTCCCCTGGAGCGGGCTCCCTAGATTGAGGCTGGACCAGAAATGAACCTGACAATTTGGAGTCCAGCGGACACTACAGCCTGCAGGGCTGCAAGGAAGAGCAGCTTCTACCAGCAAACTGGCCCCACCATGGCAGGAGGCCTGCCCACTAAAGCCAGCACGTCCTTTGCTTCCCTACACGTGTGCATGCGTGCGCGCGTGCGCGCGCACACACACACACACACACACACACACACACACACACACACACACACACACACACACCCCGTGAGCCACCTCAGCTTTCTTTTTTCTTTTTTGAGACGGAGCCTTACTCTGGCACCCAGGCTGGAGTACGGTACTGCGATCTTGGCTCACTGCAACCTCTGCCTCCCAGGTTCAAGAGATTCTCCTGCCTTAGCCTCCCGAGTAGCTGAGATTACAGGTGCCCACCACCACACCCAGCTAATTTTTGTATTTTAGTAGAGACAGGGTTTCACCATGATAGGCAGGCTGGTCTTGAACTCCTGACCTCAAATGATCCACCCACCTCAGCCTCCCAAAGTGCTGGGATTACAGGTGTGAGCCACCGTGCCTGGCCCACCTCAGCTTTCTGACAGGGCCCAGCAGCAGCATGTGGCACCTCATCAACCCACCACTACCCTGGATTTAAAGCGTCTCATTTAAAAATGTACATAGCCCCCAGGGCAATTCCCCCTTTAAGTTTCTCAGTGAGCACCTGAGGCGGTTCAGAGTCAGGTAAGCTGGGGGGTGAACAGAGATTATCCAGGGCAAGCCCTCAATTCACAGATTGGGGCCAACAGATCCTCTAGACCCTGGGACTAGGTCAGCCATGGCTAGGGCTGCCCATGAAAGGTCTCTAAGTGGAGCTATGTGGATGTAACCTCTTCTGCAGCACAGGCAGACAGGAGGGGATGCTGCCCAGGACTGGGTGAGAAAGAACTTCTGAGGCCCAGAAACAGCCAGCAGGCCTGGTGGTGTCCTTGCCGCGAAGCAGGAGTACTGCCTTACTTGGCTGCATGAGTGGTTTCTGGAGGCTGACAGTGCTGGCGTTACAGGACAGCAAGGCCAAGGTCTGGGGCTCCCCCAGCCCTGTGTTCATCTCACCTTGCACAGGCCACCAAGCACCCTGGACTTCAGGCATGCATCTGTGAGTGACAAGGAAGGTGCTAGAACCAGGCCCTCTCGCACCCTCACCTCACCTATACCCTTTGTGCTGTGGAGTAGCTGCTTCAGAAGTAAAAGCAACCTTGATCCAAGTCATTGTTGCTACCCTCAAGCCAGGACCAGACGGAGGCCCAGCCTAGCTTTGAGCACACAGCTGCAGGCACAGCCGTGAGTCAGCTCCAACAGCGCCCTGGCCATTCTGTGAGATGTCTGCACAGAGCACAGAAGAGGGGCCCAACCTAGCCCGGGTTGGGAAGGAGCCTTCCATGGAGGAGAGGACAGTGAGCCAAGTGTCCTCGAAGTGAGCCAAGTAGCTCAAAGGGTAGGTGGGGCGGAGGAGGTGCGTTTAGGCAGAGGAAACAGCATGTGTGAAAGCAAGGAAGGAAGGAGGGAGGAATCTGGGACTGCAGGACCATCAAGTGCTGGGGGAAAGGTGGGTAAGGCCAGGTCATGGGGAGCGGGGGGTGGTGCTTCAGCATCAGGAACTCAGACTGTTCGTGCAGGTGACGGCAGGAAGAGGAAAGACTGGAGATGGTGACTTTCACCCTCTAGACAGAACACACAAGGGCATAGACCCAGAGAGGGGCTAATGCCTTGCTTAAGGCCGGTCACGCACACTGAGCTGGGATGAGAGTGGAGGCTTCCTTGGTCCTGGTCTAAGGCCTCTCCCACCTCACCATACTGAGAGAACTAAGAACAAGACTAGGAAGCATTTCTGGGAGTTGCTGAGGAGGTGGAGCTGTGGTGCAGGAAAGGGAGGTCAATGGGGTGGGCCACAGCACCCCACTGTTTGCAATGTGCAGGGCTGTGACTCTCTCCACTTTAGGCACCACCAGTAAGGCCCCAAGAGCGCCTGGCTCACCCACTGCCACGGACCTCCTTTGGTCCCCTCCCAGGTCACTTTTGCTGGGGCGCCAGACTGAAGTGCCTTGGGGCCTCCTTGGCCCCAGCGGAGCGGTTTCCTTGGTCTTGGCAGGGCCTCAGTAGGCCAGGTAAACCAGCAACAGAGGGTGAGGGTTTTTGAATGTCTAAATCACTGGACACAGTCTGAGGAAATCATCCTCATTTCTTAGATACACGTAAAAGAAGACAAACTAAACAATGTTGGCTTTCTCTCAGTCTTTCTTCCTCCACTGACACGATGGAGGCCGTACCTGTAATGGCGGGTGTCCCGGATGGGCCGGTCTGGGCTCAGCTTGTCACTCTCCAGCTGGTTGAAGGCGTGCTGTCTGTAGGGGTCCTCTCCAGCCTTCAGCTGCTTGGCCGACAGGTAGGCCTTCTCATCAAAGCCTTTCGAGGGAGTTCCTGTCACCTGAGATGAAGGTCAGCATCAGAGAGGACCACAGGCAGGAGGACCCCACTGCTTGGCGAGTGCTCAGCACACACCAGGCGGGAGCCAGCCACGTGGCCTCATTTGTGCCTTACGCCAACTCTATGAGGAGGAGACCATTATCTCCCCCACTGTACAGAAGAGAAAACTGAGGCTCAAGAGGGTTTCTTTTTTTTTCTTTTTTTCTTTTTTTTTTCTTTTTTTTGACACAGGGTCTTATTCTGTCACCCAGGCTGGAGTGCAGATCTTGGCTCACTGCAACCTCTGCCTCCCAGGTTGAAGCGATTCTCCTGTCTCAGCCTCCCAAGTAGCTGAGATTACAGGTGCGCACCACCACGCCTAGCTAATTTTCATAGTTTTGGTAGAGGTGGAGTTTCGTGGTGTTGGCTAGGCTGGCCTTGAACTCCTGACCTCAAGTGATCCACCCACCTCAGCCTCCCAAAGTGCTGGGATTACAGGCATGCGCCACCGCGCCCGGCCATCAAGAGGCTTTTTAAAAAGCATCCAGGGTCAGAGCTATTAAGTCACAAGGTCTGGATTTAAACTGGTCATTCCGACTCCAAAGCCCATGCTCTTAACCAATGTTCTTTGCGGGATATTGGGGGGGTGAGTCCTGGAGTGCACCAGACCTCTAAGGCAAGGTGTCCTGAGGGGACTACAAACCAGAATGGATGCTGCCAAGCGCCTGCAGATTGACAGTCTCCTAGGCAGAAACTTGGGCCTAGCCCTGGCCTAGGCATTATATGAGGCACCCGATCAGTAAAACACCAGGGCTTGGACAATCTGCTGCATAAAGAACTACCTGTAAGGACAGCAAACCCCTGCAGGCTGATGCCAGAGCTACCAGAACTCAAGTGCTCAGACAGTGATGCATCTTCTCTGGGACTTTTGCTTGCTCCTGAAATGGCCCCTGTAAGATCCACTGGTCCCCAGGCACTAAGTGCTGGGCAGTGATGGATGGCAGATGCCATTGCCCATCCCGTTCCTTCATGGCCACACCCTACCCTGTGCTCCCAGAGTCTCCAGCAACAGACACTGGGGAAGGACACATCTGAAATTAACAGATGGATGCAAGCACCCTGACATCTCATTACTTGAACCAAACTGCTGGCTGGATGTTCTCCAGAGTGCCATGAAATATCATCAACTGTGGGTACATCCCAACTCCAACTTTCCGCCCAACCATCAGCCCTGGGCTGAAGCTGGGGCCCCAGAGGAAGCAGAAAGGAGGGTGAGAATTGCCCACTCACAAAACTCTTGCATGAGGATGCTATCACAGGCCTAGTCCTAGAGGGATGGTCCCAGCAAGGCAGCTAGACCTGTGGGGAGTGGATCGCTGTGTGGAATGACACTGGGACTGTCACCAGCAGCTCAGGGCCTCTATGTTCCCCTGAGAGCCTAGCCCCCGACCTCACTGGACAGGCATGCCCAGGGTCCGGGGAGCTCTGATCTCCTGAACTGCTGCCACTCTGTAGCGATACTACCTTCTAGGGTTGCCTCCTGTCCTAGGAGCCAGTTGGAGGTTCCCTGAGGGCAGAACAGTGAGGGAGATGTCCTCGTGTCCACTGGGCCCACCCCATGCTAGACACAGATGCTCATGATGGTAACACTGCTGTGGCTGCTGTGTGGAACACTGAGGTGGTGCCATGCCAGAGACTGAACAGATGTGGCGGAGCCCCCAGTGAACTCAAAATCCATTTCAGGAAAGACGGAAGATGGAAGGAAGGAAGGAGGGAGAGAGGGACAAAAGGAATGTTCTGGCTTGGGCCCTGGATCGCCAGAAGGATCCAAGCCATCCAACTCTGAAAGGGAGAGTGATTCTTTTTGTCCTTCCCACCTGGGAGAGCGATGGATGCCCTCTTAGCTCTAGGTCAGGGAAATGGAACGGAGCCTCCAGTTGATGGCAAAGGAGCTAAAATTAAAGAAAAACTGCAGAGGGATGATTTGCTGAAGCTCCCAAAGGGAGAGTATGCACTTCGTTATCCTCCAGGTCAGCTGTGGGAAATAGCCATGTTTGTTTATTTAGGACTTACGGCCACTCTGTGGGCTCAGGAAACCTCTGAGTCCTCATCCCACACTCATTCATTGCCCAGTGAACATTGACTGACAGTCACCCATCTACCAGGCACTGGGGCACCCTTCTGAATCACCTAAACATGCATTCATTTGTTTATGAATGCTTGCATTCACTCATCCATTCATGCATGCATTCATTCAACAAAGCTCCACCAAGCGCCTCCTATGTGCCAGGAAGCAGAAGTAAGGTTTCTGAGATAGTTCCCCCTGCCCCAGCCTGCTGCCTTCCCCACTTCATTCAAGGCTTCCTCAGGGCCATGGAGACTGTTGGGGAAGAATGTCTGCTCAGGCCCAGGCTCTCTAGAGAGGTTCCTCCCAAGGCCTCGAAATTGAGTTACACATCCTCAAAGATGCTATTGGGAAAAGTAAAGTCTGCTGTTCCCTTCCACAAGCCATACTCTCTGGGTGGTCCAACCCCGCTCCAGGTGGTATCAGGGTTTGGGGTTTGACTCTTCACCTGTGAGACAGGTGTCATGGAAACAACAGGCCCAGAGGCCTTAGCTCTCCTTTCAGGATGACCCTGCTGTTCCTTGGGGTTGGAGCTGAAATGTCAGTTGGCCCTGAGCCAGTGAAGTGAAGGGGATCCTGAGGAAGGGTAGGTTGTGGCTCCTGGCCACAATTCCATGACCTCTGAAGGGCTTTCACTTCCTCTCTCCTCAGCTCTCTCTGGCCTCGCCCCGGTCACCACCCAGAGCCGTTCTACTTCCGATATGTAACCCCAGTTCCCATGCCCAGATCATAATCATTTCCTTCCAGCTCTTGAACTCCTCCTTTTGCCTTTAGCCCCATTCTTTGATCTTGAGACTTCAGGTCTTTGAATGTCCCACGGGTGCCCCTAACTTGGCATCTCAAAACAAATTCCCCACTTATCCCAAAGCTGCTGCTTCTCCTGCATTCCCTGTTGCCGAGATGAGCAGTTCCACCCAAGTCATGAATTCACAAAATCGTCTTTGATGCCCTCCCATGCTCCATAGCCTGATTCAATGTCTGCCCTGTGTATTCATAGGCAGTGTACTTAACAACACTGGTATTAACTCAGCAAATACTGAGTGAAAACCTACTATGTACATACACTGGGTAAGAGGCTGGGAATGTGGAAATAAACAAAAGGCAACATAACCCCTAGAACAGGAATCCAAGCATCTGGTCCCTTTCATGCCCCATCCCATGCCAGGCTTGGCCATGGAGGATCAGAAAGAAGAAACCGCCAACCCCAAGCTCAGAGCGGAGCTGGAGAACTGACCACAGAACCTCACCCCACCCTGACTCCCACTGGAGCAGGAGTCTGCAGATGTCGTGTGACCAGTGGATGCTGTTTCCCTCCTCCCCTCTTCTAAAGGGGAACTGTGCTGCTGCTAGCCTGCATTCCATCCATGTTGCTCACTAAGTGTATTGGCGAGGGAGTAAATGCATCATTTGGCACTTGGCTGCAGGACCATGAGGAGCTATATCTGGACCAGCTCAAGAGACTGGAGATCCTGGGCTTGGAGCCACTAGATGGGACTAGCTTGGCTGCCCTCTCTGGAGGGGGTAGTGAAAGTATTTTGGGTTGTTGGTGGAATTCTTATGTCAAGCAGGGGCACATGTCACATGACACTGACATTTGTGCTTTACTTCTCTTTCTTTTCCACTAGATGGTGAGCTCTTCCTCATGGGGCTCCCTGCACCTGGCACACAGTAGGTACTCAACAGGTGGTTGCTGAATCAAGGAATAGATAAGTAAATGAATGAATACCTAAATATTGTCCCTGCTCTCAAAGGACCTATAATCAAATGGAGAGAAAACAGCAAACAAATGGGACCCTGTGATACATCACGTGACCTTCAGTGCCCCCCCCCCTCACAGACTACAAGCCCCCAAGCTCACAATGGCCTGAGGCGCTCTCTGGGCAGGTGTCACCTTGCTGAACTTGCTTCCACTGCTGCCCCTTACTTGCTCTGCTCCAGCCACACTCTCTTTCTGTGGAAGGCTCCTCTGTGTAGGGCCTGCAGGGCCCTGCTCAAACCTCCTGCAGGACGCTGCTCAAACCTCACCTCCTCTGTGAGCCTTCCCCAACCACCACATGTAACTCTGTGACCCCAACCCGACCCTCTCATTCCCTGCCCTCCTGCAGTGTTTTGCTTCTCCTAAGGCACTCATTGCAATCTCACAGTCTATATGTGCTTTACTTATTTATTTTAGGGTTTTGGCTACCTCTCCCCACAAGATTATAAGCTTCACTAGGGCAGGGGTTTTCTGTTTTGTCTCATGCTGAATCCCAAAGCCCAGAGAAAAACCTTGGTGATTGTAGGCACTCAAAAACAATAGCTACTGAATACATGTGTAATCTCAAGCCTCTCCTTCCTCCTTTCCCCACCATCCCTGCACCCTTGGCCAAATACAATACTTGAGACTGAGGTGGACCAAGCCGGCGTATGGTAGTTTGCCTGTCTTGGAGATCTTCTTCCCCACTCATAGGCTTCTGGCAGGACTGTCATTCACTGTCCCCTGTCCCACCAACACCCCAAGCACCACCACAAGGGTGAGCACAAGACCCTGGCTAGGCCAATCTCATTACTGCACCTCTAGACACAGTGATTGGTTCAGGAATGGTCATTTGATTTGATCTGGGCCAATCAGAATCTTCCCTGAGACTTTTCTATACAATGAACTTTTTTTTTTGCCAGCACTGCCAAGCGTGCAAAATGAGAATCTTCTTGTCCATCACATGGAGAAACCTTGTCTGAAAAATGAACCAAGAAGAAACAATCAGAACCAAGAGATGTAAAGTATCTATCTACCTACCTACCTACATATTTTTTTTTTTAAAAACTGATTTGAGTTGGGTGTTCTTCTCTAGTGACCAAAAGTTCAGAGATATCAGTCCTGCAGTTCTTCCAATAAATAGAAAATCATTCTCCACAAGTAAAAAACAAAGTCAAACCCAAAACCCAACAAGTGAGTCACTGACAACAATGACAGTCACTGGTGTCAACACTCCATTCCAAAATATCAGGCCCGTCTTTGGCATTTGGCCAGTGGCTTAAGTCTAGAGTTGGGTGGGGCATTCCCAGCCTTCCCCAGCAGGCAGGGCGGTGTTCAGGCTTTGAGACTGGGGGTTCCATCTGGACCATGGCTCCAGAAGCCCTGGTGTTGCCATGGTGAGGAAGGAAGGTTGGGGAGATGGTGAGTGACAGGCTGACGAGCCTCCCACATCCTTCCAGCCTCCTGCTGAGAGTTCTTGGCTGATGTTTAGACAGTTGCCTCCCTCCCCAGTCTTTGTACTTTTAGGGAGTGCCAAATCCAGCACTTCCGTGTCCAATAGGTCAATCACATCTGAAATGGTTTAAGTTGAAATAATGACTTTTTTCTATAAAATGGGAAGAATTACTGTCTCACCTTGGACAGCTTTATTTTCAGTCTATCATTTCGATTAGACCTTGAAACTTCCCTAACTTGCTTCAGTTTTTTTTTCCAGCTAGATTTGCTTATTGCTTCCTGCTAAATTTAGGAAACAAACAGCAAAGAAGAAGGTTTAAAATAAGAAAGGAAAATATTTTCCATGTCATTTTCATCAAAAACAGTTCAGTCCAAATCTCCAAGCCTTGTAAACTTTCTTTTAAAACATACACATACCCCTAAATTTTAGATTTAAACAGCTCTGACTCATTTTAAATAATTGTTGCCCAATTTTCTTTTACTGCCAGTAAAACAGGTACCTGCTGGGTTTACCTTTCACTAAATTTCAATGAAACTGCAAGTAAAAAGGCTCTGGCCCTATTTTATGGATGGCCCCTGACTTTTTTCCTGAGTCTGCTATAAACCAAAAACACCTGGTGAATAAAATGTGATTTCCAACCACTCCCCACTCCCCTGGGAGTAAAATCTTACCTGATTCTCTGTCCCAAGTTGAAAGACTGCCATTCATTATGAGAGCTGGGAAGCTAAGCACATAATTCGACATCTCTGAGCTCAAGGTCTCAGGTTCCAACTCTTCCAAATGAAAAGGAGGGTTCCACAGGGCCTCCCTGAGCCTGCCTCAGGAAGTAGCCAACCCCACTGGGCTGCCAGTGGTCTCATCCAACCAGACAAGGTGCTGCAGGTTGCACAGGGCCAGGAACCTCAGGTTGGGTACAGGGGAGGCCTGAGTGGAGTATCAAGGGTCCCTCAGGAGTCTGCTCCAGACATGTCCCCATCTTCTGCTGCACATTGCCTCAAAAGTGGCAATTATAGAAGTGACTGGCCAGGGCTTTGAACTCTCATGGCTCTGGTATAGAATGGCAGTTCTTACTGCTCTCTGGCCTTGGAAAGTCACTTCCCTTTCTGAACATGTTTCTTCTTCATCTGGAAAATGGAAATTATCAAGAATGCAATGCATATAATGTGCTTTGCACAGTGCCTGGCACATAAATTGTGATTATTATTATTAACTAACGAATTGTTATTAACTATTATTATATACGTTGTCTGCCTTTTTGTCAGTAGTTCTCAACCTTGGCCACACATTAGAATCACGTGGGAAGATGGCAAAAAGCCTGATGTCCAGGCCATACCCAAGACCAACTAAACCAGAATCTCTGGAGGTGGGACAAAAGCATCAGATGTTTTTAAAGCTCTCCAGGCAGTTCCAATGTGCTACCAAGTTGAGAGCCGCTGCTTTGTACAAACTCATGATGGTGAGGGGCTAATCACAGGATCTTGGAACTACGAGGGACCTTAAAGGCTATCTCCTCTGACCCCGTTCCCAGGAAGGCTAACCGCGAGTCTGGTTTTTGGCCTATATTTGTATTGACCAGGAACTTCACCATCAGCAGAGCCAACTGAAACTCAGCTAGAGCCACCATGGTTACTATGGAAATCCACTACCTTGCAACACTTCTGTCCCACAGGCCTGGGAGGCCCTAGTTTAATTACATATCCAGAACACGAGATAGGAGCTGCCTGGGGAAACCCACCTAAGGCCTCCAGTTAGATTTCCCAACACATCCTAATATGACTCCTCCAGGGGTACTGATGACTGCACAGCTTTCCAACACTACTGGTTTCACTGAGAAAGAGTTCCTGTGGCCTTATGAGTGCTTGTGGTTCCAGTGATCTCACCAAGAAAGTGGAGGGAGGCCCACTGCTTATTCCCCTAGGGATCTGAGCCACCCAGGGTCCTCTACCTAAGGCTAGGCCAAGGCATCAGGCCCGCCATTCCAGGCAGTCTCTGCTCAGACCCGAGGGTCCTCTCCAGGTCCACCAGGCTCCCCAGGTCTCCATTTCCCGCCCTTTGCCCAGCCCAGAGGCCATCTGCGGATGGAGGGAGTGTGAGGCTGGTCCATGCCAGAGATATGTGATGCTCGGCTTGCATCTGCTTATCAGTTTCGCCAGTGCAAATCAAGCATCTCTGAGTCTGTGAAGGGTACAAAAGCCCTACCTGATCCTTCCAGCCACAGCTGCTGTAGCCCAGAGTATGGGGGGAAGACTGGGCATCTTCAACAGGAATGAGCTGATGCTGACGGCTCATTGAGGGTCTACTGTGCACTGGGTGCTATGCCAAGGGCTTATTTCTATCTCCAAATGCTCCTCTTATTCTTATTTTACAGAGGTGGAAACTGAGGCCTAGAGGTACAATAGTATGCCCAAGGTCACATAGCTGCTGAGTGGCTTAGCCGGGACCAAAATTGAGGCTGTCTGGCCACAGAGCCTAAGCACAAAGCTTTCTCTGTGTGCCTTCAGACCAGCTTGTGGCTCAGATGTCCTTGGCATCCCCTCTTGCCAATTCTGAGTCCTCAGCTCCAAAGCAGGCTGGCCTCTGGTGCCCGGCACACAGCTGAGTCCTGACAAGCTCAGGCTGGAGGTCGCTTCCTTCCTTGGCTCAAGGATCAGGGCATCAGCTCGTGGCTCAGATAGGGACTTGCCCAGTGCTGTCACTCCTTGGCCTGGACATGCGCTTCTTGACTATGGCTCAAAAGAACATGGAAGAACAGAAAAATACAAGAGTTTGTGTACTCAGACCAAATCAGCACACCACCAGATTTCCTGGGTCCTCTCAGCCAGCGACACCCTCAAGGTCCTGATGACCCTCAGCAGCAGTCACACCTAACGGGAGACAAAGTCATTCTTGCTCAGGGTACCAGTCCCTCAAACAACCTGGTCCTGCTCTATGGCTGAGGAAAAGGACATGAGCAGGATGAACTGCTGAGACAGGACAACCTCAAGGCAACTGAGGCCCCAAGAAACACCCTCTGGGCTAACATGGGGTCCAGGTCGGTGCCACTTCTGCTGTAGTCACAAGCGCAAAGCGTCAAGGTCTGCATGCCATCATTGTACTTCAGGTATTTCACAGTCAGTATCTATCGAACACGGACTGATCACAGTTAATTTAAAAAAAATTTTTTTTAGAGATAGGGTCTTGCTCTGTTGCCCAGCCTAGAGTGCAGTGGCATGATTCTAGCTCACTGCAGCCTCAAACTCCTAGGCTCAAGTGATCCTCCCACCTCAGTCTCCTGAGTAGCTGGGACTATATATATTAGACAGATAGATAGATATAGATAGATAGATAGATAGATAGATAGATAGATAGATAGATAGACAGATTTTTTTTTTTTTTTTTAGAAACAGGATCTTGCTATGTTACGCTAGGCGGGTCTCAAATTCCTGGCCTCAAGCCATCCTCCTGCCTTGGCCTCCCAAAGTGCCGGGATTATAGGTGTGAGCCACCACCCCTGCCCCAACATATTAAGGGGGAAAAAAAAGCAATAATGGGCCGTATAACATATAGAACACTTATAGTGTGACTATTGCAAAGATGGTGACAGCCTTCTGCCCCACCAACTGAGGTCGGGACCAGCAGGCCAGGATCCAATTCAACACATTAGAACTCAGCAAGCCTTTGATTGCCAGCTGGGCATGTCGGTTTATAACACTTTTCAGAAGAGAGAGCCAAAAACAGAGTAGTGGCCGATATGGCACATTATTGGCACTGTGGGTCAAATTTAGAAACACATTACCTGTGGTTTGTGACTAGTAATTAATCGGTTAGGTTATACTCTCACAATAATGTCCACCAATAGGACAGAGCATGACAAAGGCAGATTTTTTTGAATCAGATTAAATGTAAGGAAAAGGGAGAGGGGAAGGAGAACTTGGGAAAAATCAGCCTGCCTCTTGTGTGACTTTCTTTGAGGCTCTGCTGTGGTTCGAATATGTCCCCTCCAAAATTCCTGTTGAAACTTAATCCCCATTGTGGTGGTATTAAGAAGTAAGGTCTTTTGGGAAGTGATTAAGTCAGAAAGGCTCTGCCCTCATGAATGGATTAATGCCTTTATAAAAGAGGCTTCAGAGAGAGTTCACACCTTTACGCCCTTTCACCTTCTGCCATACGAGGACACAGCATTTGTCCCCTCTGGAATACACAGCAACAAGGTACCATCTTGGAAACAGAGAGAGCAGCCCTCATCAGACACCAAACCTGCTGGTGCCTTGATCTTGGGTTTCCAGGCTCTGAAACTGTAAGAAATCAATTTCTGTTGTTTATAAGCCACCCTGGCTGTGATATTCTGTTACAGCAGCACAAAGACAGGACCACTGCTGGAGCAGGTGTGACCTGTCCCCTCAATAAGACCATGCCCCTGGACTGCCTCTACCCCTGTAGCCCGCATTTTATCAAGGCACAAAGTAGCCATAAATTTTGGAAAGAGGGATAATACTATTTTTTTAAAATTTTATTTATTTATTGAGCTGGGGTCTCATTCTGTCACCCCGGCTGGAGTGCAGTGGTGCCATCACAGCTCACCGCAGCCTCAACCTCCTGGGCTCAAGTGATCCTCCTGCCTCAGCCTCCCAAAGTCTTGAGGTTACAGGTGTGAGCCACCGCACCCAGCCCTAATTTTTTTTAGACAGAAAAAACCCTTTTGATTACTTCTGGGATGCCATAAAGGCAGTTTCATTCCATCAGAAAACAGAGACACAAATGTTCCGATCATAGCATATTTTAGATGCATGTACAGGGATCAATGGAAATGTGGCATTTATTGCAGTTTTGCACAGTACACTGAACCATACATTGTTAGTAAAAACAACACAGTTTCATGTATTGTAATGTGATAGAAATAAACCACTGATTAGGTATATTTGTCCATGTTTCCCTTTATGGCCACCCACCCTGTAGTTAAACAGACCTTAAAGGGAAGACACAGCTCATGCTTGGAAAAGATTCAGTGATGTAAAGACATACATTCTCCTTGACTTAATCTATGAATTTAATGCAACTCTGATCAAATAACAGCTGTGTTGGGGGAAGGGAGATTCAGCTGGAAGAGTTTAAACATGAGAGAACAATCAGAGAAAATCTGAAAAAAAAACTACCTACCAGGTTTTAAGATATACCATAAGACTACAGATGCTATTCATATAATAGTATCCTATATCTATAGGATATAGATCTATATCCTATATAGTAGTATATAGTAGAATACTACTATACTAGTAGTACCTGTAGTCTTATAGTATGTCTTACTATAAACAGATCAATAGAGGAGAGATCAGAAATAGACCCAAATACATGTGGAGGATTGGCATAAGATACACTTGTACTTCAAATGGCAGTGGGGAGGGAGAGCTATGCCATTCAGTGAATGATGTTAGGAAAAGTGACTAGGCAATGTGGAAATCAATAAAGCTGGACTAATTTCTTCAACCAAAATAAATTTCAGGTAGCTCAAATATTTAAACTGAAAAAGAAACTTAAAAGTATAAAGAAAAAAATTGGTCACTTTTCATTTATTTTCAATCTTGGCCATAAAGCCCATATGTCATAAAAGAAAACACTATACAAAGACTTAACATTTTTATATGTCAAAAATGTCATAAAGTCAAAATACAAACATCACGTTGGGAAAAAATATTAAATAAAAATATGACAAAGAACTAACTTCTGTAATACACAAAGAGCTCTTATTAATCAATAAGAAATGAACCAATATTTAAAAAGGAATATAAGCTTAAAGGATATGAAGAAGTTCATAGAAAAATGAAATGTGTGGCTGGCTAGTGGCTCATGCCCATAATCCCAGCACTTTGGGAGGCCAAGGCAGGAGGATCACTTGAGGCCAGGAGTTCAAGACCAGTCTGGGCAACACAGCAAGACCTCATCTCTACAAACACACAAAAAAATAATAAAAATAATCCAGGTATGATGGTGCGTGCTGTAGTCCCAGCTACTCAGGAGATTGAAGCAGGAGGATCACTGGAGCCCAGGAATTCAAGGCTGCAATAAGTTATGATCGTACCACTGCACTCCAGCTTGGGTGACAGAGTGAGACCCTGTCTCAAATAAAAAAAAAAAAAAAGAAGGAAAAGAAAGGAAGAAAGAAAGAAAGATGAAACGTAGGTGGCACATCTCAAGAGGTCATGAAAGCTTTGTGCCCCTTTCCCCATATCTTGCCTTATGCATTTCTTCCATCTGGCTTTTCCTGAGTTATATCCTTTTATAATAAATATAAGTACATGTTAAAAAAGGAAAAATAAAATAAAAATAAAATGCAAATGGCCATTAATAAATGAAAAGATGTTCAACCTCATTAATGACTAAATAAAAATGCAAATTAAAGCAAGATCTATCTGGTTGATTCTGCCAGTAATAAAAAATTACAGAAAACAAAAGTCAAAAACTAAAATGAGACATAATGTCTTGCTAATTCATCTGGCAAAGTTCAAGAATAATTATTAATTCTCAGTATTTTGACAGTTTGAAGAAATAGAAGCTTTTATACATTGGTGAATGATACATTGGTATAACCATGACAGAAGGCTATTTGTCAACATCAGCATTTAAAAATATTACTCTTTGACTTAGCAGAAGTTTCATTTCTAGGTAAAAATACACTTGATTTCCTGAGACAATTACAGTGTACATTCCTGTGCTCTCTGGAGCCCTTCTGAATGAGCACTTGTCCTGGTTTAGGCAAT